>NC_000014.9:102338714-102641715 GCF_000001405.40 Homo sapiens | reverse complement strand
CTTATATGAGTAAAATGGAGTTAACAGCAATTACTTCCCCAAATTGTCCTATAAAGCACCTATCATAGTAGCTGGTACAAAAAAACGGCATAAATATTATTATTTTTTTTTTAATTGAGACAGGGTCTCACTCTGTTGTTGGGACTGGAGTGCAGTGGCGACATCTTGGCTCACTGCAGCCTCAACCTCCTGGGCACAAGTGATCCGCCCACCTCAGCTTCCTGAATAGCTGGGACTAAAGGAGAACACCACCATAACCGGCTAATTTTTGTACTTTTTGTAGAGATGGGGTTTTGCCATGTTGCCCAGGTTGGTCCCGAACTCCTGGGCTCAAGTGATCCACCCGCCTCAGCCTCCAAAAGTGCTAGGACTACAGGTGTGAACCACTGTGCCCAGCTGCATAAATATTATTTATTATTGAATAACTGCTTACATAATTCTTTTCTGGTTTTCTTTTTTTTTAAGGCCGAGTCTCACTCTGCCGCAAGGCTGGAGTGCAGTGGTGCAATTTCGGGTCACTGCAACCTCCACCTTCCGGGTTCAAGCAATTCTCTTGCCTCAGCCTTCCAAGTAGCTGGGACCACAGGCACGCGCCACCAAGCCCAGCTAATTTTTTTTGTATTTTTAGTAGAGATGGGGTTTCAACATGTTGGCCAGGACGGTCTCGATCTCCTGACCTCGTGATCCACCTGCCTCAGCCTCCCAAAGTGCTGGGATTACAGGCGTGAGCCACCACACCCAGCCTCTTTTCTGTTTTTCTTCTGAGACAGGGATCTTGCTCTGTCACCCAGGCTGGAGTGCAATGGCAGTTCACTGCAGCCTCAACCTCCCTGGCTCAAGTGATCCTCCCACTTCAGACTCCAAAGTACCTGGAACCAGAGGTGCACACTACGACAGCCAGCTAATTTTTTAATTTTCTGTAAGACGGGGTTTCACTATGTTGCCCAGGCTGGGCTCAAGTGTCCCTCCTACCTCAGTCTCCCAAAATGCTGGAATTACAGGCGTGAGCCAACGTGTCCAGCCTCAAAAAATTCTTTAAATTACAATCAGATAAGGTGTTAAGTGTGATAGCCTCTGCAGAAAAGAGCTATGTGACCTCAATTACATCTCATTCTAAACTTTTTTGAAATTTAGTTATTTTACACTAATATTACATTTTTTAAAAATTAATTTTAAAAAATTGCAACCAAAATACAAGACAGGTGTCTCGATCTCCATGAGGTTTTCTTGGTTAGTCCACCAAGTCTTTGAGAGTCGGAAGAACTACCCAAGATACCTGTCATCATCTTGAAATCTGCTATGTACTTTAGGATGGATCAAGTGTTCACATCTCGTTCATACATATCTAAATACTGACTGTTTTAGCTGAAGAGGACAGGCTTAAGACACAATTATTTTAACTCATTATCTTCCATTTCAGACATTCAATTAATTAAAAACATGACTAGGCTGGGCACAGCGGCTCCCAGCACTTTAGGAGGCTGAGGTGGGCGATCTGAAATTCCGGAGTTCAAGACCAGCCTGGGCAACACGGCAAAACGCAAACTCAAATAAAAAATACATATATATATGGCTGGGTGTGGCGGCTCACGCCTGTCATCCCAGCACTCTGGGAAGCTGAGGCAGGCGGATCACCTGAGGTTGGGAATTCAAGACCAGCCTGACTAACATGGTGAAACGCCATCTCTACTAAAAACACAAAATTAGCCGGGTGTGGTGGCAGATGCCTGTAATCCCAGCTGCTCATGAGGCTGAGGCAGAGAATCACTTGAACCCAGGAGGCGGAGGTTGCAGTGAGCCGAGGTCATGCCATTGCACTCCAGCCTGGGGACAGAGCGAGACTCCGTCTCATGAATGAATGAATGAATGAATGAATGAATGAATAGGCTGAGCTCAGTGTCACACCTGTAACCCCAGCACTTTGGGAGGCTGAGGTGGGCAGATCTTCTGAGGCTGGGAGTTCAAGACCAGCCCGGCCAACATGGTGAAACTGCATCTCCACAAAACTACAAAAATCAGCCAGGCATAATGGCAGGTGCCTGTAATCCCAGCTACTAGGGAGGCTGAGGCAGGAGAATCTCTTGAACCCAGGAGGAGGAAGATACAAAGAGCCAAGATCACGCCATTGCACTCCAGCCTGGACAACAGAGCGAGACTCCATCTCAATAAATAAATAAATAAATAAATAAATAAATAAATAAATAAATAAATAAATAAAAATTAAAAAATAAATTAATTAGCCAGACATGCTGATGCATACATGTATTCCCAGCTACTGGAGGGGGAGAGCTGGGGAAGGGAAGGGGAGGAGCTGGTAAAGGGGAGGAGAAGGCTGAGGTAGGAGGATCATTTGTGTCCAGGAGGTCCAGGCTGCAGTGAAACCTGATCATGTCACTGTAGTCCAGCCTGGGTGACAAAAAGAGATCTTGTCTCAAAAAAAAAAAAAAAAAAGAAAGAAAGAAAACAAAGAGTAGTTGGTTCTCCTAGAAGGAATTTATACAACTTCACAGTTTTAATTCCAAATTACGCTGTTTAGTTACCTTCACCGCACAAAAGAAAACCATCCAAATGCTTTTTAATGGGAAAATCTTAATACATTACAAGCTAGATCTGCCTAGCAACAAGTTATAAACTTATGTCATCCTACTTATGTTCCCATGGATACAGTCATGAACAGTACAGTGGTAGCTGTACAAATTAGGAAAAAAATCCCAAGAGAATTACATCCAAAACTTGGATAGAAAATACTACTAGGCTGGGCACAGTAGTTCACGCCTGCAATCCCAGCACTTTCAGAGGCTGAGGCAGGCGGAGCACCTGACATCAGGAGTTAGAGATCAGCCTGGCCAGCATGGCGAAACCCCGTCTCCACTAAAAATACAAACATTACCCGGATGTGGTGGTTCGCACCTGTAATCTCAGCTACTCACTGAGACAGCAGAATTGCTTGAACCAGGGAGGCAGAGGTTGCAGTAAGCCAAGATTGTGCCACTGCACTCCAGCCTGGACAACATAGCAAGACTCCGTCTCAAGAAAAAAAGAAAAGAAAAGAAAAAAAAACACTACTATAGGCCAGGCGAGGTGGCTCACACCTGTAATCCCAACCTTTGAGAAGACCAAGGCCAGTAGCTCACTTGAAGTCAGGAGTTCGAGACCAGCCTGGCCAACATGGCAAAACCCCATCTCTACTGAAAATACAAAAATGAGCTGGGCATGGTGGCAGGGGCCTGTAATTCCAGCTACTCGGGAGGCTGAGGTTGCAGTGAGCCGAGATCACACCACTGCACTCTAGCCTGGGTGACAAGAACGAAAATATGACTCAAAAAAAAAGAAAAGAAAGAAAAGAAGACAACGCTATAAAGGTAAGAATACGGTCTAGTATCTTTTCAATTAAAATCCTTCTCTCTCTTCCCTACAAATCCCAACTAACCTTCCATTAGAATCTCCCTCTTTAAATCTGCTCCCATCTGGTGTTTTTAAACACAATTGTTAATAGAACTTCAGCAAGAACTTCTGCACCTGAGTTGATAATGTCCTTGGACTATTTTATGTGTGCTATCCCCAAAATCTGTACACAGGTTTCTGTTCTTTATAATGTAGCAAATTTGTCACATTAGCTTGAAAACAGGGTGGAAACACATTTACATGGTAAATCTGCAATCTGGGGGAAGTTAAATTTTTTTTTGTTCGTTTTTGAAGCCAATATTGTTTTTCAGATACAGAAATTGGAACAAAAAGAAATGGATAATCAAACACTGGAGAAGAAAATTATTTTAAACTTAATTATTTACTTCCAGTACAGTGTTTGAACACTGTAAGACACAACGAAACTAGAAAAAAACAAAGCAATGCTCCCTCTTAGCAATTTAAGGGCACTCTCCCTTTGTTCAGATAACTTTTTCTTTAATTGTAAAATTACTGACATCACCGAAAAAACTAAATGTGTCTCAAAAAAAATCGCTTTGCAGCCATGTGAGGTGACTCAAGCCTGTAATCTCAGCACTTGAAGAGGCCAAGGCAGGCAAATCGTTTTGAACTCCTAAGTTCGAGACTACCTGGGCAACATGGCAAAAATCTCGACTCTACAAAAAAATACTAAACATTAGCCAAGCACGATGGTGCCTGTGGTCCTAGCTACTTGGGAGGCTGAGATGGGAGGATCACCTAAGCCCAGGAGGCCAAGGCTGCGGTGGGCCATGATCACACCACTGAACTCCAGCCTCAGCAACATAGTGAGATCCTGTCTCAGAAACATTTTTTTAAATAAAAAAATAAAATATATATATGCGGCCAGGTGCAGTGGCTCAAGTCTGTAATCCCAGCACTTTGGGAGGCCAAGGCAGGTAGATCAACTGAGGTCAGGAGGTTCGAGACCAGCCTCACCAACATAGTAAAACCCCGTCTCTACTAAAAATACAAAAATTAGCTGGGCATGGTGGCGGGCGCCTGTAATCCCAACTACTCGGGAGGCTGAGGCAGGAGAATCGCTTGAACACAGGAGGCGGAGGTTGCCGTGAGCCGAGATTGTGCCACTGCACTCCAGCCTGGGCGACAGAGTAAGACTCCGTCTCAAAAAAAAAAAAATAAAAAAACAAACAAACAAACAAAAAAAACTTGTACACAGCCAAACTAACCATATATATAATCATCAAAAGAAAAACATTTACAAAGTCTATGTCAAAAGGCTTGCTAGTAAGTTCCTTCAATATGCAAAGAGTTTTGTTTTGTTTTGTTTTGTTTTTTTGAAACAGAGTTTCACTCTTGTCACCCAGGCTGGAGTGCAATGGTGCGATCTCAGCTCACTGCAACCTCCACCTCCCGGGTTCAAGTGATCCACATGCCTCAGTCTTCCAAATAGCTGGGATTACAGGCGTGCACCACCATGCCCAGCTAATTTTTGTATTTGTAGTAGAGACGGGGGTTTCACCATGTTGGCCAGGCTGGTCTCGAACTCCTGACCTCAGGTGATCCGCCTGCCTCGGCCCCAAAAAGGGCTGGGATTACAGGTGTGAGCCACTGCACCCAGCAAAAAAAATTCTTATAAACCAATAAGAAACTCAGTAAAACGGGTGAAGGTAAAAAATAGAGAATACTCAAAGAAGAATGATCTACAAACATATGAAAAGATTTCTATGGCCAGGCGCAGTGGCTCACACCTGTATTCTCAGCACTTTGGGAGGCCCTGGGGGAAGAAATAGCCTGAGGTCAGAAGTTCGAGACCAGCCTGGCCAACATAGTGAAACCCTATCTCTAGTAAACAAATACAAAAAGTTAGCGGGGTGTGGTGGCAGGCACCTGTAATCCCAGCTACTTGGGAGGCTGAGGCAGGAGAATCGCTTGAACCCAGGAGGCAGAGGTTGCAGTGCGCCAAGATCACGCCACTGCACTCCAGCCTGGGCGACAAGAGCAAAACTCCATCTCAAAAAAAGGAAAAGATTTCTACGTTAAAAAAAATTTTTTTTAGAAACAGTTTCTCACTGCCGGGTGTGGTTGCTCACGCCTATCATCACAGCACTTTGGGAGGCCAAGGCGGGCAGATCACGAGGTCAGGAGATCAAGACCATCCTGGCTAACACGGTGAAACCCCATCTCTACTAAAAATACAAAAACAAAAAATTAGCCGGGTGTGGTGGCAGGTGCCTGTAGTCCCAACTACTCAGGAGGCTGAGGTGGGAGAATGGCGTGAACCTGGGAGGCGGAGGTTGCAGTGGTGACACTACACTCCAGCCTGGGCGACAGAGTGAGACTCTCTGTCAGAAGGGAGGGAGGGAGGGAGAAACTTTTATGTTTCTCACTGCATTACCAAGGCTGGAGTGCAATGGCTCAATCATAGCCCACTGCAATTGCTGGGCATAAGTGATCTTCCCACCTTAGCAGCTAGGACTACAGGTGCATGACACCACGCCTGGCTCAATTTGGGAGTTTATATCTAAATTTTTAATTCACCAATTCCACTTCCAGGACTCGACCAAAAAGTTAAACCAAGTAAGCAGAGATTACATGCAGAAAAACAATCCATGCAGATTAGTTGTAATACAGAATATTAGAAAAAAAAATGTGTCAACTTGCGTCAAATTATGGTCATATTCATACCAACATGCTATGCAATCATTATTGCATACAATTTTAATAATAATATAGCTACTTTTAGCTCATTTCTGTATATGTATATACATATTTTAATAAATATACATTGCTTCCATTTCTTTTTTGAGACAAAGTCTCACTCTGTCACCCAGACTGGAGTGCAGTGGAGTGATCTCAGCTCACTGCAACCTCCGCCTCCTGGGTTCAAGCAGTTCTCCCACCTCAGCCTCCCGAGTAGCTGGGAATACAGGCACCTGCCATGACACCCGGCTACTTTTTGTATTTTTAGTAGAGATGGGTTTTCACCATGGTGGCCAGGCTGGTCTCAAACTCCTGACCTCAAGTGATCCACCCGCCTGGGCCGCCCAAAGTGCTGGGATTATAGGCATGAGCCGCCGTGTGCAGCAGCTTCAGTATTTTTTTGTAACAGAAGATTTTAGACATATATACTGAGAAGAATTTAAAAGTTTGCATAAGAAAAACTAGGAAACATTGGACTGGGTGCAATGGCTCATGCCTGTAATCCTAGCACTTTAGGAGGCCAAGGCAGGAGGACTGCTTGAGGCCAGGAGTTCAAGACCAACCAGGCCAACACAGCCAGACTCCATCTCTTTAAAAAAAGGCCAGGCATGGTGGCTCACACCTGTAATCCTATCACTTTGGGAGGCCGAGGTGGGCGGATCACCTGAGGTCAGGAGTTTGAGACCAGCCTGACCAACGTGGTGAAACCCCTTCTGTACTTAAAAAAAAAAAAAAATACAAAAATTAGCCAGGCATGGTGGCACGTGCCTGTAATTCCAGCTACTCAGGAGGCTGAGGCAGGAGAATCACTTGAACCTGGGAGGTAGAGGTTGTCGTGAGTCGAGATCGCGCCACTGCACTCCAGCCTGAGCGATAGAGCAAGACTCTGTCCCAAAAAATATATATATATACACACATATATATATGTATGTACGTGTGTGTGTATATATATATACATATATATATATATACACACATACACACACACATACATACACACACACACGTAATATAAACATGTTGTGGAAAGATGTCAAAAAACTTAGTATTTATTTGTTATGCATTACCTGAAATCAATGTTAGTGGGAACCTTCTGTCCCTAGATAGTGGGAACCAGATATTCATCTGACAAGTGACTTGTTCAGTCAAGAAGAGATCACATAATTACTCAAATCTGCCGAAGCTTGGAGAGATCTGTTTTGGTTTTGCGGGTTGGTTGGTTGGTTGGTTTTTGAGACAGGGTTTTGCTCTGTCACCCAGGATGGAGTGCAGTGGCATAATCATATAGCTCACTGAAGCCTTGAAATCCTGGCCTCCAGTGACCCTCCTGCCTCGGCCAACCAAAGCACTGGGATTACAGGTGTGAGCCATGAAGCCCAGCCTGTTTTTTATACTGTAGTCAGGATTAATAAGGAGCCTATTACATGGCATTCAAATTGAGAATTTTCATTGACACCACCCTCAACCCTGGGCAAGACAGAGAATTGTATCAAGCCAGTACTCCATCTAACCACATCCTTTTTCCAAGCACTGAACAAGAGTAACATGTTTCAGGAAAGACAGAAAGCCTCACCCTACCTCCTTGAGGCACAATTACGTGGAGTACACAAGCATGTATGTGTACATTTTAGAGGCACCTCACATCTTAAATGTCATACCTCAAAAATCTACCTTCTATGTATTATACAGAGAATAGAATTTTTAATTTTAGAATTTTCTTTTATAGTCAACTTCTCAAGATTTGATATTCTGTTAAGAACAAACTCCAGGACTGGGTACGGTGGCTCATGCCTGTAATCCCAGCACTTGGGGAGGCTGAGGTGGGTGGATCACCTGAGGTCAGGAGTTCGAGACCAGCCTGGCCAACATGGTGAAACCCTGTCTCTACTAAAAATACAAAGTTAGCCGGGCGTGTTGGCGAACGCCTGTAATTCCAGCTACTAAGAAGGCTGAGACAGGAGAATCGCTTCAATGCGGGAGGCAGAAGTTGCTGTAAGCTGAGATCATGCCATTGTAGTCTAGCCTGGGTGACAGAGCAAAACTCCGTCTCAAAGAGAAAAGAAAAAAAAACCTCCATTTTTAATTGCAACTAACTCTCCTTCAAATTATGGGGTAGCCAAGCATGGTGGCTCAAGCCTGTAATCCTAGCACTTTAAGAGGCCAAGGAGGGACAATCAGTTGAGCCTGGGAGTTCAACAGTATCCTGGGCAATATAATATGGCAAGACCCCATCTCTATATAAAAATTTTTTTAATATTAGAAAAACACAAAGTATGGAGTTTCCTGAATCCCATCTGACCCCAGATCACATATGAACTGTGAAAGCCTTTATTATATCTTCCCAATTGTACTTTCGGTGTTTGTAACCACTTTCTATTGGATTATTAGAGTCTCTTAGAGCTAGATGAGACCTTTAAAATGATCTGATTAATCAGCAGAGTGAAATTTTATCTTATGAGAGGATTAGATCCAGGTCAGCATATAGGTTGAAAACAGCTGGCCAGGCACAGTGGCTTATGCCTGTAATCCCAGCACTTTTGGGATGCTGAGGCAGGAGGATGGCTTGTGTCCAGGAGTCTAAGATCAGCCTGGGCAACACAGTGAGACCCCCATCTGTAAAAAAAATTTAAAAATTAGCCAGATGTAGTGGCACAAATAGTCTCAGCTACTCAGGAGGCTGAAGTGGGAGAACTGCTTGAGCCCAGGAGTTTGAGGCTGCAGGGGGCTATAATCACTTCACTGCACTCAGTCTAGGTGACAGAGTGAGATCCTGTCTCAAAAAAAAGAAAAGAAAGAGGAGAGGAGAGACGAGAGAGGAGAGAGGAGAGGGGAGGAGAGGGGAGGGGAGGGGAGGGGAGGGGAGGGGAGGGGAGGGGAGAAGAAAGGAAAGGAAAGGAAAAGGAAAGGAAAGGAAAAGGAAAAGGAAAAGGAAAGGAAAGGAAAGGAAAGGAAAGGAAAGGAAAGGAAAGGAAAGGAAAGGAAAGGAAAGGAAAGGATAGCATGCAGTCAAAATCAGTCTTGAAAAATTCCCCTTGCAGGGGGGAAAAAAGAAAAAAGAACGAAAAATCCTTCAGGAAAGCTCTCTATTAGAAACCAACAAACTGGCCGGGCGCGGTGGCTCGCGCTTGTAATCCCAGCACTTTGGGAGGCCGAGGCAGGCAGATCACGAGGTCAGGACATCGAGAACACGTTGAAACCCCGTCTCTACTAAAAATACAAAAAATGAGCCGGGCGTGGTGGTGGGGGCCTGTAGTCCCAGCTACTTGGAGAGGCTGAGGCAGGAGAATGGCGTGAACCCAGGATGCGCAACTTGCAGTGAGCCGAGATCATGCCACTGCACTCCAGCCTGGGTGACAGAGCGAGACTCCATCTCAAAAAAAAAAAAAAAACCCAACAAACGAAATTATTTCTCAGGAAATTCAAAGCCAATTTTTCCCTCCAGTGTTAAATTAAACTCTTTCTGTCATCATTCAGTGCCCACCAAGAAAATCTGATGGTGGCTCGGCACGGTGGCTCACGCCTGTAATCCCAGCACTTTGGGAGGCCAAGGCGTGCAGACTACTTGAGGTCAGGAGTTCAAGACCAGCCTGGCCAACATGGTGAAACCCCGTCTCTACTAAAAATACAAAAAAATTAGCTGGGCGTGGTGGCTCACGCTTGTAGTCTGTAGTCCCAGCTACTTGGGAGGCTAAGGCAGGAGAATCGCTTGAACCCTGGAGGCAGAGGTTGCAGTGAGACGAGATCGCGCCACCGCACTCCAACCTGGTCGACAGAGTGAGACCCTGTCTCAAAAAAAGAAAAGAAAAAAAAGAAAGAAAAGTAAAGAACAGAACAGAAAAGAAGAGTTGATGGGTTCTGCTTAGAAGCTATATTCAATTTAAAACATCACATGCATACTCAATGCAGTCACATTTTCACATTAGGAGAACTGCAGGAAAACAGATTCAAGATTCAAGGTCACACCTATGTGTTGTTTTCTCCAAGTTGTAGAGATGATAATGATACCCACATGTCCAGACTAGGTGAGGACAGTTCCAGTTTATGTCTGTCAACCTGACATAATTTTTAATAGGCCCCTTTTTATTCTCAAAAATAGTCTGGACTGGGCCGGGCGTGATGGCTCACACCTGTAATCCCAGCACTTTGGGAGGCCAAGGCAGGCGGATCATGAGGTCAGGAGATCGAGACCATCCTGGCTAACACGGTGAAACCCCGTCTCTACTTAAAAAAAAAAAAAATTAGCTGGGCATGGTGGCGGGTGCCTGTAGTCCCAGCTACTCGGGAGGCTGAGGCAGGAGAACGGCGTGAACCTGGGAGGCGAGGCTTGCCGTGAGCCGAGATTGCGCCACTGCACTCCAGCCCAGGCGACACAGCAAGACTCCGTCTCAAAAAAAAAAAAAAGGTCTGGACTAGTCCACTCCCAATGGACCTACTCCCACACCCCATGCAGTCACTTCTCACAGTGAGTTTGGGATGGTCAGAGACACAAAGTCATCGGGGAAATGTGACAGAAGTGATGATATACCAGTTCTGGGCCTACACTTCAAAAAGAACTGGCAGTTTCTGTTTCCTTCCTCTGGGAATGTTTGCCCTGAACCACTGCATAAGCCATCAGGTCCTACTGCAGACCTCACTGGAAAAGGAGAGGTCGTGAGACTACACAGTAACCAAGAAAAAAGGCCCAGCTGTTCCAGATCACAGTGGAGCAAGCAGATGACACCGGCCCCCATTAGCCCAGAACCACAACTGCCCACCTGAACAAATCCTCAAATACCAGCAGTTGTTTTAAGCCATTAAATCTGAGTGGTTCGGTGCACTTTCCTATGAGGGAGAAGGGGACTTCTGGAATTCTTCATGAAACAGTCCGGAGGTGAGTGGAGCTGGGAAATAACTTGAACCAGAAAAGGAAAGCTCCTTCGTGGTGACAGTCCCCACTACCCTTCTTATCTTCTGGATGAGGTATTACCTTCAGATCCAGGAAACTAACAGGAGGACCAATCCGAGGAAGCTCTGGGAAGGTGAAAGCTGAGAAATGTGTAAGGTGTCGTATTTCTGCACTGATCCCTGATAGGATTCTTACCTTTGAACAGTTGCTTTGAATGGAGTACATGCTAAGCAGATACTTTGAATCTATAAGTATGTATATGATTAGGACCTAAAGGGGTTGTCTTAGTCCCTTTAGTGTTCCTATAAAGGAATACATGACACTGGGTAACTGACAAAGAAAAGAAATTCACTTGGCTCATGATTCCGCCGGCTGGAAGATGGGGCATCTGGTGAAAGCCTCAGGCTGCTTCCACACATGGCGGAAGGTGAAGGGGAGCCAGCATGTGAAGAGGTCACATGGCCAGAGAAGCAGCAAGAGAGAGGCGCCAGCTCTTTTTAACAACCAGCTCTTGTAGGAACTAAAGGAGTAAGAACTCACTCACCCCTCACCCAGGAGGGCATTAATCTATTTATGAGGGTTCCAGCCCCATGGCACAAACACCTTCCATTAGGGCCCACCTCCAACACTGGAGATCAAATTTCAACATGAGGTTTGCTAAGGACAAACCACATCCAAACTATAGCAGTGGTTAAGTAATCTGCCCAAGACTCCCCACTTCTGCCTTACACAAAATAAGGAGGCATCTCTTTATCTAGGAGGTCACATATAATGTAATAATAGTCAAGTCACTTCAAGCTGAGTTCTGCCACTTACCACTTGAGGCCTCAAGCAAGACGTTTAAGCTCTCTAAATATCAGTTTTATGGTCTGTACAAAGGGGATGATGACATGTGTGGTGTAGGATTGTTATGAGGATTAAAAAGATGTTTGTAAATCTCTTTAACACAGTGCTGCCCTTACACTCACATATGCAGACTCGCACACACGTGGAGCTAGAAGCAAGGAGAGAAGGCTGCAAGGTGCCTTCAGAATTGTATCAGCTCATCCATGTTTAGACTACAAATAGCATTTGTAGAGCAATAAAGGTATTCTTTGTGGAGAGTTCCAGGCCAGACACCTATACTTTGTATACCTCCTGGGAAAAGCTCCTGTCCATTTTTTTTATCTCTATCACAAAGCTTCGAAATTCCGTCCGTATTTTTAAATAAACAGAAAACTTGTTACTGAGAGGCAAATTTGCACCAGGCACTATTCTAGAAGCAGTGGTGGGGGGGGGGGAGGCTGTTAAGGCAACAAGATTTTAAAAAGCTCTCCTCTCACCTCACAGTTTACCGTCTAGTTGAAGGAATCATACAATAAACAAGATAAATAAGGAAGTGTGTTAGATGACGATAAGAGTAAATGAGAAAAAAGAAAAACAAGGAAGGGGAACAGGAAGTGCCGGGGATGCAGCTGAAAACTGAGACAGACTGATGAGGAAAACCCTCATGAGAATGTCACATTTCAGTACACGTGGCAAGAATAAGGCCATGGGCTATGTGGATGGGGAGGAGGTGCCCAGCAGCAAGGAGGCACTTCAGGCAGATGAATGAGTGCAAAGCCCCCAACACAGAAGCCTATCCAGCTACGGTCAGGAAACAGCGTGTTGAATACAAAAATGAGCCAGGCATGTGGTGGCGCACGCCTGTAGTCCCAGCTACTTGGGGAGGGGCTGAGGTGGGAGGATCGCTTGGGCCCAGGAGGTGGAGTTTGCAGTGAGCAGAGATCATGCCACTGCACTCCAGCCTGGGTGACAGAGCGAGACCGTCTCAAAAAAAAAAAAAAAAAGAGCAAGTTGGCACCTCTGACTGCAGTAGAGAAAAGGGGAGGCCGAGCGTGGTGCCTCACGCCTGTAATCCCAGCACTTTGGGAGGCCGAAGTGGGTGGATCACTTGAGGTCAGGAGTTCGAGACTAGCCTGGCCAACTTGGTGGAACACCGTCTCTACTAAAAATACAAAAATTGGCCGGGCATGGCGGTGGGTGCCTGTAATCCCACCTCTCGGGAGGCTGAAGCACAAGAATTGTTTGAACCCAGGATTTTCATTGAGAAGTTCAGGTATTGGGCTTTCCCCCTTATTGGCCCATTCCAGAGGGATCCACTAAGAGGCTAAGAGTTTTATTAGTAAGGCTTTTTTTTTTTTTGGAGTTGCAGTGAGTCACTGGGCAACAGAGCAAGACTCAGTCTCCAAAAAAACAAAAAAAGAAAAGAGAGAGAGAGAGAGAAAAGCGGGGGAGCGGGTAGTGGAGCTGAAGCCAGGGACTAGCTCTTATAGGGACTATATTGGCATCCTGTTCTAAATGTCAAGTGAAGAAAAGGTTCTGTAATGGTTAATTTTATGCATCAACTGGACTACAGCATAGAGTGCCCAGATGTTTGGTCAAACATTATTCTGGGTCTATCTGTGACAGTGCTTTCAGATAAAATGAACATTTGAATCCGTGGACTGAGTAAAGCAGACTGCCCTCCTTAATGTGGGTGGGACTCATACAACCCACAGAAAGCCTGAAGAGAACAAAAAGGCTGAGTTTAAGAGGGAACTCCTCTGGGTCTCACTGCTTGAGCTGAGACACTGGCTCACCTGGCTCTCGTGCCTTCGGACTTGAACTGGAACTTACCCTGTCAGCTATCTCGGGATTCCAGATTGCCAGCTGCAGATTTTGGGACTTCCTGGCCTTCACAGTCATGTCGGTCAATTTTACACACACACACACACACACACCCCTTTTAAATTTATGCATATATAAACCCTTCATACATATTATATACATATATATATACACGCACACACAGACACATATGTCTCTTGGGTTAGATATTTCAAATAAGGTGAAGACTGCAAACAGATTGCTGGATTTAGCAACATGGAGCAATTGATCACCTCAAGAGCAACTCTAGAGGAGCAGTGGGGGCAAAAGCCTGAATGAAATGTGTAAAAGAATAGGAGAAAAGAAAGAATATACAGAATCAGAATAACCAAAAGAAGTTTGTTTTTTTGGTGTGTGTGTGTGTTTTTTTTTTTTTTTAAGACAGAGTCTCACTCTGTCGCCCAGGCTGGAGTGCAGGGGCACAATCTCAGCTCACTGCAACCTCTGCCTCCCGGGTTCAAGCGATTCTCCTGCCTCAGTCTCCTGAGTAACTGGGATTACAGGCACCCGCCACCACGCCCAGCTAATTTTTGTATTTTTAGTAGAGATGGGGTTTCCCCACATTGGCCAGGCTGGTCTCAATCTCCTGACCTCAGGTGATCCGCCAGCCTTGGCCTCCCAAAGTGTTGGGATTACGGGCGTGAGCCACCACACCCGGCAAAAAAGTTTTTAAACAAGAAGTAATAGCCCGTTTAATACGCTGATAAGAATGATACAACAGAGATGAAAAATTTGATGATGCAAATAAAGGATGAACTACTGGAGTGATTATCCTTAAACAGGTAGAAAAGCATGGAGCCTAGTATACGTGCACAGGGTTTGGCCTTAGCTAGCAGTTACAGAAGGCAGAGTACCAGGCACAGATGTAGACAGGTAGCACATCTGGTAAGGGGAGTGAGTAGTTTTCTTCTAATTGATTCAGGTTTTTTCCCCAATGAAATAAAGGGAGGATAAGGCAGGGAGAATTAGAGGATTAAAGTAAGACATTTAAACTATCTAGAAGAGTAATTGGAATAGGAAAACAGACTATAACCTATAATAAAAGCCTCTTGGTCTTGGTAATCATGACTGTGAAGTCAGAGTGATCAGTATGGTTTCTCCAGCCACATTGAGCTATGGGAAAGCAAGCAAAGAATAGGCAAAAAGTTGGATTACACAAGGTATAACAAATGCAGCTCATACACACTTTCCAAAATCCACTCGGTCCTGCCTGCTGTTCTACTTCCCAGCTGAAGCAGGCTCAGCAGCACAAGCAAAATCCTGCAATCTGGGAGGATCATATGAACTCAGCCTACCACTAGTGGTCTCTACCTCCCCAGTGTTAACAGGTAGGCTTTGGTGGTCCTCACTGTGCCTGCTGTGGCAGAAGCCCTGTTACCCCAAATCAGCTGCTTTTCCAGCAGCTGCATAGAGAAGCCAAGTAACAAACCCAAAAGTATAGAATAATTAAGATCCTTCAGGCAACTCTGACCAGTAAGAGACAGGATATGAGAGGGAGCCAACAAATAAATCTCTCAGCCATCCTCCCTCAAACCTGTCCCCAGAAGTATTCTGAGAGGTGCCATGATTCTCCAGAGATTTCCAACATGACTGAGCAGCCAGCTAAGGTTCTTATGATGCTGTAGCCTGCTGGATAACGTAGCACTCTGTATTTGCTTTCCCTCCTTTCCTGTCTCACTTTCTATTTTCCCCTTCATTCTAACTTCAAGTAAAGTATTAGCCCAGTAAAAGCTTTGTTGTATGCTCTATTTTCCGGGGAATGAGAGTAAAACACAGGTTGTGGCATAGCCAAAAGAACTAATGAAACAAGAAGACAAAGGAATAGGAGGAGAGGTTGTGTTCTAATGACTGGAATTTAAGCTGAACAAAAGCGTAAGAAACATCAAGGGAAAAGGTGGTATAATCAATGAACTGACGTCATGATGGAGTCAAAGATCACAGGGATGCTGGAAGGGCATCAGCTGGAAAGATCAGGAGGATGTAGAGTGCTAAGTCTGAAACAGAGATAAAAGGGTATGAATTTCAGGTAACAGTAACTCAAAGGAATGGGTGGCTGAGGTAGGGCAGAGAACAGGATCCCAGGAATAGAGGTCAAGGAACTAAGAAGCCAAGGTATCGGAAGGATTAGGGTCACTGTGTTGTTGTGTTCAACCTATGCAGTCATTCACAGCGGCTCTGGGAAGAATATCATTAGGCATACTGAAATAAGAAAAGACACAGAAATTATACTAGACTACGTAACAGAAAGGTAGAAACTACCTACTTCCCTTCTAGGAAACCAAGTCATTCAGACCCCTCCCACTACAGAACAACTGGAAAAAGTGAACAAAATATTAACATCTGTTTGAAGGAATCAGAAAAGTAACAACTGGGCACAATGGCTCATGCCTGTAATCTAGCACTTTGAGGGGCTGAGGCAAGAGGATTGCTTGAAGCCAGGAGTTCAAGACCAACCTGGCCAACATAGTGAGACACTGTCTCTATTTAAAAAAAAAAAAAAAGCCAGGCGCGGTTGCTCATGCCTGTAATCCCAGCACTTTGGGAGGCCGAAGCGGGGAGATTACCTGAGGTCAGGAGTTCGAGACAAGCCTGACCAACATGGAGAAACCCTGTCTCTACTAAAAATACAAAATTAGCCGGGCATAGTAGCGCATGCCTGTAATCCCAGCTACTCGGGAGGCTGAGGCAGGAGAATCGCTTGAATCCAGGAGGTGGAGGTTGCGGCGAGCCAAGATCGTGCCATTGCACTCCATCCTGGGAACGAGTGAAACTCTGCCTCAAAAAAAAAAAAAAAAAAAAAAAAGTAACAAGATAGACCTGGAATGCAAGAGAGACTGCTGCCTTCAGAAAGGGAACTTCAGGCCAGGCACAGTGGTTCACGCCCGTAATCCCAACACTTTGGGAGGCCCAGGCAAGAGGATCCCTTGAGGTGAGGAGTTCCAGACCAGCCTGGGCAACACAGTAACACCTTATCTCTACAAAAATAATTTTTCTTTTTTAATTAGCCAGGTGTATGGTAGCATGCACCTGTAGTCCCAGCTACTTGGGAGGCTAAGGATTACTTGAGCGCAGGGGATTAAGGCTGCAGTTGAGCCATGATTGTGCCACTGCATTCCAGCTGGGGAAAAAGGGGAAGACTTCCAGAAAAAACAAAAGGGAAGTGTAGGTATTGGGCTTTCCCCCACAGTTTCCCCCTTATTTGCCTATTCCAGAGGGGGCCATTAAGAGGCTAAGAGATTAAGTAATGCTTTTTTTTTTTTTCTGAGGAGGAGACAGGGTCTCGTCCTATCACCCAGGCTGGAGTGTAGGGGTAAGATCTCAGCTCACTGGAACCTCGACCTCCTAGGCTCAAGTGTTCCTCCTACCTCAGTCTCCGAAGTAGCTGTGACTATAGGTACGCACCATCACACCTGGCTAATTTTTGTACTTTTTGTAGAGAGAGTGTTTCACCAGGTTGCCCAGGCTGGTCTCGAACTCCTGGGCTCAAGCGATCTATTTTATTGTGATGTCCTAGGTGTGAATTTTATTTATTTATTTATTTTAGACTGATGCCCAGGCTGGAGTGCAGTTGGCATGATCTTGGCTCACTGTAACCTCTGCCTCCTGGGTTCAAGAGATTCTCTGCCTAAGCCTCCCAAGTAGCTGGGATTACAGGTGGGTGGCACCACGCCCAGCTAATTTTTGTATATTTTTTGTAGAGGTAGGGTTTCACCATGTTGGCCAGGCTGGTCTTGAACTCCTGACGTCAGGTGATCCGCCCACTTCGGCCTCCCACAGTGCTGGGATTACAGCCGTGAGCCACCATGCACAGCCTTATTTTATTATTTATTTATTTATGTGAGACGGAGTCTCCCTCTGTCGCCCAGGCTGGAGTGCAGTGGCGCAATTTCAGCTCACTGCAAGCTCCGCCTCCCAGGTTCATGTCATTCTCCTGCCTCAGCCTCCCAAGTAGCTGGGACTACAGGTGCCCGCCACCATGCCCAGCTAATGTTTTGTATTTTTTTTAGTAGAGATGGGGTTTCACCATGTTAGCCAGGATGGTCTCGATCTCCTCACCTCATGATCCACCCGCCTCAGCCTCCCAAGTAGCTGGGACTACAGGTGCCCGCCACCATGCCCAGCTAATGTTTTGTATTTTTTTTAGTAGAGATGGGGTTTCACCGTGTTAGCCAGGATGGTCTCGATCTCCTGACTTCATGATCCGCCTGCCTCGGCCTCCCAAACTGCTGGGATTACAGGCGTGAGCCACCGCACCCAGCTTCCCTTTAGGATTCTTAAGCCTTCTTGAGAAGCCAAGTCAACATGAGATTAATAAATTAAGGAAGTTGGCCAGGCGCTGTGGCTCACGCCTGTAATCTCAGCACTTTGGGAGGCCGAGGTGGGTGGATCAGGAGATCAGGGGATCAAGACCATCCTGGCTAACATGGCGAAACCCTGTCTCTACTAAAAATACAAAAAATTAGCCAGGCGTGGTGGTGGGCGCCTATAATCCCAGCTACTCGGGAGGCTGAGGCAGGAGAATGGCGTGAACCCAGGAGGCGGAGCTTGCAGTGAGCCAAGATCGCGCCATTGCACTCCAGCCTGGGCGACAGAGCGAGACTCCGTCTCAAAATAAATAAATAAATAAATAAATAAATAAATAAATAATAAATAAATAAAGGAAGTAAATTGTTATCTCTAGGATAACTACTCAGAGAATAGTATTTTTTCCAAATAGCACACAATTACCAAGCTAAGGAAGAGGGAAGAATAACAATAAATACTAAATCAATGCAAAGGAAGATCAAAAGGACTAACAAAACAAACCCACACAGAACAGGTGGGTCAAATAGAAATCTCTGAGTTAGATCTAAATACAGATATATCAATAAATACATTAAATGAAACTGTGAATGAAACTAAATGCAAGTTAAAAGCAAAGATGTGCTTTTAAGATGTGGATGAAAACCTGTTCAGACATAACCAAGACATCAAGAATAAAGAAAGGTTGAAAATAAAAAAGACAGAAAAAGATGCCATTCAAACACGAACAAAAAGAAAACTGGCATAGCTATACTGATATTAGACAAAGCAGACTTTAAGGCAAGAAGCATTACTAGAGTTAAAGAGGGGAACTCCATCATAAGAGGTTCAATCCTCCACAGCACACTGGATTAAGCAGCAAAAATCAGGAGCGCATAGTACAAACTCATGACATCACATTCAGAGGTGTTTTTAGGGAGGCGAGAAGAAAAGTAAAGAAATGGCAACAAAGAAAAAGAGGACATGCTACTGTGAAGCCTAGTAACACAAAAGGGATGGAGGGGCAGGCAAGTACTCTTTCGGAGGGCTGCAGGGAGGCAGTGTCATCAGGAGATGGCCTATTTTCAGTCAGAATAAGAATGTGTGGGGCGGGGGGCGGAAATCACAGAAGAAACTGAAGATTAGGGGAATTTTGCTGATATACCGTGAGTTTAAAAGGGCTCAGGGAAAAGTTCCAAGAAGATCAAGGTGAAAAACAGGATCAGAAAAGAAAATGCAGAGTCCATGAAAAGAGGGAAGACAAGGGAATCTGGCCTTCCGGCTGCCTGATAACTCAGAAAGAAGCACAAGATGAGAACAATGCTCACGGTTCCCAAGCAGACAGTGATGGGGAAGCTGTGGGTGAGGGTAGGGAGAGTGGGACTGGAATCGTGCCAGGAACAGCCAAAGTTTTAGGGCTTCCACTTGCCTTCTGTTCAAGCCTTCGGGCTGGCAGTGTAGTAGAAGTCTTACTCTAAGCATTGCTTTCTGCTGAAAGAGGCTACAGGTTTTAGTTATGATTTTAAGGAGCCAATAAATCTCGGGTAGATAAAAAGGTTATTCTTAAGAGTAAGAAAGAGAGGTTACACAGCCCCTCCTCCAGTCCTACCTCTGGAGTTTCTACCTGCCCAAGTCCCAGATGATTTTCCACTGTTTCTAATGTTGTCAAGCACAGTTAATCAAATAAAACAAAATGTTACTTTTCTGTGGATGGCAGTTAGGGGTAGGACAATTTACCCAGTTGTCTGCCTTCGTATTTCTCTTTGCGGGGAGAGGGGGAGGAATTTCAAGATCTTTTATTTTCAGAGATTCCAACAGTTGGTTAGCAATGCCAGCTAAATTGGTACAATCTGAAGACCATCCCACCTTGCATTCATCCAACAAAATCCCTACAAACAAGATCAGAGACCAACTGAGATCTATCTGTATCAATGTAGGAGGGCGAAAAGAGGCCCTCTCTTTCCCCTATTCCCCATATACCTTCTCCAACAAGACTGTTTTACAGTCAAATTCCGCCTTTGTATTTCACTCATTCATTCATTTAAGTGATTTTATTTCGTGCCAACTATGTACTGAGCAATGTCTACACACAAAGAGCCCTACCCTTGTTGAGCTTATATTCTAGTACAGACATTAAAATATATGTAAATTTACAGTACGCTAGAAGACGAAAAGAAAAAAATGAAATAGTAAAGCAGGAGAAAGACAACCTGAGGCTGGGCTCAGTGGCTCATGCCTGTAATCCAAACACTTTGGAGGCCAAGGTGGGAGGATCATTTGAGCCCAGGAGTTCAAGGCTGCAGTAAGCTGTGATTGCACCAGTGCACTCCAGCTTGGGTGACAGGGCAAGACCTTTTCTCAAAAAAAAAAAAAAAAAAAAAAAAAAGACAAAGACTGGTGTGCAAGACAGTTAAGACAGTTATCCATTCAAATGCCTCCTAAGAAGTGTTCTTACAAAGAATTATTTAAATCAGAAATTCGTGTCTAGATGTAGTGGCTTGTGCCTGTAATCCCAGCATACTGGGAGGCCAAGGTGAGAGGATCACTTGAGGCCAGGAGTTCAAGACCAGCCTAGGCAACGCAGTTAGATCCTGTCTCTACAAAAAATTCTAAAAAACTAGCTGGGCATGGTGGTGCACACCTGTAGTCTCTGCTACTCGGGAGGCTGAAACAGGAGGATAGCTTGGGCTCAGGAAATGCAGGTTGCAGTGACCTTCAAACAAAGCAACTATTTAACAATAGGTGACCAGAAATTTAATGACACTAAGGACTAAGTATTAATTTTTTTTAGTTGTGACATCTGTGTTTAGATTGTTTTTAAGTCATATTCTAGAGATACTTGCAGATAGGTAGGTTAGGAGAGGCCTTATTGAGCAATGATCTGAATGAAGTGAAGGAGATAAAGAAAGAGTAATGGAGCAGCAAAAAAGGAGGGGACCACGGTGAGGGCTTTCACTTTTACTCTAAGTGAAATGGGAGCCACTGGAAGGTTGTAAGCCACAGAGGAACAGCTAATTTACATTTTATTTATTTATTAGAAACAGAGTCTCTGTGGCCCGGGATGGAGTGCAGTGCCACAATCAGAGCTCACTGAGCCTTGAATTCCTGAGCTCAAGCAATCTTCCTAGCTCAGTCTCCCAAATAGCTGTGACCACAGATGCATACCATTGTGCCCGACTAATTTTTTTTGTGAGACGGTTTCGCTCTTGTTGATGCTGAAGTACAACGGCACGATCTCGGCTCACCACAACCTCTGCCTCCCGGGTTCAAGTGATTCTCCTGCCTCAGACTCCAGGGTAGCTGGGATTACAGGCATGTGCAACCACGCCCAGATAGTTTTGTATTTTTAGTAGAGATGGGGTTTCTCCATGTTGGTCAGGCTGGTATTGAACTCCCGACCTCATGTGATCTGCCTGCCTTGGCCTCCCAAAGTGCTGGGATTACAGGCGTGAGCCACCGCACCCCGCCGCGACTAATTTTTTTCATGGTGGGTGTGGGGGGGTGTGTGTGTGTGTGTATAAGTGTGTGGTGACGGGGTGTCTCCCTATTTTGCCCAGGCTGGTCTCAAACTCCTGGCCTTAAGCAATCCTCCCACCTTGGCCTCCCAAAGTGCTGGGATTACAGAAGTGAGTCACTGCACCCAGCCTAACAGATATAAAATACAGAAGCAGGAGATTTACAAGAAAGCTACTGTATAATTTGTGTTATACATGATGATTTAAAGGAAGACAGGAACTGTGGAAGCAATGAGAAGTAATTCTATTCTTCAACCTAGGATGGCTGGTCTGTAGACAGGTATACAAAAAGATATACGCAGTTATGGCTGTCAGTGGACAATGGAGAAGACATAAAAGCTAATAATTAAAGAGATTATTACTATAACAGACTAAGTAACAAGCTACATCAAGAACATAGATGAGGTGTACATAACTTACAAGACAGATAGGAGAAGAGTTTATGGTAATACTTAACAGGCCAGGCACAGTGGCTCACGCATGTAATCCCAGCACTTTGGGAGGCTGAGGTGGGCAGATCACCTGAGGTCAGGAGTTTGAGATCAGCCTGGCCAACATAGTGAAACCCCATCTCTACCAAAAATATAAAAACTTGCCAGGCATGGTGGCACACATCTGTAGTCCCAGCTACCAGGGAGGCTGAGGCAGGAAGATCGCTTGAACCCGGGAGGCAGAGGCTGCAGTGAGGCAAGATCACGCCACTACAGTCCAGCCTGGGCAACAGAGCAAGAACCTGACTCCAAAAAAAAAAAAAAAAAAAAAAAAGATTAGATAGAATAGATAGATAGACAGACAGACAGATAGATAGATAGAGGCATGGGCCAGGTGGGGTGGCTCACATCTGTAATCTCAGCATTTTGGGAGGCTGAGGGAGGTGAATCACCTGAGGTTAGGAGTTCAAGACCAGCCTAACCAACATGGTGAAACCCCAACTCTACTAAAAATAAAAAGTTAGCTGGGCGTGTAGTGCACGCCTGCAATCCCAGCTACTTAGAAGGCTAAGGCAGGAGAATCACTTGAACCTGGGAGGCGGAGGTTGCAATGAACCAAGATTGCATCATTGCACTCCAGCCTGGGCAACAAGAGCGAAACTCCGTCTCAAAAAATATAAAGACAGACAGACAGACAGACAGATCCTTTAGCTAGATACACAAGCCAGGACGCTTGTGATAGGGTCCATGCCTACCTGTTCCACAATCTCACCTTCCACCACTTTACCAATCACCTCCCTAAGCATCTGATCATATCAAACTACTCCTGACTTCGCAAACAAGTCCAGCACTCTCCATCCACAGGACTCCATCTAAACGTGTCTTCCCTCAGCCTGAAATGTCTTTCCTTCACTTGCCCTTCAAGAGCCACCCTAAGAGTAAACTCTGGAAAGCCTTTCCTTCTACATACTATTTCAACCATCTCACCCCATCCCACCAAGCCCCTAGGTTTATGCCCCAGGCATACCTCTATCACCTGGCATTTATCACACTAGACTAGGTATTTTATGACCATGGAAAACGGTAAGTACCATAAATGATGTCTAATATACAAAGTTATTTTCTAAAATGTACAAACGTCACTTAAAAGCAAATTACTAAACTTCAGCCAGAGAAATTTGTTTAGTTTAGTTTTGAGACAGGGTCGACTTTCTTGCCCAGGCTGGAGTACATTGGCATGGGCATGATGACGGCTCATGGCAGCCTCAAATTCCTGGGCTCAAGCGATCCTCTCACCTCATCCTCCAGAGTAGCTGAGACTATAGGTATATGCCCATGCCCAGCGCTTTTTTTTTCCCCCTGAAGACATGGTCTCACTCTGTTGCCTAGGTTGGTCTGCAGCCTCAACTTCCTGGGTTCCAGTAATCCTCCCACCTCGGCCTCCCTAAGTGCTGGGATTACAGGCATCAGTCCCTGTACTCAACCCAAGCAAAGAAATATATACTGATGAAACAAATATGGCAAACATCCCAGACAGGCACAGTGGCTCACGACTGTAATCCCAACACTTTGGGAGGCCGAGGCAGGGGGGATCCACCTGAGCTCAGGAGTTTGAGAACAGCCTGGGAAAACATGGTGAGACCCCATCTCTACTAAAAATACAAAAATTAGCCAGACGTGGTGGGGCACGCCTGTAATCCCAGCTACTCAGGAGGCTGAGGCACGGGAATCACTTGAACCCAGGAAGCGGAGGTTGCAGTGACTGAGATCATGCCACTCCACTCCAGCCTGGCAGGGGAAAAGCAAGACTCTGTCTCACAAAAAAAAAAAAAAAAGAAAAAAAAAAGAAACTTATGTAAGTGTAGTATCCCATAAAAGAGAAAAATTACTGTGTTCTTTTTTATTTGAGATAGAGTCTTGGGCCAGGCACGGTGGCTCACGCCTGTAATCCCAGGACTGTGGGAAGCCGAGGCAGGCAGATCACAAGGTCAGGAGTTCGAGACCAGTCTGGCCAATATGGTGAAACCCCGTCTCTACTAAAAATACAAAAATTAGCCAGGTATGGTGGCAGGCACCTGTAGTCCCAGCTACTTGGGAGCCTGAGGCAGGAGAATCCCTTGAACCTGGGAAGTGGAGGTTGCAGTGAGCCAAGTCTGTGCCACTGCACTCCAGCCTGGGCGACAGAGCAAGACTCCATCAAAAAAAAAAAAAAAAAAAAAAGAAAGAGACAGTGTCTTCGTTGCCCCGGCTGGAGTGCAGTGACTATTCACAGCAAAGATCAGTGTACTGCAAGCTCAAACTCTTGTCCTCAAGTGATCCTCCCACCCCATGCCATCATGCCCAGCCAATTACTATGGTTTTACCTAACAGAAGTGTAAGAAGTCCATTACTTTCTTACATAATGAGTTCCCAAAAACATGTACACAAGTGGAATGTGTGAAAGCAAGGCAACAGACATACCATAAGGGGAATTATGCTCTTGAAACGCTAAAAAATACAAAATACCTACTTACATCTCATTTTTCCAGAGTATAAATGCAATTTCATACATGTTCTTAAATTGATTTTTCTTTACAATTAAACAGTCAACGAACGAATGTGTCTAAGGTAAAAAACTGCATGCATTTAGACTGCCTGATAACTGTTAGCTTTGTTCTCATCTGCACTGTTTATAGAACCTACACTTTACATTTCTGCTATCATCACTTTCACTTTTCTATCACTATTTGCTCTTAATAACATATTGTGATATTGTGAAATATATATTTGGCCTTCCTGTTTCCTGGCCCTTCAACTCCTAAAATCCTCGGTATCTTCAAAGTAATGTGTCTTTTTGTATGCCAATGAGTTGACCAATAGCTGGCAACCGTTTGTTAGCTTAGGATGACAAATGGTTTCAACTCCCACCTCAACCTCCAAGGAGGGGAGAGGGACTGAACTTTTAATTCATCACCAATGGCCAAAAGATTTAATCAGTCATCCCTACGTAATGAGGCCTTCATAAAAACCTGAAAGGATTGGGTTCAGAGAGCTTGCAGGGAGCTGAACATGGCTTGTAGGGAGCCAAACACATGGGGGATTGCAGGAGTAAAGAGAAGCACAGCCATGTGAGGGGAGGGTGGCCCATCCCAACTCCAAGAAGACAGAAGTGCCAGTGCTAGGGACCATTTCAATCCTGGCCCTATATGTATCTCTTCACCTGACTGTTTATTTGCATCCTTCCAAATATCCTTTGTAGGCCAAACATGATGACTCACACCTGTAATTGCAGCACTTTGGGAATCCAAGGCCGGAGGACTGCTTGAGCCCAGGAGTTCAAGACCAGCCTGGGCAATACAGCAAGACCCCATCTCTACCAAAAAAAAATTTAATTAGCTGGGCATGGTGCTGTGTGTATATAGTTTCACCTACTCAGGAGGCTGAGATGGGAGGATAGCCTGAGTCCAAGAAGTTGAAGCTGCAGTGAGCTGTGATCGCACCACTGCACTCCAGCCTTGGCAACTGGGGAAAGACCCTAACTCAAATAAAATTTAAATATATATATACACACACACACATACACACACACACACACACACACACACACACACACACACACACATATACACATGTATCTTTTGTAATAAATGGATAAACACATTTCCCTGAGTTCTGTAAGTTACTCTAGCAAAGTAATTGAAGTCAAGGAGGTATCTGCAGGAACTCTTGAAATTTGCAGCTGGCTGGTCAGAACCACAGACAAAATAAATGAAGGTTTACGTTCACTATCAAAGATAGGACTGAGTCCTCAACCTGTGTGATGTGTCACCATCCATCTCTAAGCGGGTAGTGTAGACAGTGTCAGAACTGAATTCAATTAGAGGATGCCCAGCTGCTGCCCACTGCAGAACTGATGGCCTACCTCCTGTTGGGGAGAAATCCCCCCTCAAATCTGGAGTCAAAAGCATGTTGTGAAAGTGTAGTGGTAGAAACCCAAGTTTGTATTTTCTACTCAAGCAGAAACTGTGATTTTCAAACTTGTTTAATAGCAATGAAACTCTTTCTTAAAAAAGAATTAATGGCCAGGCGTGGTGGCTCACACCTGTAATACCAGCACTTTGGGAGGCCAAGGTTGGGCAGATAATCTGAGGTCGGGAGTTGGAGACCAGCCTGACCAACATGGAGAAACCCTGTCTCTACTAAAAATACAAAATTAGCTAGGCATGGTGGTGCACACCTGTAATCCCAGCTACTTGGGAGGCTGAGGCAGGAGAATTGCTTGAATCCAGGAGGTGGAGGTTGCGGTGAGCCGAGATCGCACCATTGCACTCCAGCCTGAGCGACAAGAGCGAAACTCCATCTCAAAAAAAAAAAAAAAAAAGAATTATGCAGGCCAAGGTGGCTCATGCCTATAACCCCAGCACTGCAGGAGGCCACGATGGGTGGATTGCTTGAGCCCAGGGGTTCGAGACCAGCTGGGACAACATGGTGAAACCCCGTCTCTACTAAAAAATATTAAAAAAAAAAATTTAGCCAGGCATGACGACATACACCTGTAGTTCCAGCTACTTGGGAGGCTGAAGCAGAAGAATCACTTGAGCCCAGGAGGAAGAGGTTGCAGTGAGCCAAGATCGTTAACACTGCACTCCAGGCTGGGTGAGAATAAGACTCTGTCTCAAAAAAAGGTGGGGGCGGGGGGGCCGGGCACTATGGCTCACGCC
Organism: Homo sapiens; assembly: GCF_000001405.40. Classification (NCBI taxonomy): domain Eukaryota; kingdom Metazoa; phylum Chordata; class Mammalia; order Primates; family Hominidae; genus Homo; species Homo sapiens. The sequence continues at coordinate 102,615,107 of NC_000014.9, read as the reverse complement.
TGTAATCCCAGCACTTTGGGAGGCCAAGGCGGGCACATCACGAGGTCAAGAGATCGAGACCATCCTGGCCAACATGGTGAAACCCCGTCTCTACTAAAAATACAAAAAATTAGCTGGGCATGGTGGCACGTGCCTGTACTCCCAGCTACTCGGGAGGCTGAGGCAGGAGAATGGTATGAACCCGGGAGGTGGAGCTTGCAGTGAGCCGAGATCACGCCACTGCACTCCAGCCTGGGCGACAGAGCGAGACTCCGTCTCAAAAAAAAAAAAAAATTATTCAGAAATTATTTTTATTTTTGTTTTTTATATGCTTTTCCTGAGCTGTATATCAAAAAATTTTATACACCAAACTGGATAAAAGTTTAGCTATTCTAGTTTATAGAGTTCGGCCCTGTAGCCTCACCCCCAACCTCTCAGCTCCACTAAGAATGCGGTACAAAAATGGCAATACCATGGAAACTGACCTGTTGCCAAGCAAGCAGAGAACTAAGCAACAACTCAAAATGATAGTTAATCATCTGACATATAAAATCTTAATTCAGTCTGGGAGTTATCAATATCTGACATTTAAAAAGAGCCAGAAGGGCTGGGTGCAGTGGCTCATGCTTGTAATCCCAGCACTTTGGGAGGCCGAGGCGGGCGGATCACGAGGTCAAGAGATCGAGACCATGCTGGCTAACGTGGTGAAACCCCGTCTCTACTAAAAATGCAAAAAATTAGCCGGGCATGGTGGCGGGTGCCTGTAGTCCCAGCTACTCGGGGGGCTGAGGCAGGAGAATGGAGTGAATCCAGGAAGCGGAGCTTGCAGTGAGCCGAGATGGCGCCACTGGACTCCAGCCTAGGTGACAAAGCGAGACTCCGTCTCAAAAAAAAAAAAAAAAAAGAGCCAGATGTTTAAAAATCTTAAAAACATGGCTGGGTGCAGTGGCTCACGCCTATAATCCCAGCACGTTGGGAGGCCAAGGAGGGTAGATCACCTGAGGTTGGGAACTCAAGACCAGCCTGACCAACATGGAGAAACCCCGTCTCTACCAAAAATACAAAATCAGCCGGGTGTAGTGGCACATGCCTGTAATCCCAGCTGCTTGGGAAGCTGAGGCAGGCGAATCCCTTAAACCTGGGAGGCAGAGGTTGCAGTGAGCCTAGATCATTGCACCACTGCACTCCAGCCTGGGCAACAACAGCGAAACTCTGTCTCAAAAAAAAAAAAAAAAAAAAAAAAGAATAGTTAATTCAAAAAACAACCTATCTCAGCCAGGCGCGGTGGTTCACTCCTGTAATCCCAGCACTTTGTGAGGCCAAGGTAGAGGACTGCTTGAGGCCAGGAGTTCAAGATCAGCCTGGGCAACATAGTTATACTCCACCTCTTTAAAAAAAAAAAAAAGGATGGCGGGGCGCGGTGGCTCATGCCTGTAATCCCAGCACTTTGGGAGGCCGAGGCGGGCGGATCACGAGGTCAGGAGATCGAGACCATGGTGAAACCCCGTCTCTACTAAAAATACAAAAAATTAGCCGGGCGCAGTGGCGGGCGCCTGTAGTCCCAGCTACTCGGGAGGCTGAGGCAGGAGAATGGCGTGAACCCGGAAGGCGGAGCTTGCAGTGAGCAGAGATCGCGCCACAGCACTCCCGCCTGGGCGACAGAACGAGACTCCGTCTCAAAAAAAAAAAAAAATGATAAATAAATATGTTTAAAAAAGAAAAAAAAAGGCCAGGTGCGATGGCTCACACCTGTAATTCCAAAACTTTGGGAGGCTGAGAATGGCGGACCACCTGAGGTCATGAGTTTGATACCAGCCAGGCCAACACGGTGAAACCCCAACTCTACCAAAAATACAAAACTTAGCCAGGCGTGGTGGCGCACGCCTGTAGTCCCAGCTACTCGGGAGGCTGAGGCACAAGAACTGCTTGAACCCGGGAGGCGAAGGTTGCAATGAGCCGAGATTGTGCCACTGCATTCCAGCGTGGGCGACAGAGCAAGACTCCATCTCAAAAAAACAAAACAAAACAAAAAAAGCGAGACTCGCACCATCTCAAAAAACAAAACAAACAACAACAACAACCAAAAAAACCACCTATACTCCTTTGGAAAATTCTGGACTAGAATCATCAATACGGTAGTCAGATTTGTTTTTTCTTTTTTTTTTTTTTTGCTAAGAGATACTGTCTCCTGTCTCTCAGGCTAAAATGCAGTGGTGTGATCATACCTCATAGCAGCCTCAAACCCATGGGTTCAAGCAATCCTCCCATCTCAACCTCCCAAGTAGCCAGGACTACAGGTGCACGTAGAGACAAGGTCTTGCTATGTTGCCCAAGCTGATCTCTAGCTCCTGGCATCAAGCAATCCTCCTACCTCAGTCTCCCAAAGTGCTGGGATTACAAGTGTGAGCCACTGCACAGGGTAACCAGCAAGCAGATTTCTAAGAGCAAATGAGATCAGATGGAGTACTTCATCAGGAATATTGAAATGAACAAGGCTGGGTGCAGTGGCTTACTCCTGAAATCCCACCACTTTGGGAGGCCGAAGCAGGTGGATTGCTTGAAGCCAGGAGTTCAAGAGCAGCCTGGGTAACATGGGGAAACCCCCATCCCTACAAAAAATACAAAAATCAGACCGGGCGTGGTGGCTCACACCTGTAATCCCAGCACTTTGGGAGGCTGAGGCGGGCAGATCGCTTAAGAGCAGGAGTTCAAGACCAGCCTGGCCCAAAACCCCGTCTCTACTAAAAATCCAAAACAAATTAGCGGGCGTGGTGGCGCGCACCTGTAATCCCAGCTACTCAGGAAGTGCAGTGGCTCATGCCTGCAATCCTAGCACCTTTGGGAGGCCAAGGTTTGGGAAGAGGGGACCGCTTGAGGCTAGGAGCTCAAGACCAGCCTGGGCAACATGGCAAAATCTATACTTATGCTTCCAGTCAAGGTAGAGTGACATGAACCAGATTTACCTTGTGTAGTATATTATGAAATATGTATTTGGTCTTTGTCCCTGGTTCCACACCCCCTTAGCCAGATGTGATGGCAAAATCCTGTAATCCCAGCTACTGGGGAGGCTGAGGAGGGATGATCGCTTGAACCCTGGAGTCTTCAAGGCCAGCCTGGGCAACACAGTGAGACCCTATCTCTAAAACAATAAAAATAACCAGGCATGGTATAGCCCCAGCTATATGGGGTGCATGGCTTGAGCCCAGGAGTTTGAGGCTGCAAGGAGCTATGATCACAAAACTGCACTCCAGCCTGAGTGACAGAGCAAGACACCTTCTCTAAAAATATAAATAAAATACCCAAAAGAATCAAATGGAACAATCCACAAGGCTCACATGGGAACAGGAAGAGTGCCAGTTCCTCACAGCCAGAGTGGAAAACCACATAGTCCATGGGCTATCACACAGAATCCCCAAAAGGATTTTGACTCAATAGTGGGAAATACTTAGCCCTACACTAAAATGGTTTTGATCTCACCTAACAGAGCTTAAAAGCAAGACTTCATCAAACTATTTTTAAGTATTTTAACCACATCTCAGAACAAAACTCAAGAATATTTATAGAAATACAAAAATATCCAGCCTCCAACAAAGTAAAATTCATGATGTCTGGCATCCAAAAATCAACAGATAAGCAAAGTAGGTGGAAAAGACAACCCAAAAAGAGGAAGAAAAAAAAGAATCAAGCAACTGAAACTGACCCAGAAATGACACAGATGATAGAATTAGTAGACAAGGGCATTAAAAGAACTATAGGCTGAGGCCGGGCATGGTGGCTCATGCCTGTAATCCCTACACTTTGGGAGGCCAAAGTGGGAGGATCACCAGAGGTCAGGAGAGACCAGCCTGGCCAACATGGTGAAACCCTATCTCTACTAACAATACAAAAAATTAGCCAGGCGTGGTGGTGAGCACCTGTAATCACAGCTACTCAGGAGGCTGAGACAGGAGAATCGCCTGAATGGTGTGGGGGCGGAGGCTGCAGTGAGCCAAGATCACACCATTCCACTCCAGTCTGGGCAACAAGAGCGAAACTCCATCTCAAAAAAACAAACAAACAAAAAACTAAGCTCTCCTAAGCTTTCCATTTCAACTTGCTCTTTCAAATAACCTTATTTTGAACACCTTATTGGCAATATTTAAACAAATACACCCCTAGAGGAATTCAGCACACAGCCATCATACATTTCTCAGCTGTACCCATCTCAAATTTCATGCACTTGACAAAAGAGGCAAAACGTCTGAATTATAAAAATTAATAATAACGAAGCTTTTGGGCTGGGCACGGTGGCTCACGCCTGTAATCCCTGCACTTTGGGAGGCTGAGGCGGGTGGATCATGAGGTCAGGAGATTGAGACCATCCTGGCTAATACGGTGAAACCTCGTCTCTACTAAAAAATTAGCCGGGCGTGGTGGTGGGCGCCTACAGTCCCAGCTACTCAGGAGGCTAAGGCAGGAGAATGGTGTGAACGCGGGTGGGCGAGCTTGCAGTAAGCTGAGATGGCGCCACTGCACTCCAGCCTGGGGAACAGAGCGACACTCTGTCACACACACACAAAAATAATAATAATAATAGCAATAATAATGAAGCTTTCATTTCATCAAAATGTCTAGATCATTGCCACCCAACTGAACTTGCTGGGAGGATAAAAATACTCTATTCTGAGCTGTCCAATATGGCACCTACTAGCTATATATGATGGCTGAATATCTAAAATGTGCCTAGTGTAACAGAAGGACTGAATTTTTAATTTTATTTAATTTTAATTAATTTAAATTTCAATAGTTATATGTAGCTAGTGGCTACACTATTGGACAGCACAGCTCTAGATAACTACAAGGAAAATCTAAACTAAAATTTTAAAGATTAAACTTTTCAAAATAATTTTTATAACATGTACAGCTTATATATCATATAATATTAATATTCAAATTAACTAGGTAATTCCTACGTTTTAAGGCTTGACTTAAAGGACGATTTCTCTTTTTTTTTTTTTTGAGATGGAGTTTCGCTCTTGTTGCCCAGGCTGGAGCGCAATGGCGCAATCTCGGCTCACTGCAACCTCCACCTCCAGGGTTCAAGCGATTCTCCTGCCTCAGCCTCCCGAGTAGCTGGAACTACTCCCAGCTAATTTTTGTATGTTTAGTAGAGACAGGGTTTCACCATGTTGTCATGTTGTCCAGGGTGGGCTCAATCTCTTGACCTCGTGATCTGCCTGCCTCGGCCTCCCAAAGTGCTGGGATTACAGGGGTGAGCCACTGCACCCGGCCTTAAAGGACCATTTCATATAGGACTTCCTGGTTTCTTCAACTCCCAACCCTCCACCACAGGGAAGGATCGAGTAACTCCACTACTCTAAGCATCTCAGGACTCTCTGCACTGTCATCAGTAGCATTTTCACGCCTGTAATCCCAGCACTTTGGGAGGCCGAGACAGGCAGATCACCTGAGGTCAGGACCAGCCTGATCAGCCTGGCCAACACGGTGAAACCCTGTCTCTACTAAAAAATACAAAAAAAAAATTAGCCACACTTGGTGGTACATGCTTACAATCCCATCTTCTCAGGAAGCTGAGGCAGGAGAATCACTTGAACCTGGAAGGCGGAAACTGCAGTGAGCCGAGATCGCACCAATGCACTCCAGCCTGGACAACAGAGTGAGACTCCATCTCAAAAAACAGAAAATAAAAAGTAGAATATTGAAACCCTCATACGTTAATCATGGAGTATAAAATGGTTAAGCTACTGTGAAAAACAATTTAATGGTTCCTCAAAAAGTTAAGCACAGACCAGGCACAGTGGCTCACATCTGTAATCCCAGCACTTTGAGAGGCCGAGGCAGGCGGATCACCTGAGGTCGGGAGTTCAAGACGAGCCTGGCCAACATGTTTCTCCATCTCTACTAAAAATACAAAAATTAGCCAGGTGTAGTGGCATGCACATGTAACCCCAGCTACTCAGGAGGCTGAGGCAGGAGAATTGCTTGAACCCGGGAGGCAGAGGTTGCAGTGAGCTGAGATCATACCACTGTCACCCCAGCCTGGGCAACAGAGCAAGAGCCTGTCTCAAAATAAAAATTTAAAAAAAAAAAAAAAAAAAAAAAAGTGAAGCACAGAATTACTCCATAACCCAGCAATTCCACTAATAGATATATACCCCTAAAAGGATGAAAACAGATAAATACCTGTACATGAATGTACATAACAGCACGGTTCACAATAATCAAAAGGTAACAACAAGCTAAATGTCCATCAACAAATGAATGAGCCAGGTGTAGTGGCTCATGCCTATAAGCTCAGCATTTTGGGAGGCTGAGGCAGGAGGAGTGCTTGAGGTCAGGAGTTAGAGACCAGCCTGGCCAACATAAACAAACCCCGTCTCTCCACAAAAAAAAAATTTTAAAATTAGGCCAGGCACCTGTAACCCCAGCACTTTGGGAGGCCGAGACAGGTGTATCACCTGAGGTCGGGAGCTCAAGACCAGCCTGGCCAAAATGGTGAAACCCCATTTCTACTAAAAATACAAAAATCAGCCAGGCATGGTGGTGCGCACCTATAATCCCAGCTACTTGGGAGGCTGAGGCAGGAGAATCGCTTGAACGAGGGAGGCAGAGGTTGCAATGAGTTGAGATCACGCCACTGCCCTTCAGCCTGGACGACAGAGCAAGACTCCATCTCAAAAAACAAAAACAAGGCAAAACAAAAAAAACAACAACACAAAACAAAAGCAATGAAGCACAGAAAGTACCAATACTGACTCAAGCTTCAACATGAATGAACCTTGAAAACATTACACTAAGTGATAGAAGCCAGACATGAAGGTCACATACCCATTTACGTGAAAGTTCCAGAATAAGTAATCCAGAAACAAAAAGCAGGTTAGTGGTTGCCTGGTACTGAGAATGGAGAATAAGAAGTAACTCATTCTTCATTCTAACACATGTGAGATTTTCTTTTTAGGGTGATGAAAATGTTTCGGAACTAGACAAGGGCAGTGGCTCCACAACAATGCGAGTGCACTGAATGCCACTGAATTGTTCATTGTAAAACGGTTAATTTTGTTGTTTTTTTTTTTGAGATGGAGTCTCTCTGTTTCGCCCGGGCTTGAGTGCAGTAGCGTGATCTCGGCTGATGGCAACCTCTGCCTCCCCGGTTCAACCAATTCTCCTGCCTCAGCCTCCCAAGTAGCTGGGATTAGAGGCGTGCACCGCCACACCTGGCTAATTTTTTGTACTTTGTGGTTTTTCTTGAGACAGAGTCTCGCTCTGTTGCCCAGGCTAGTGTGCAGTGGCACGATCTCAGCTCACTGCAGCCTCCACCTCCCGGGTTCAAGCGATTCTCCTGCCTCAGCCTCCTGAGTAGCTGGGATTAAAGGCAGGTGCCACCACACCCGGCTAATTTTTATACTTTTAGTAGATATGGGGTTTTACCATGTTGGCCAGGCTGGTCTCAAACTCCTGACCTCGTGATCTGCCCACCTCAGCCTCTCAAAGTGCTGGGATTACAGGCATGAGCAACCACGCCTGGCTAGCTTTTTTCTATTTTTAGTAGAGACAGGTTTTCACCATATTGGCCTGGCTGGTCTCAAACTCCTGACCTCAGGTGACCCACTTGCCTCAGCTTCCCAAAGCACTGGGATTACACGCATGAGTCACCACACCTGGCCAAAAAATAGTCAATTTTGTGATGTGACTTGCACCACTTTATATAAAAAAAAGAAAACACATCTATGCAAGATGTGCATCTCCAATTTATACAAATTCATTATAAGGAAAGCAAGAGACAATAGGGATAATCAGCTTTTAACTGCAATTTAAAAGACAATTTTTCCCTAGATTTCCATTTGATATACAGTTGCACTTGGTCCTTATCAAATGTCCATTAAAAAATGCCTACTCAGCCGGGCGCGGTGGCTCACGCCTATAATCCCAGCACTTTGGGAGGCCAAGGCAGACGGATCACCTAAGGTTAGAAGTTCGAGACCAGCCTGACCAACATGGAAAAACCCCGTCTCTACTAAAAATACAAAATCAGCCAGACGTGGTGGAGCATGCCTATAATCCCAGCTACTTGGGAGGCTGAGGCAGGAGAACCACTTGAATCCGGGAGGCAGAGGCTGCAGTGAGCTAAGATCACACCACTGCACTCCAGCCTGGGCGACAGAGTGAGACTTCGTCTCAAAAAAAAAAAAAAAAACTAACACAAAACCCAAAAAAATCAAAAAAACAAAAACAAAAGCCTATTCAAGAAAAGACCCAAACCAAGCACATATTCTTAGAAAATTCAGCCCCTATTTAGCTCTGACGAGTTTATACTAGATAATACTTAACAGCCAGGTGCAGTGCCTCACACCTGTAATCCCAGCTACCTGGGAGGCTGAGGCAGGAGGATCACTGGTGCCCAAGAAGTCAAGGCTGCATGCAGTGGGCCATGTTCCCGCCACTGCACTCCAGCCTGGGGGACAGGGTGAGACCCTATCTCCCCTCCAAAAAAAAAAAAAAAACTTAAAACCTGATTTGGTGGTTCAAAAAACTACGCTACCACCCTCAAAGAAATCAGACATACATGACACCACTAGCTCCCAGAACACTCTCTGGTACTGAGTAAGATCAAAACTAGTTAAGCACCTACTCTTCTCTTCCTCCCCGCTGAACTCCCTATATCCACGCTAAGTTTGAAAGCAGAACACCAAGCCCAGCAGCTTCTATGCCAGTAAAAGTAAAGCAGGGCAGGAACTACAACCTTCAGGGAGAGTATGGGTGTAAATACAGTCAGGTGCAGTGGCTCACACCTGTAATCCCAGCACTGTGGGAGGCCAAGACAGGCAAATCACCTGAGGTCAGGAGTTCAAGACCAGCCTGGCCAACATGGCAAAACCCCGTCTCTACTAAAAATACAAAAATTAGGCCGGGCACGGTGGCTCATGCCTGTAATCCCAGCACTTTCGGAGGCCGAAGCAGGCAGATCACTTGAGGTCGGGAGTTCAAGGCCAGCCTGCCCAATATGATGAAACCCTATTTCTACTAAAAATACAAAAATTAGCCAGGCATGGTGGCGCGCACCTGTAATCCCAGCTATTCACGAGGCTGAGGCAGGAGAATCACTGGAAGCAGGGAAGCAGAGGTTGCAGTGAGCCGAGATCATGCCACTGGACTCCAGCCTGTGCAACAGAGCGAGACTCCATTTCAAAAACAAAAACAAAAAAAACCACAAAGACACACACATTGGCCTAGCCTACAGTCAGGATCATCAATATCACCATCTTCCAACTCCATACCTTCCTTGTCCCACTGGAAGGTCTTCAGAGGCAATAAGACCCATGGAGGTGTCATATTCTAGAGTAACAATGCCTTCCTTCTGGAATACCTCCTGAAGGACCTGCCTGAGGCTGTTTTACAGCAAACTGATAATTTTTATAAGTAGGAATACACTCTAAAATAACCATACAAAGTATAGCATAGTAAATCCACAAACCAGTAATACAGTTATTGTCATTACCAAGTACTATGTACTATACATAACTCCATGTGCTAGATTTTGTAAGACTGGCAGTGCAGTAGGTTTGTTTACACCAACACCACACAAACACCTAAGTAATGCTACACGCTGTTGCACTATAGACAAGGTGAAGTTACTAGGCGACAGAAATTTTTTAGTTCCATTATAATCTTATGGGACCACTGTCCTTGACCAAAATGACATTTGTTTTGCAATACATGACTGTATGTATAGCCTTCAGTCACACCATCAAAATAAATGGCTCTTCTAAAAAAAACTCCAACTATATTCTAAGTTGTGAAGATGACTATTTCAACATACATGCAGGAATAAAGCAACTCAGTCCAATTTGTCCCCAGGCAACCAAGCTAACCACCTCCCATTTCACCGGTGTTCTCACTGCCAGGAAGAAGAGGAATGTAACTGGACTACAAGTTGGCTCTGGCAACCCGAAACATAAAATTCCCCAACACCTGGGGCCACATGGAAACAACTAATCAATGGATCCAATAAAGTCTTGCTCCTAAGTGTTTTTTCTTTTCCTTTTTTTTTTTTTTTTTTTTTTGAGATGGAATATTGCTCTGTCACCCAGGCTGGAGTGCAGTGGCACGATCTCGGCTCACTGTAGCTCCACCTCCCAGGTTCAGGCAATTCTCGCGCCTCAGCCTCCCAAAATGCTGGGATTATAGCCTGGCTAATTTTTTGTATTTTTAGTAGAGACAGGGTTTCACCATTTTGGCCAGGCTGATCTTGAATTCCTGACCTTGGGAGATCCACCTGCCTCAGCCTCCCAAAGTGCTGGGATTACAGGAGTGAGCAACTGCACCCAGCCTAAGTGTTTTCTCTTAAAGAGGATTCTGGCTGACCCTCTCTAAAATACACTAAATTGAATTCTGATTATACTTATAAATCAGAATTCTTATAATACTTAAAATTAACAGTCTATCTTGTTGATCCTTTTCCTTTCTTACTGAAACATAAAATAAAGGTGCCTCTTACAGCTGAGGGCCTCTCGGACTGGATTACCACGGCAAGTTATTAGGTTCAACCATAAGACTAAGCCTCTCAATGCCTCTGTTTCCTCATCTGGAAAATGGAGATAGTAACTTTACATCATATGACTGTTGTGAGGGTCAAATGATTTGATGTGTGTTAAAACTAGCCTGGCACAGAGTAAGCAACCTGGATAGATCATTCTTTCGAGGGTTTTGTTAGTGATGACAAGTTGTACCTCCCTATCCACACACTACCCATTGCCTTATAAGGAGTGGCAAATCCCTAAGACAGCTGTTAGTTTTAGTCTATAGCATTTTAACCTTTCGTGGGAAACTAACTGACCATTATAGGATCAAAGCTGTAACTTTAACCTTTAACCTATATGCTACTATAACTATATACTAGGCAAAAATTAAATCAGAGCTTTTCAAGTCATCCAGCACTGTGATTTGGGTCAACTAGCTAATAGCAGGCCAAAATGAGATGAATAACTTAGTGGAAACACAACAATCAACAAAAAAAATTGTCAATTCTCAGTAACATTCATCTTAGAAATCAGGGGTATACACCAAGACCAATCTCTGAGTACAGTCTCCAGTCAGGAATGTATTTTTATCCCTTCCTAGTCAAATAAACTCAATCCTCCTCCCCGCAACACACATAATATTAAAGAAAAAACAAAAAACATATGTGCAATTCTAACAAAGAATATCCAAATATATAAATAAAAAGAACTCACACAAATCCATACAAAAAACCAAAACCTATAAAAACCAACACCCTATAGAAAAACAGCAAAACAGCCTAGGAAACATGGTGAAACCCTGTCTCTACAAAAAAACACAAAAATTAGCCAGGCGTGGTGGCACACTCCTGTAGTCCCAGCTACCTCGGAAGCTGAGGTGGGAGGATCATGTGAGCCCAGGAGATGAAGGTTGCAGTGAGCTGAGATTAAGCCACCGCACTCCAGCCTGGGCAACAGAGCAAGACCCTAAGGGGGAAAAAAAAGAAAAATAGCAAAAGAAAGATACATTCACAGGAGGAAACTGAGTGGCAAAAAAAAGAAAAAAAAATTTACAGACACCCCTGGGCCAGGGTTAAGACCAACAAAACCTGAAACCCCATCTCTACAAAAAATACAAATATTAGCTGGGCATAGTGGCAAGAGCCTATAAACCCAGCTACTCCGGAGGCCAAGGTGGGAAGATTACTTGAGCCTGAGAGGCTGAGGATGCAGGGAGCCAAAATTACACAACTGCACTCCAGCCTGGATGACAGAGCCAGACCCTGTCTCAAAAAGTACATATAAACAAATAAAAAATAAATAAAAAGACACTCTTTTCTTATCGATACTTAGCTAAAACACACTTAGTACTTTTTGTCACATTCTTTGCTGGGTGTGGTGGTGAACAACTGTAGTCCAAACTACTCCAGAAACTGAGGTATGAAGATCACTTGAGCCCTAGAAGTTCAAGGCTACAGTACGCTATGATCACGCCACTGCACTCCAGCCTGGGCGACAAGAGTAAGAACTCATCTCAAAAAAGGGGAAAAAAAAGGTCTTAAAAAAATTAAAAATTAAAAATTAAAAACATAAGACACTTAACCTCATCATTAATTGGAAAACTTAATTACAGGCACAGTGACTCATGCCTGTAATCTCAACACTTTGGGAGGACACAGCAGAAGGACTGGTTGAGCCCAGGAGTTGGAGACCAGTCTGGGCAACTTGGCAAAACCCCGTCTCTACAAAAAGTTCAAAAATCAGTCAGGCATACTGGCTCATGCCTGTAGTCCCAGCTTCTCAGGAAACTGAGACAGGAGGATCACTTGAGCCCTGGAGGCTGAGGCTGTAGTGTGCTGTGATCATGCCACTGCACTCCAGCCTAAGAGGCAGAACGATATCAAGTCTACAAAAAAAGAAAGAAGAGGCCAGGCACAGTGGATCACGTCTGTAATCCTAGGACTTTGGGAGGCCGATGCGGGAGATCACTTGAGGTCAGGAGTTCAAAACCGGCCTGGCCAGCATGGTGAAACCCCTTCTCTACTAAAAATATTTTTTAAAATTAGCCAGGCGTGGTAGCACATGCCTGTAATCCTAGCTACACGGGAGGCTGAGGCAGGACAATCACTTGAACCGGGGAGGCGGAGGTTACAGTGAGAGGAGACTGCGTCACTGCATTTCTAGCCTGGGGAACAAAACAAGAGCGAAACTCCATCTCCAAAAAAAAAAAAAAAAAAAGAAAAGAAAAGAAAAGAAAAAAATGCTAATATAAGCCATTAAAGGATAGCATTTAAAAAAAATTAATAACCTAACTAACACCATGACGAAGACAAGGTGAAAACAAAGTTGTTTACCTTGCTAGTGGAAATGTACTTGTTTGGAAAGCATAAAAGTACATGAATAGCATAGATTATTCCATTTACAAAAACACTAACAATAACAAGAAAACATATTATCACTTTTTTTTTTTTTTTGAGACGGAGTCTAGCTCTGTCGTCCAGTCTGGAGTGCAGTGGCACAACCTCGGCTCACTGCAATCTCCGCCTCCCGGGCTCAAGCAATTCTCCCGCCTCAGCCTCCCAAGTAGCTGGGATTACAGGTACCCGCGACCACACCCAGCTAATTTTTATATTTTTAGTAGAGACGGGGTTTCGCCATGTTGGCCAGGCTGGTCTCGAACTCCTGATCTCAGGTGATCCTCCCGCCTCACCCTCCCAAAGTGCTGGAATTACACACATGTATTTAAGTACAAAAACACGTATGGGAATTCTGACAGCCTTGAGTGTGCCACTCAGATTTCCCTTCAAGAGAGAAAATGTTGCAAGGAGTGTAGTTAACTGACAGCCCCAGCTACCAGAAATCTACTACAGCACCCATACCAAGGCTAGGCTACTCTAGGCTGCTCCCAGCCAATGACTGAACACAGCAGATGTTCACAAAGAAGGACCATTCCTGCCCAACAGACTCTTCTAACAATCTACTCTGGCTGAGATTTTCTCTGAACTGCAAGCTGCACTGCAGTTTGAGGTTCCTCTATCAATCATTAATCATCATTCCTTCCCTCTCTTCTTTCACAGGTGTCACACATGCTTCCAGTGTAAAGGCTCTTGCCACCTACACCTCCTTCCTCTCTTTATCCTTCACAAGCATACCCTAATGAACCTCTTGCACATCTAATTCTGTCTTGTCATCTGCTTCTCAGAAGATGCAAACTATCACAGAAATAATATAAACCAACTGTGAATTAATGAAGAAAGAAGGCGGGAATGAGGCTTTAGCTGTACCTGAAGCAAATATTGCCTAGTATTAAATCAGTGTTTGGTCGGGTGCGGTGGCTCAAGCCTGTAATCCCAGCACTTTGGGAGGCCAAGGCGGGTCAATCACCTGAGGTCAAGAGTTCGAAACCAGCCTGGCCACCATAGTGAAACCCCGTCTTTTTTTTTTGAGACAGAGTCTCACTTTGTCACCTAGGCTGGAGTGCAGTGGTGCCATCTACGCTCACTGCAACCTTTGCAGCCTGGGTTCAAGCAATTCTCCTGCCTCAGCCTTCTGAGTAGCTGGGATTACAGGCATGCACCACCACGCCCAGCTAATTTTTGTGTTTTTAGTAGAGAGGGGTTTCATCATGTTGGCCAGGTTGGTCTTGAACTCCCGACCTCAAGTGATCCGCCTGCCTCGGCCTCCCAAAGTGCTGGGATTACAGGTGTGAGCCACCATGCCCAGCCAGCGAAATACCATCTCTACTAAGAATACAAAAATTAGCAGCCGGGCGCGGTGGCTCACGCCTGTAATCCCAGCACTTTGGGAGGCCAAGACGGGCAGATCACGAGGTCAGGAGATCGAGACCATCCTGGCTAACATGGTGAAACCCCATCTCTACTAAAAATACAAAAAATTAGCCAGGCGTGTTGGCGGGCACCTGTAGTCCCAGCTACTCGGGAGGCTGAGGCAGGAGAATGGCGTGAACCCAGGAGGCGGAACTTGCAGTGAGCTGAGATCACGCCACTGCACTCCAGCCTGGGGAACAGAGTGAGACTCCGTCTTCAAAAAAAAAAAAAAAAAAATTAGCTGGGCATGGTGGCACACACCTGTAGTCCTAGCTACTCGGGAGGCTGAGGCAGGAGAAGCACTTGAACCTGGGAGACAGAGGTTGCAGTGAGCCAAGGTCACACCATTGCTCTCCAGCCTGGGTGACAAGAGCAAAACTCTGTCTCAAAATACAATAAAAAATAAAACTAAAATCAATCAATCAATCACTGGCTGGGCGCGGTGGCTCACGCTTGTAATCCCAGCACTTTGGGAGGCCGAGGTGGGCGGATCACGAGGTCAGGAGATCAAGACCACGGTGAAACCCCATCTCTACTAAAAATATAAAAAATTAGCCGGGCGTGGTGGTGGGCGCCTGTAATCCCAGCTACTCAGAGAGGCTGAGGCAGGAGAAGGGCGTGAACCCGGGAGGCGGAGCTTGTAGTGAGCTGAGATCGCGCCACTGCACTCCAGCACCCCAGCCTGGGTGACAGAGCGAGACTCCGTCTCAAAAAAATAATAATAATAATTAAATAAATAAATCACAAAGCATTGCCAGGCACATGCCTGTGATCCCAGCACTTTGGGAGGCCAAGGCAGGAAGACTGCTTGAGCACAAGAGTTAGAGACCAGCCTGGGCTCAAGCGTGGTGATGTGCACATGTATTCCCAGCAACTGATGAGGCTGAGGGGGGAGGATCACTTGAGTCTGGGAGGCAGAGGTTGAAGTGAGCCAACATCAGGGCCACTGCACTCTAGCCTGTGTGACAGAGCAAGACCTTGTTTCAAAAAAAAAAAACAAAACAAAACAAAACCACAAAGCATTCACCATATTTTTTTTACAATGATCTAAAGCATAAAAAAAGCAGAACATAGAATCACCAGTGAAAACAAATGAAAGGCATATCAAGACACCCTGTTCAGTAAAATTACCTATTCCACATGAAAACATAACACAGTTTTCTGACAGAAGTCAACTCTGAAGTGACAGTTAAGCCAATGACAACCACAAATTTTCAGATCTGATTAAATACATTGGATTAAACATTCAAAATAAAGGTTGCTTTTTTAAAGGGCCACTATCTCAAAAATATTCATCATTAACAATGTACGCCTCTGAAGCACCAAGGACGTGTATAAAGAGAATAAAAAAAATTAAAAAATAGTAATAATAATGGCTGAACACGGTGGCTCACACCTGTAAGCCCAGCACTTTGGGAGGCCAAGGCAGGCAGATGGCTTGAGCCAAGGAGTTCGAGACCAGCCTGGACTACGTGGCAAAACTCTTGTCTCTACAAAAAATACAAAAAAACTAGTCAGGCATGGTCGTGGACATCTGTAGTCCCAGCTACTTTCGAGGTAAAGTATGGATGGGAGGATAGTGTGCGCCCAGGAGGTTCAAGTTCACTGCCGCCATGATCACACCACTATACTGGTGACAGAGTGTGACCCTATCTCAAAAAAAAAAGGAAAAAAAAGGAAAGAAAAACATTATTCATTTCAAAATAAGTGATGCTTTGCTTATGTAGGAAAGAACCAACCAGAGGTAGGATAGATAAGCATCCCCCCTCTTACCCTATTATTCTGTAACTACTGAATATTAAAAGAAACCAATGACAACTCAGCATAATCTGCGGCAGACAGCATGGAAAGGCAGTCTGGACAACACATGTAAGAACAAAGCCTAAGTTAAAAGTGTAGGGCTGCACTTAGGTTTTTAACTCTTTTTTTTTTTAACTCTTTAAAAGTTGGTAAAACTTTTTATTTCAGTGTAAACACAAATGGTATTCTAACTACCAAGCAATGCCACACTACACCGATCTAATCTAGGTATTAATTATTTTATAAGAACTGAATCAGGGCCAGGCGTGGCGGCTCACGCCTGTAATCCCAGCACTCTGGGAGGCCGAGGCGGGCGGATCACGAGGTCAGGAGATTGAGACCATCCTGGCTAACATGGTGGAACCCCGTCTCTACTTAAAATACAAAAAAATTAGCCGGGCGTGGTGGCAGGCGCCTGTAGTCCCAGCTACTCGGGAGGCTGAGGCAGGAGAACGGCATGAACCCAGGATGCGGAGCTTGCAGTGAGCCCGGATTACACCACTGCACTCCAGCCTGGACAACAGAGCGAGACACCGTCTCAAAAAAAAAAAAAAAAAAGAACTGAATCAGGATTTTAAGACTAACGTGCTCTATCCACCTCATTCACTCTTTGTAAGGCATGACAGAATTAAATCTTCCTTTGAACTGCATAGGAAATATCAGATAGTCTTAGCTCCAACCATTTGCTTTCAAACCTAAATAGGGTCAAGCTGGCATACCGCAAATAAGTAAAATCTGACAAAAAAATCAGGCCGGGCACAGTGGCTCACACCTGTAATCCCAACACTTTGGGAGGCCGAGGTGAGTGGATCACCTGAGGTCAGGAGTTCGAGACCAGCCTGGCCAACATGGTGAAACCCATCTCTACCAAAAATACCAAAATTAGGGCTGCGCAGTGGCTCACGCCTATAATCCCAGCACTCTGGGAGGCCAAGGCAGGCAAATCACCTGAGGTTGGGAGTTCACGACCAGCCTGACCAACATGGAGAAACCCTATCCCTACTAAAAATACAAAATTAGCTGGGTGTGGTGGCCCATGCCTGTAATCCCGGCTACTCGGGAGGCTGAGGCAGGAGAATTGCTTGAACCTGAGAGGTGGAGGTTGAGGTGAGCCGAGATCGAGATCATGCCATTGCACCCCAGCCTGAGCAACAAGAGAAAAAAACTCCATCTCAAAAAAAAAAAAAATTGCAAAAATACCAAAATTAGCCAGACATAGTGGCACACGCCTGTAATCCCGGCTACTGAGGAGGCTGAGGCAGGAGAACTGCTTGAACCCGGGAGGCAGAGGCTGTGTGAGCTGATTGTGCCACTGCACTCCAGCCTGGGCAACATAGAAAGACTCCATTTCAAAAAAAAAAAAAAAAAAAAAAAAAAGGTCGGGCGCAGTGGCTCACGCCTGAAATCCCAGCACTTTGGGAAGCCAAGGTGGGTGGATCACCTGAGGTCAGGAGTTCGAGACCAGCCTGGCCAACAAGGTGAAACCTCATCTCTACTAAAACTACAAAAACTAGCCGGGTGTGGTGGTGTGCGTCTGTAATCCCAGCTACTCAGGAGGCTGCAGCAGGAGGATCGCTTGAACCCAGGAGATGGAGGTTGCAGTGAGCTGAGATCATGCCACTGCACTCCAGCCTGGGTGAAAGAGCGAGACTCTGTCTCAAAAAAAAAAAATCAAAGTCAAATTCCTCCATTCATGCATCTCTACCATAGTTACTTATTTTACTATAATAAAAAAAGAAAAGAAAAAAAGCTGCCTGTTAAGTTTCACGTCCACCTCTCTGTTCAAATTCTAGTAAAAGAGAAGAACAAAGACACACTCAAAACTGAGGTAGGGACAGGGCATGGTGGCTCACGCCTGTAATCCCAGCACTTTGGGAGGCCGAGGGGGGCAGATCACCTGAGGTCAGGAGTTCAAGACCAGCCTGGCCAATATGGTGAAACCCCGTCTCTACTAAAAACACAAAAATTAGCCAGGCATGGTGGCACGCACCTGTAGTTCCAACTACTTGGGAGGCTGAGGCAGGAGAATCACTTGAACCTGGGAGATGGAGGTTGCAGTGAGTCAAGATTGTGCCATTGCACTCCAGCCTGGGCAACAGATCAAGACTCCGTCTCAAAAAAAAAAAAAAAGGCGGGGGGAGGGGCAGTCACAGTGGTTCACGCCTGTAATCCCAGCACTTTGGAAGGACAAGGCGGGGAGATCACCTGAAGCAAAGAGTTCGAGACCAGCCTGGCCAACATGGTGAAACCGCATCTCTAATAAAAACACAAAAATTAGTTGGGCGTGGTGGTGGGCACCTGTAATCCCAGCTACTCTGGAGGCTGAGGCAGGAGAATCACTTGAACCTCGGAGGTGGAGGTTGCAGTGAGCCAAGATCGTGCCACTGCACTCCAGCCTGGGCAACAGAGTGAGACTTGGTCTCAAAAAATAAAAGAAAAAAGAAAAAAACAAGTAGGAGGAGGAAATAAAAACTAGTAAGGATCAAACTCTCAATTCTTAATTTATTACTCAATTCACTACTCTTAAATTGCAGTCATGGAAAGAACCTGTCTTAAGTCTTAAACAGCTAAGAAAGAATTTTGCTATAAAACAAACATCAGTTGGCTGGGCACGGTGGCTCACCCCTGTAATCCCAGTAATTTGGAAGGCTGAGGTGGGTGGATCACCTGCGTTCAGGAGTTCCAGACCAGCCTGATCAACATGGAGAAACCCTGTCTCTACTATAAATACAAAAAATTAGCCAGGCATGGTGGCGCATGCCTGTAATCCCAGCTACTTAGGAGGATGAGGCAGGAAAATTGCTTGAACCCAGGAGGCAGAGGTTGCGGTGAGCCCAGATCACGCCATTGCACTCCAGCGTGGGCAACAAGAGTGAAACTCCGTATTAAAAAAAAAAAAAATGTTGTATCATTTCTATTCCAAAATGGAAGCCTTCCTTCCCCTTAAGCTTTTAAGTTAAATGAAAAGACACATAAAAAACCACTAGGAAATAGTAAAGTCTCAATTTTCTGCCATATCTAGAAAACTGTGTCCCCCTGCTTAGGTTGGCAAAACAAGGTTTGAAATTACTTTACACCAGTTAGATTCCTTTCCAGATTAAAACAAACACAAAATAAAGAAATTTGGGGCCGGGCGCGGTGGCACATGCCTGTAATCCCAGCACTATGAGAGGCCGAGACGGGCGGATCACGAGGTCAGGAGATCAAGACCATCCTGGCTGACACGGTGAAACCCCGTCTCCACTAAAAATACAAAAAATTAGCCAGGAGTGTTGGTGGGCGCCTGTAGTCCCTGCTACTCTGGAGGCTGAGGCAGGAGAATGGCGTGAACCTGGGAGGCGGAGCTTGCAGTGAGCTGAGATCACACCACTGCGCACTCCAGCCTGAGGGACAGAGCAAGACTCCGTCTCAAAAAAAAAAAAAAGAAATTTGGAAATTTTAATATCAATACTCAACCAATTGGCAGCAAGACTATGCAGCAAAACAGTTAGATGTTTTCCTTTTTATTTCTGAGACAGGGTCTCACTCTGTCACCCAGGCTGGAGTGCAATGGCCAGATCACTGCTCACTGCAGCCTTGACTTCCCAGAGATCCTCCAGCCTCAGACCCCCCCGTAGCTGAAACTACAGGCACATGCCACCATGCCCAGCTAATTTTTTTATTTTTTGTTGAGACAGAGTCTGACTACATTGCCCAGGCTGGTCTCCAACTCCTGAGCTCCAGAGATCCTCCAGCCTTGGCCTCCCCAAGTGTTGGGACTACAGGTGTGAGCTACTGCAATCTGATAAATGTTTTCCATTTTAGAATAGCTGGTCACTAGCAAGTTTATGCTCATATCTATTCCAACAAAAAGCCCAAAGACAGTTCAAAATATTATATTTGCTGTTTCAAAGAAAAGTATAACTCCAAAGAAGTCAAACTCATTACTAACAATGCAGAGCTGATGTCAATATTTCGATGAATGTCAGAAATCTAATTCCTGTTGTTGACAAATATGCCCTTTTCCTTAGTCACATCCAACACATCTACATAAAGTTTTCAAAATTTATGTTAACAAAAATGTATCAAAAAGCCTACCAACTTACTCAAAGATTTGTGGAAGTCGATTTTTAAAAATAATACATTAGGAAAATTTGGTAACAAGCTTTATGTTCTGTGTTTTAAAGCAAAGATAGACTTGACCTACAAAATGAAGACAGGGTCAACTGTAACCAAAAAACAGTATGCTTCCCCTGGTGGCCAACCAAGGAACGGAGGAGCCAAGCATACAAGAGATATAGCCTGGCCACCTAGTTCTATCCTGTCACTCATAAACGAGAAGTGACTACCAAAAAAAAAAAAAAGAATTGGGGAGAAGAGGAAACTATCAAAAACACTAACATGGACTTAAAAGAAACACAAACGCGAGTATTAGACAAATAAATTTAACAGATTTACGTCAACAAATCAAAATTTAGAAGGCCAATTTAGGAAGTCATTTATTTCCAGAGTGTCCAAGAGCTCACCTAGGACCTCTATGTATTTTCACTTCAAAGTGCAGTTTAGTACCTTAATAACAGCTTGAGAGCAATCGCCTTTTT
Organism: Homo sapiens; assembly: GCF_000001405.40. Lineage (NCBI taxonomy): Eukaryota > Metazoa > Chordata > Mammalia > Primates > Hominidae > Homo > Homo sapiens. The sequence goes on along the minus strand of NC_000014.9, from coordinate 102,594,425 downwards.
CAAGGACTAGATCATTGCAATTTTCTGCAGTCTTGTTTCCAAGGAAAAAACATGTATGCGTTTATCTTTTCAAATAAACTAGTGGTATAACCCACATACAGAACCCCAGCTCTAAAGCCCTCCAACCATGGAGGATTGTTAACTCCAGCTTTACAAGATGCTCTTTTGAATTTTATTTCTGAAATAAATCCTACGTTCTTTCAAACATTTTCCATACCAACAACCTTTAAAGACAGTCTCATACAGACACTGGCTAGAATCTCATGCATTAAAATCTGACGAATTCCTTTGTCTGATCGGATTTTTTTTCTTGTACCACTTTAAATTTGCTTCTACACAGAATAGCAGCCAGGGAACTAAGTGTTCCATTCTAGGGTGTAGGGCTTTCTTGTAGGTGAAAAGCATTTGTTAGGCTAAAGCTTCTGATGCTTCTCAATTTCACAATCTCTTCCTCCAAAAAAAAGGAAATACACACATTTACAAATAGGTCCTAAAATCCAACTGCCACACGCGAGACTCTCTTCCCCAGGCAGGCGCCCTCTGGAAAACACACTTCTTTTATTGACTGGTTTTGGGGGGTCGTTCTTCTACTCGCCTTCTGGATGGGAGGGCAGTCAGGAGCCAGCAAGAGCCCAGAGGCTGAGAGGAGGAGCAAAGGCGTGGGGAGCAGCCTTTGGGAAGGGTTCCGAGAAAGGGGTCTCTGGGGACCTCCTAAGTCCGGGGCGCTCGCAGGACACTAACTCTCCGGCACTGCCACCCTTACCCCTGGCCGAGGCGCAGCTCACCTGGACGCAGGGACCCCCAGCGCCCCCAGGCCAGGTGTGGCCACCTCCGACGCCACCCGCAGTCCTCGGAGGCGCAAGGGGGCAGCGGCGCCGGCCCTGCTGGGGGCGACCTGGCCTCCCCCGGGTGCAGAGGCACGTTTGCAGAACACTCGTGTGCGTGTGCGCCTCCTCGTCCTCGCCCTGCTGTTCTCCCCACGGACGGCAGGGCGAACGCACAAAAAGAAAGTTGTCGGCGGGCTCCCGCCCCCTCGGGCTCGCCGGGGACCCGGGGCTCCCGCTCATCCCCGCCGCCGGCCGGCCGGGGCCGCTACTCACCGGGGTCGAAGTCGGGCACCACCGCCTGGTACTGGGGTCCGACCCTCATGCCACCGCCACCTGCGGGGGAAGCAGAATACGGCGGTCAGCGCGGCGCGGGGCGCGGGGCCCGGGGCCGCGGGGGCGGCTGCCACCTACCGTGCTCCTCGTCGCTGGACGAGCCCGAGCTGCCTTCCTCCCAGGAGTTGCTGCTGCTGTTGCCATTGGGCGCCGCCGCCGCCAAACTTTTATTCTGGCCATTATTGGGGGCGGCGGCGGCTGAGGCGGCGGCGGCCGAGGCTGAGGAGGCGGCGGCGCCCGAGGCGGCAGTGGCGGCTGGCGAGGCGCAGGCGGCCGAGGCGGCGGCGGAGGCGGCGGCGGCGGAGGCGGAGGCGGCCGCGTTGTTCCTCCCTCTCCGCTTCCCTGAGACCTCGGGGCCCTTCTCCACCATGGCCGGCATCGGCGGGGGCCGGGGCCGTGCGAAAGTGGCGGGGACCCGCGGCTCCTGAGGAGGGGGCGCCGAGACGGGGGAGGGGGCGCGGGGCCGGCGCGGGGCCGGGCGGGCGCGGCGGGAGCCCACGGGCGCGAGTCCGAGTCGGGGGAGGCCCAAACGGGCAGAGCGCGGAGCCGCTTCAAGCCCCCAGCGACGAGCCGAGCGCAACTTTCGCTCTCATCGCCGCCCTCACTTCACTGGCACCAACTACTCCGGGAGCAGCGAGCGGAGAGGGGAGGAGGCAGGGGCGGGGCCTGCAGGGGCGCCGGGGGAGGGGGGCGCGCAGCCCAACTGACGCGAGATGGCTCCGCCCCCCCTCGCGCTCCCATTGGCTCTGGTGGGATTTGGACAGCCAGCGGCAGCGGGGTTGGCTCCGCGCGCCCGTCCGTCCGGGGCGGCGGGGCGGGGGAGCGGGGAGGGGCGGCTCCGGGCTTCCGTTGGCGAGGTTCGGTTGACGCGTATCGCCCGCCGTACGTGGTTTGAGGTTTGCCATCTCCCTACGCCCCATGATCCATCTCTCCAGGCAGCGGCGAGGAGTTCGCGGCCCTCCCCGCCCCCTACCCTTGGCCGCGGCCCCTGCCCTTGCTGCCCGCGCACGCCTCCCGCAGCCTCTGGCCCCCCATCTGAAGGACCCCGCTGAGAGTCCCGTCGACTTCTCAAAGTAAAATGTGTCTGGCGCTGGGAAGCCGCGGAGCGCCCGGCCGGGACTACTTTCCGCTGCGCGGAGGAGTACGGGCGCGCTAAGACTCCATACAAAGAGGAAACTAATTGGGGGAAACTCGCTGCGCCCCCGCCTTTCCCAGGGGACGCGGGGCTGGCGGGGGCGGGGGCCGCGGCGCGGGGGACGGGCTTCCCAGGCGGCCGCCTCCCCTGGCGCGAGCTGCGTGGGGACTCGGGTCTGCGGTGCTGCCCGCTAATTGGGTGGGGGAGGCCGGGGCCCCCGGGGTGGCTTGGGTGCGGGGTGCGCCGCGGCTTCAGAGGCCCAAGGGAGGGTCCCCGTGGGTCCCCGGGGCACAGAGTCCCGGCGTGGGGACGCCCAAGCCGCCTGGGTGGCCGCTGAAAGATGAATGAAGGGGCCCAGTCGTCCTGGGGCGGGGGTCCAGGAAGGGTAAAGAGGAAGAAGCTATTTTCATCCCAAGCTCTCGGCACGGGAGGAGGGTCAACTTCTTTCGGGGCGAGGGCAGCCACTTTTCCGGACCTGCCGCCCGCCCCGCCTCCCTACTCCCCCCGGCACCCCCACGAGGGAGAACACGGGGTGCGGGCGGGTGGGGTAGGCTGAGGCTAGCCTGAGAGCCGCTGCCTTGGAGAGGGACCACCGGGCAGCCGTACAGCTGTTAGGAGGCTGAGGAGTGTAACTGCCTTGGAGGTCCCGGTGCCCTACCCCCAGCCAACCCTGAAACTACGCGCCCTTCGTAATTAGACCAGTGGAGGTCTATACGGAAAATCTTTTTAAAGCAGGGAAGGCTATTTTTCTTTTAAGTTACTTCAAACCTGAGCTTAATTTGGGGACTAGCTCTGGATATAAATAGCTACAGGGAGAATTTGGGAGTTTTATGGTTTTAAAGCCTGAGTAAATAAGCAGGGTTTTGTCTTGAACATTTTCTGCAGCATGAACCATTATTAACTTTATTGAAGAGACCACGTTCACTTCTGCCTAAATGGCCTTTAAGAAACAGGGCTGGGAGCCCTCCTGGTATAGAAGCCCTTCCCCCACCAAGTTCAGGTGGGGGACTTAGACTTTTAGACTCTCCTCAAAAGTACGTCCCTCTCCTTGGAGTGCCCTGGATGCTGCAGGTGTGTGCCCCAATACACCCTGTCAGCTGGCCTGGGCAGGGTACAGAACCGGGGTGGCATTCCCGGGGCTGGGCCACCGGCTAAGGCCTCTGACTCATCCGGAGGTGAGCCCTGTGTGAGGAATGAGGTCCAGAACACGCTGCCCCGCTCGCTTGGTGTCTACAAAGTTCTGCCACGAGACTAGAAGGATCAACCTACAAGGGCACAAAGGTGATACTGGGTCATTAAGGCAATAGGGATAGCAGAGCACACAAGGCCGCCCTCTCCACCCACCAGCCCCCAAGGCTGAGGCCAGGCTGGGCTACCAGTAGGGGCGCAGCAGTGGACTTGACAAGCATTCTTTTTTTTTTTTTTCCAACGAATATTAACACTTAATATGTGCCGGGCCCTGTTCTATTTTGTCTGACCCTAATGCTACACCGATACTGTATTGGCCTGAAGCTCTCAGATTTACCAACCGTAAAATACAGGAAACAGTACCTACCTCCTGGCCTGATGGACTGTAATAGAGTCCATCCTTCCAGCATAGGGAACCCCAACGTTAAGGACACTCGCCTTCCCATCGCTTGGGGAGAGGGCTCCACACACAGCCCTGGGATTGGGAATTTGTGATCCCACACTTCTAACGCATCCACAAAGCCGGCAGCCCTATCATGTTTTTCGGTGAGACTCCCACTCTGAAAGTGAGACCTCATGCCTGCTCCCCTCTCCTTACACCTCCCACAGCCCCTTCTGCCTGGGCTCCTAGCCCGTGGCCTTACCTCATTCTTCAGAGAAAAACGAAAGCCTTCAGGATCTTTCTCCTCTCCCAGTACCCAAACAGACAAACTTCCCTGTCGGGTACTCACGTCCTCCTCAGGCCTAGGACCCCATCCCGCTGCCCTCCCCTCGAGGCTTTTCTGTGCCATCAGCCTCACTCTGGACCGACTCCTGCCCCCAAACCCTCTCCTGCCTCTGGCCATTTCTCCCTCCCTTCAGACATTTCTGTAGACTTCCCTACACTCACCTCCTCCACCCCTTCCCGTCCCAGCCTCTCATCACCCCATCCAGCAGGGCTGTGTCCCCACCCCTTAACTGCTGCTAAGGTAACCTACAACCTCTCCGCTGCCCAATCCGGGGGTCACTTCTTGGTCTCGCTGAGCTTCTCAGCAGCAGCTGAGTCGACCACTCCTCCTCCTGGAAACCCTCACTTATCTGGACCTGGGGATTCCAGTTCACCTGGTCCTGCTACCTCACAGGTCACTCCCCATCAGTCTCCTCTGCAGCTTTCAACCTGTCATCGTTGGGATTCCTCCTTGCCTTTTTCCTTTCATTAATTTTTTTTTTATCCAGAGTCTCACTCTGTCGCCCAGGCTGGAGTCCAGTGGCACGATCTGGGCTCACTGCAACCTCTGCCTCAGCCTCCCGAGTAGCTAAGATTACAGGCACCCGCCACTACACCCGGCTAATTTTTGTATTTTTAGTAGAGACGGGGTTTCACCATATTGGCCAGGCTGGTCTTGAACTCCTGGCCTCGTGATCCGCCCGCCTCGGACTTCCAAAGTGCTGGGATTACAGGCTTGAGCCATGGCGCCCGGTGACATAGCGAGATCCCGTCTGTATAAAACAAAAACAAAAAAAAAAACTGTGACCCTATGACCATCTCGTCCCCCCACCCTAAAAAAAAACAAAAACTATGACCATGACCATCTCATACCCCACCCTTATAGATGAGAAAGCTGAGGCACCCAGAAGTGAAATATCTTCCTAGGATCAGGCATGATATGAGGGGAGGAGCCGGGGCACAGCTAAGCCAGGAGCTATGGAGCCTCTTAACCAAGGCCAGAGTTGCCCCAGGGATTCTGGGACGGCCAGGGGCAAGGGTGTCTGCAACATGCTTGGTCTGATGCTAAACATACAGTGTTTATAATTTTGTATTCATTGTATTTTCCCAGAAAAAGGGAAGGGAAAAGAGTCAGCATGTGTTATAAAATGATTAGAAAATGGGAAAGGAAGTACCTGGTACAGCAAAATCAACCATCAAATGAACATACCCCAGTGATGGAGTCATCAAAGCCCAAAGGGGCTCCGTCTCCTTCAGTTCAGGAATGAAGGGAAGGGATCAGGAAAAGGAGAGACGGGTACAGGCTTTCCTACCCCAGTGTTTATAGTTCTTCCTGCTGCTAATTATTATTATTACTATATTTGGGCTTGTTAGAAAATTCTGTTTGGCAAGGAATTCCTTTCCCAAGAATGGAGCCAGGCAGAGGGCAGGGTATGGGCCAGGGCTGGGAAGTGTCAGGAAAACACCCTAAAGCCATTCCTGGGAGGTTTCAAGCCCCCAAAGGACTATTGGAAAACTGAGACTTCAGGCTGGAATTTTAGCCATCCTAAGAGTTCTGAACCTGGAATCCATGGATAGAATTCTGGAGACCATGAACCAGAGCTGGTAAATACATCTTTATTTAAATTAACCTTTAACACCAAGTGCGGTGGCACTCACTTATAATCCCAGGTACTTTGAGGCCTCCAGCAAGACCCCTGTCTCAAAAAAAAAATCAACCTTTAACCAAAATCCAGCATTTTCTTCACTTATGAATGTAGGTGATATTCCATCTCAACACATTGCAGTCACTGGAAATATCTCAAAATAGCATTTATTTATTTATTTTATTTTTATTTTATTTTTTGAGACAGAGTCTTGTTCTGTCGCCCAGGCTGGAGTGCAGTGGCATGATCTCAGCTCAGTGCAACCTCCCGGGTTCCAACTATTTTCCTCCCTCAGGCTCTGAGTAGCTGGGATCACAGGCACCCACCACCACGCCCAGCTAATTTTTGTGTTTTTAGTAGAGATGGGGTTTCACCATGTTGGCCAGACTGGTGTCGAACTCCTGACGTCGTGATCCGCCCACCTTGGCCTCCCAAAGTGCTGGGATTACAGGCATGAGCCACCGCGCCCAGCCTCAAAATAGCACGTATACTCGTCTCCAAAATCACAGAAGTTATTAGACCCACTGCTAGAACTTGTTACTTAATATGTTAATAACTAAGCAAGTAAATCGTAGACCTAATTGTAAGACCTAATTGTAAAACTATAAAACTGTCAGATGAAAACCTAAATCTCTGTGACCATGAGGTAGGCAAAGTCTTCTTGATTACGATGCCAAAAGGATAAGGAACAAAAGAGAAAAATTGGAATTCATAAAAATTAAAACTTGTGTGGGTGAGCATGGTGGCTTACGCCTGTAATCCCAGCACTTTGGGAGGCTGAAGCGGATGGATCACCTGAGGTCGGGAGTTCGAGACCAGCCTAACCAACATGGAGAAACCGCGTCTCTCCTACAGATAAAAATTTTGCTGCAGATGGTGGCAGGCTCCTGTAATCCCAGCTACTCGGGAGGCTGAGGCAGGAGAATCACATGAATACAGGAGGCGGAGGTTGCAGTGAGCAGAGATTGCGCCATTGCACTCCAGCCTGGGCAACGAGCAAAAACTCCGTCTCAAAAAAACAAACAAAAAAAAGATTAGCTGTGGCTGGATGCGGTGGCTTACGCCTGTAATCCCAGCACTTTGGGAGGCCAAAGCGGGCAGATCACGAGGTCAGAAGATCAAGGCCATCCTGGCCAACATGGTGAACCCCATCTCTACTAACAATACAAAAATTAGCTGGGTATGGTGGTGCATTCCTGTAATCCCAGCTATGGGGTGGCTGAGGCAGGATAATCTCTTGAACCAGGTAGTCGGAAGTTGCAGTGAGCGGAGATCACGCCACAGCACTCTAGCCTGGCAACAGAGTGAGACTCCGTCTCAAAAAAAAAAAAAAAAAAAAAGATTAGCCAGGCGCGGTGGTGGGTGCCTGTAATCTCAGCTACCTGGAGGCTGAGGCAGGAGCATCACTTGAACCTGGGAGGCAGAGGTTGCAGTGAGCCAATATCGCCCCCCATTGCAGCCTGGGTAACAGAGCGAGACTCCTGTCTCAAAAAAAAAAAAGGCCAAGAAACTCATGCAAAGATGCTCAATGTTAGCCGTCAGGGAAATGAAAAAACCACAAAGAGATGCCACTTCTTGCCCACCAGGATAGCACTCATCAAAAAGATGCAGTAACAAGTGCTGGAAGCCACTGCTGGTGGGAATGTAAAATGGTGCAGCTGCTTTGGAAAATAGTCTGGCAGTTTCTCAAGAAGTTAAACATAGAGTTGCCATTTGACCCAGAAATCCCACTCAGAGATATATACCCAAAACAACTGAAAACATATGTCCACACAAAAACTTGTGGGCAAATGTTCATAGCAGTATTATTCATACTTAATGTCCCTCATCTGATGAATGTTTAAACAAAGTGTGGTCTATCCACACTGGAATATGGGTCAGCCATAAAAAGGATGCTACAACATGGATGAATCCTGAACAGGTTAAATGAAGAAGCTAGTCACAAAAGACCACATAGTGTATGATTCCATTTCTATGAAATGTCCACAACAGGCAGAAAGCAGATTATTGGTTGCTGAGGGAGAGAGGAATGTGGAGTGACTGCAAATGGGTACAGGGTTTCTTTCTGAGGTAATGAGATGTTCTTTTTGTTGTTGTTTTTTGTTTTTTTGTTTGTATGAGACGGAGTCCCTGTCGCCAGGCTGGGGTATAGTGGCGCGATCTCAGGGTGCAATCTCGACTCACTGCAACCTCCACTTCCTGGGTTCAAGCGATCCTCCTGCCTCAGTCTCTCAAGTAGCTGGGAATACAGGTGCGCACCACCATGCCCAGCTAATTTTTTGTAGAGACAGGGTTTCACCATGTTGGCCAGGATGGTCTCGATCTCTTGACCTCGTGATTCACCTCCCTCAGCTTCCCAAAGTGATGGGATTACAACCGTGAGCCACTTCACCCGGCGAGATGTTCTAACATTGATTGTGGTGATGGTTGCATGACTCTGGATATACTAAAACTGCTGTATCGGACACTTCTCATGGGTGAATTGTATGGCATGTACTATGAATTATATCTCAAGGAAGCTGTTTGGAAAATAGAGATAATTAAATAACAGAAAGAATGAGGAGGAAGAAGACACAGAAGAACACATCATTCAGGGTCTCCGCGTTTCTGTAGATTTCGTTTCCTTTGCATCCTTCATTTGCCAGGGTGTTGGAGGAGATGGCCTCCCTGCCAGGACTTGAGACTTCAGGCCTGGCTTTCCACACCCACACCTTTGCTAGGGTGCCAAGGCCAGTGTGGGTGCCCCACCCCGTTCCCACAAGGCCACCCCGAGGAGTCCTCATCCCCATGCTCCTGGTGGGTCACGTCCACACTTTACGGTTATGTCAATCCTAACTCCAGCCTTGCAGCCAGGGCACCCTCCCGGTCCAGATGAACAAATGGAGGCCAGGCTGGGAGCTTGTCATCGCGATAAGATTATCGAGGGGAAGTGTGAGCCAGGCCCTTTCCTGCCCAGCCGCCCCGCCCTTTCTTTACATTCCCTTAGGAATGCTTTTCACTCTGTCTAAGAAGCTTCCCGTGAGGCATGGGCGGACGGCAGCAGCAGGCCTGGGACCAGTGTGAGGCCTCCCTCAAGGGGCCGCAGGCATGTGGGAAGACCAGCTCGGGCAGAGCTCAGACCTAGGCTGAAGCAGGTCTCTGCCCAGGAGAGGAGAGGGCCTCCTGCCTAAGCTGGCCTCAAGATTCCCCACTTTTGGGACCTCTCTTCCCAGGATTGCCCAGGGGTGAGGCTCCCACCAGGCCACGCGACCCAGATCATGCCCCTTGGCCTTCACAGCTCAGCTCGCAGGCCCCCTTCTCCAGGAGCCCTTCTGAACCTCCTGACCGCCTCAGCCCCCTGTCCCAGGCCCTGGTGTCCCCACTCCTGGCACTGATGACAGTTGTCATGAGCCATGCTTAGGGCTACTTGTGTTTCCCTCCCCCCTGCCCCCACCCCGAATTGTAAGCTCTGCAAGATAGGGTCTCACTCTTGTGTGTCTGGAATCCCGTGCCCAGCACAGAGCCTGCCACGCAGCAAGGGCTGCTTCAGTCACCACTGCTGACTTTGTCTTGGGGTCAGGCTGGGACATTTAAACCAGACCCCAGTAAGAGTGTAGATATATTGGCAGGGATATAGATAATGAGCAGAGCACTGGCTTCCCAGCAGCCTCGCAGCAGACAGATACCGGCTACACCAACATTTAGACCCTCAGAGAAAAGGGTGTTCTTTTCTCTGTCTAGAAACTGCCTTCCAAGAGTGGTTTCCTGGGCTGGGCACAGTGGCTTACACCTGTAATCCTAGCATTTTGGGAGGCCGAGTCGGGCGGATCAGTTGAGGTCAGGAGTTCGGGGTCAGCCTGGCCAACATGGTAAAGCCCCGTCTCTACTAAAAATACAAAAATTAGCCAGGCGTGATGGTGGGCGCCTGTCTTCCCAGCTACTCAGGAGGCTGAGGCAGGAGAATCGCTTGAACCCGAGAGGGGGAGGTTGCAATGAGCCTAGATCGTGCCACTGTACTCCAGCCTGGCGGACAGAGCAAGACTCCATCTCAAAAAAAAAAAAAGAAAGGTTTCCTGGCTGAGGACCTACCCCTTGTCCACAAGAGTGACAACTAGCCCTCCCGTCCCCCAGGATCTTTCAGTAAAAGACAAACCAGGGAACTCTCCCTGGGACAGACAGACAGATACGGATGGCCCTAGTGGGCAGGGGTGGGACGTGGAAAGGCTTGCTGGCATTCAGTCCTGCGGATGGTCAGGCCTGGCCCAGCTAGATGGGCCTCCATTCACCTCTCGTTCACAGATGAGAGACACATGGGGCTTTTCCCCAGGACACTGCAAGTACTGGGCCTGTCAAGAGTGACACGAGGGTGCCCTGGGAGGTGGGATACCTGGGCCGTACTCTTTCCTCTACCAGCTTAGATACCACGACACCCTTCCAACTGCCATCCCCTAATGACATGACAGCCAGAGATCATCTTTGAAACAAGGGCTGGATCACTTCCTTCCTGGCTTACAACCCCCACCACCCCCCACCCCCACCCCCGGTCCCTACGGGGATTTCCTGTGGGCCAAGGATGAAATTCCAAACACTCCACAGCTGGCCCCAGGCACATGAGGCATGGCCCTGCCTCCAGCTCCACTTCGACTCCTGGCCTCATGTCTCCCCTCCCCTTCACACCCTGCACCTGCCTCAGGGCCTTTGCATAAGAGCAACAACTAGCCCTCCCCTCCTCCAGGATCTTTCAGTAAAAGACAAACCGGGGAACCCTCCCTGGAACAGACAGACAGAGAGATGGATGGCCCTAGGAGGCAGGGGTGTGACACGGAGAGGCCTGCTGGCATTCGGCTGTTTCTAGGCCGGGAACACCTTTCCCCCAATCTTCCCAGGCTTCCTCTGCCTTACCCCACCTACATGTCACCTCCTCCAGGAGCCTTCTGACCATCCCATCCATGGGAGGTCCCCACCCCTGCCCACTCCGGGGCTGTGCCTCATTACCAGCCCTGTCTCAGCTGCAGCCCTGGGACTCTTGGTTCTTGTATCTCTCTCCCTCCCCAGACCCCACCCCGCCCAGGACCTCTTGGTGTTGCCGTCCTGCTTGCACTGCTCCAGTGTTCAGCAGTGCCTGGTCTAGAGGAGAATGTGTCTCAGAGTCTCCTCTGCTGCGCACACATCTTGGGGCTCCTGGGAGTGACGCAGGGGATAGCCGAAGACCCTCTTCTCCTCCAGCCATCTCCCTCAATTTCCCCTAGCATCTGCCTTGCTGGCAGCCCCATATCATGTCTCTCCCTGCACTGGCCTAGCACACGGAGGGGAGAAGGGAGTGCCTGCTTCATGGACATGGGTTTCCTGCTGGAACTTCACTGTGGAGATGGTTGTGCAACATCGTGAATGTACTGTATGTCCCTGAATTGTACATTTGAAAATGATTTAAATGGCCAGGCGTGGTGGCTCACACAGCTTTGGGAGGCTGAGGCAAGAGGATCGCTTGAGCCCAGGAGTTCTGGGCTGTAGTGCGCTATGCCGAGAGGGTGTCCGCACTAACTTTGGCATTAATATGGTGACTTCCGAGGAGCAGGGGACCACCATGTTGCTTAAGGAGGGGTGAACCACCACCCCAGGTCGGAAATGGAGCAGGTCAAAACTCCCAGGCTGATCAGTAGCGGAATTGTGCCTGTGAATAGCCACTGCACTCCAGCCTGGGCAATACAGCAAGACCCTGTCTCTCTTTTTTCTTTTCTTTTTTTTTTTTTTTGAGACGGAGTCTCACTGTCACCCAGGCTGGAATGCAGTGGTGCAATCTCGGCTCACTGCAACCTCCGCCCCCTGGGTTCAAGCAATTCTCCTGCCTCAGCCTCCCGAGTAGTTGGGATTACAGGGGTCTGCCACCTCACCCCTAAAATGTATGTAAAAATACAATACTAATTATTGTATTTTTAGTAGAGTTGGGGTTTCACCATCTTGACCAGGCTGGTCTTGAACTCCTGACCTTGTGATCCACCTGCCTCGGCCTCCCAAAGTGCTGGGATTACAGGCGTGAGCCACCGTGCCTGACAACCCTGTCTCTTAAAAAAAAAAAAAAAAAAAAAATTATAGGCCGGGCGCAGTGGCTCAAGCCCGTAATCCCAGCACTTTGGGAGGCCGAGGCGGGCGGATCACCTGAGGTCAGGAGTTCGAGACCAGCCTCAACATGGAGAAACCCTGTCTCTACTAAAAATACAAAATTAGCCGGGCGTGGTGGCGCATGCCTGTAATCCCAGCTACTCAGGAGGCTGAGGCAGGAGAATTGCTAGAACCCGGGAGGCAGAGGTTGCAGTGAGCCGAGATCACGCCATTGCACTCCAGCCTGGGCAACAAGAGTGAAACTCTGTCTCAAAAAAAATAATAAAGTAAAATAAAATAAATTACAGGGATGAGGCAGGGAGGACAAAAAAAAAGAAAAATTTATTATTATTATTATTTTTGTTGTTGTTGTTGAGATGAAGTCTCGCTCTGTCGCCCAGGCTGGAGTGCAGTGGTGCAATCTCGGCTCACTGCAAGTTCTGCCTCCCAGGTTCACGCATTTCTCCTGCCTCAGCCTCCCTAGTAGCTGGGACTACAGGCGCCTGCCACCACACCCGGCTAATCTTGTTTTTTGTATTTTTAGTAGAGACAGGGTTTCACCATGTTAGCCAGGATGGTCTCGATCTCCTGACCCCATGATCCATCCGCCTCAGCCTCCCAAAGTGGTGGGATTACAGGCGTGAGCCACCACACCCGGCCAACAAATTATTTTTTACAATTCCACACCCAATGTCAACTCTGCCTCCAGACACATCTGGAGTCCAGTCCTCTCTCGTTCCCCCACTGTCCCCACCATGGGGCAGGCCTCCTCACATCTCACCTGGCCTCCTTGCTTCTATCTTTGAAGCATGGGGCACAGAAGAATACGGCTAATACAGAAACCATATCACGTCTGGTCCTGCTCTAGACCGTCACCCAGAACAAAAACATAGGCTTGGTCGGGCACAGTGGCTCACTTTGGGAGGCTGAGGCGGGTGGATTGCCTGAGCTCAGGAGTTGAAGACCAGCCTGGGCAACAACGGTAAAACCCCGTCTCTACTAAGATACAAAAAATTAGCCAGGCATGGCAGCATGCACCTGTAATCCCAGCTACTCGGGAGGCAGAGACAGGAGAATCGCTTGATCCTGAAAGGCGGAGGTTGCAGTGAGCCGAGATATTGCGCCACTGAATTCCAGTCCAGGCGACAGAGCAAGACTCCATCTCAAAAAAAAAAAAAACAAAACAACAACACCAAAAAAAAAAACCATAGGTTTGGCTGGGTGTCATGGCTCACACCTGTAAGTCCAGTACTTTGGGAGGCTGAGGCGGACAAATCACTTGAGGCTATGAGTTCAAGACCTGTCTGCACAACATAGGGAGACTCCATTTCTGCAACAACAACAAAAACAAAAATTTTAAATTAAATTTAAAAATTAAGGCCAGGTGCAGCTCACGCCTGTAATCTCAGCACTTTGGGAGGCGGGCAGATCACCTGAGGTCAGGGGCTCAAGACGAGCCTGGCCAACATAGCGCAATCCTGTCTTTACTAAAAATACAAAAAAAATTACCTGTGCAGGTGGCAGGCAGCTTTAATCCCAGCTACTCAGGAGGCTGAGGCAGGAGAATCGCTTGAACCCAGGAGGCGGAGGTTGCAGTGAGCAGAGATGGCGCCATTGCACTCCAGCCTGGGTGCAGAGCATGGTGGCACACACTTGAGCCCAGGAGTTTGAAGTAACAGCGAGCTCTAGCCACTGCACTCCAGCCTGGGAGACAGAGGGAGACCCTGTCAACAACAACAACAACAAAAATAGAAAGAAAAGAAAGGCTTTCCAGCAGTTTACAAGGCCCTCCACAAGCAGCAAGCAGGCCTCCAGTGGCCTTTTGTGACCCAGTCTTGTCATGTTGCCTCCCTGAGTCACCACCTGCTCTAGCCCGCCTGGCCTCCCTGATGCTCCTGGAACAACCCAGTCCTGCCCGAGTGCAGGGCCTTTGTGCCTGCCGCTCCCTGTGCTGGAGGGCTCTTCCCCTGACACCCCTTGGGCTCCCTCCTGCCCCCTTCAAATTCTCACTCGCATGTCACCTTCTCAGCAAGGCCATCCCTGACAGCCCCACCCCTGGGCTCTCCCTTCTATGTGTCACCCCTGGTGTATCTGATTTGATTTCTATGGTATGGCCCCCCTGGGGATGGCAGCCTGTGAGAGCAGAGATTTTTGCCTGTTTTGCTCCCCAGAGCCTACAGCAGTGCGTGGCACATAGCAACTTCATGCCCACCTGAGAAATGAATGAGCCATTTTCCAGGGGAGGACACTGAGGCCCAGGGGGCCAGAGCCCTGTCTCGAAGTCACACAGCTGTGACAGGCAGCGCGCGGGACTCCTCCGGCATCTCTCCCGGCTCCCAGGTCCTTCCAGCTCAAGCTGCTTGTGATTTTGGTTAGTATCCACCCCGTGGAAGACTGAGTGTCCTCACAGCTTTCTCATCTTCTTGCTGAGAAGGCAAATATTCAAAAATACTTTGACAATGACATTCTCCAGTTCCCGAGGCTGTGTGCGATGCCAAAAATGATGTGACTAATTAGCAGACCACGGGGCCCAGCAGCCCAAGAAGGGCGCCAATCCACACATCCTGGCATCTGTGCTCCCGGGGAAGGGGGCCTGGGCCAGGTCAGGTGCTGCCTCTGGCTGCCTGAGAGCCCCTGGACCTCTCAGGGCCTCAGTTTCCTTTTTTTTTTTTTTTTTTTTTGGAGACAAGAGTTTCACTCTTGTTGCCCAGGCTGGAGTGCAATGACGCAATCCCGGCTCACCACAACCTCCGCCTCCCAGGTTCAAGCGATTTTCCTGCCTCAGCCTCTGAGTAGCTGGGATTACAGGCATGCGCCACCATGCCTGGCTGATTTTGTATTTTTAGTAGAGACAGGGTTTCTCCGTGTTGGTTAGGCTGGTCTCAAACTCCCAACCTCAGGTGATCCACCCGCCTCAGCCTCCCAAAGTGCTGGGATTACAGGCACGAGCCACTGCGCCCGGCCTGTTTTTATTTTTTATTTTTATTTTTTATTTTTGGATCAATGTGAAGTCATGTTTCCCCATTTATAAATGAGGGGGCTTTTGGCTCAGATCCAGACCCAAATTTTGTCTGCTGCAGGAAGCTTCAGTGCCCAGTCCCTAGAGGACAATGCGGTAACTCAGGGCAGGGTTTGGTGTTGATGTCATTCTTCCTGACAGTCTGGGAGCTCCCAGACACCTGAGGTTCATCTAGGTTCCTCGAGTCATCTCCAATACCCCCAAGTCTCATTTTGTCCCAGGTGCTGGGGACACAGCAACAGGATTTTATGTCACCACGCTGCATCCCCCTCTCAGCAGGGCCTGGGCTTTCTGCTCTTGGTCACTTCTGAAGGTGCCTAGCACAGGATCAGTGCCCCAAAACGAAATTCCAGTGGTGTCAGCCATTATCCTCCAAGGTCAGCTCTCTGCTGGTCATGGTTCCTTTGGGGCCAGCCTTATTCGACCCTCAGAACAACCTCAGGAGGCATCCAGGGCAGGAGACATTGCTCCCATCTGACAGACGTGGAGACTGAGGTCCCGAGAGAGGAAGTAACTTTTTCATTTTATTTTTTATTTTTATTTTTGAGAAGGGGTCTCATTTTGTCATCCAGGCTGGAGTGCAGTGGCGTGATCATGGCTCCTGGCAACCTCGACCTCCCAGGCTCAAGCAATCCTCCCTCCTCAGCTTCCCGAGTAGCTGAGACTACAGGTGCACATCATCACTCCCAGCTAATTTTTTGATTTTTAGTAAAGATCTTGTCTCACTATGTTACCCAGGATGGTCTCAAACTCTTGGACTCAAGTGATCCTCCCAGCCTTGGCCTCCCAAAATGCTATCACAGGCACGAGCCACCACACCCAGCCAGAAGTGACTTTTGCAACACCCCACGGGAACTAGTGTGTTATATGCTGATGTAACTGAATACCTGATATGGGTAACTTACAAAGAACAGAAATTTATTTCTCACTGCTCTGGAGGCTGAAAGTCCAAAATAGAGGGGCCTGCATCTGGTAAGACTTTGCACTTCATGAAAGGTACAAAGAAGAGAAAAAGAGAGAGAAAGAAGGGGACTGAATGCGCCCTTATATCATGAACCCTCTCCCACAATAAAAAACCCACTCACTCAAAAATGGCATTAAACTATTCCCAAGAGCAATGCCTGTTGATCTGAACGCTTCCCATTAGGCCCCATGTCCTAACACTGCTGCACTGGGGATCAAGTTTCTACACATGTGTTTTGGGGAATGTATTCAAACCCTAGCATTTCATCCCTGGAATTCATGCTCCAAATTCATGTCTTTCTCACATTCAAAATACATTCCATCCCAATAGCCCCAAAGTCATAGCTTGGTCCAGCACCAATTCAAAAGTTGAGACTTCAGAGTCTCACCTAAATCAGAGATGGGTGAGACGCAGGCACCGTTCATCCTGAGGTCAATTCTCTCCAGCCACAAGCATGTGAAATCAAAGAAGTTATCTACTTTCAAAATACAGGCATAGGCTAAACATTCCCATTCCAAAAGGGAGAAACAGGAAAGAAAGAAGAAGTAACTGGTCCTAAGTAAATCCAAAGCCGAGTAGGCAGACAGCATTAAATCTTTTTTTTTTTTTTTTTTTTTTAGGCAGGGTTTCACTCCTGTTGCCTAGGCTAGAGTGCAATGGCATGATCACGGCTCACTGCAGCCTCTGCCTCCCAGGCTCAAGGAATCCTCTCCCACCTCAGCCTCCTCAGTAGTTGGGATTACAGGTGCCTGCCACCATGCCCAGCTAATTTTTTGTATTTTTTTTGTAGAGACTAGCTTTTGCCATGCTGCCCAGGCTGGTCTCAAACTCGTGAGCTCACACCATCGGCCCGCCTCTTCTGCCCAAAGTGTTGGGATTACAGGCATGAGCCACCGGGCCCAGCCTACAGTTCTTGTCTTGGGGACAGCCTCACTGTCCTCCATCTCCACAAGGCACTGCCCTGGTAGGGGTTCTCTGCAGTGGCTCCACCTCAACAAAAAGTCTCTGCCTGGGCCCCCAGGCTGTAGGTAACATCCTTTGAAATCTCGGTGGAGGAGACCATGGCCCCGCAGCTCTTGCAATCTGCACCTGCAGAATTAGCAGCACATGGTTGCCACTAAGGTTTACAGGTTGTACTTTCCAGAGCAGTGAGTCGAGCGGCACCCGGGCCAGCCTGGGAGGCCGAGACAACCAGATCACGAGGTCAAGAGATGGAGACCATCCTGGCTAACATAGTGAAACCCCATCTCTACTAAAAATACAAAAAGTTAGCCAGGCATGGTGGCATGGTCCTATAGTCCCAGCTACTCGGGAGGCTGAGGCAGGAGAATTGCTTGAACCCAAGAGGTGGAGGTTGCAGGGCCCGAGAATATGCCACTGTACTCCAGCCTGGGCGACAGAGTGAGACTCCATCTCAAAAAAAAAACCCGAAAGTGGCGGCTTGGCCACAGCCTTGATTTGCTCTCCTAAACATGCCTTTCATGCTTTATATGGCCAGGCTGCAAATTTTCCAAATCTCCCCATTTGGCTTCCCTGTTCATTATAATTTCATCTTTAAATCATTTTTCAGCTGGGCAGGGTGGCTCACGCCTGTAATCCCAACACTTTGGGAGGCCGATGCAGGTGGATCACCTGAGGTCGGGAGTTCGAGACCAGCCTGACCAACATGGAGAAACACCATCTATACTAAAAATACAAAAAATTAGCCTGACGTGGTGGCACATGCCTGTAATCCCAGCTACTCAGGAGGCTGAGGCAGGAGAATCGCTTGAACCCAAGAGGCAGATGTTGCAGTGTGCCAAGATCATGCCACTGCACTCCAATGTGGGCGACAAGAACAAAACCCTGTCAAAAAAAAAAAAAATCGGGCTGGGCGCAGTGGCTCACGCCTGTAATCCCAGCACTTTGGGAGGCCGAGGCAGGTGGATCACCTGAGGTCGGGAGTTCAAGACCAGCCTGACCAACGTGGAGAAACCCCATCTCTACTAAAAATACAAAATTAGCCGGGCGTGGTGGCACGCGCCTGTAATCCCAGCTACTCGGGAGGCTGAGGCTGGGAATTGCTTGAACCCGGGAGGCAGAGGTTGCCGTGAGCTGAGATCTCGCCATCGCACTCCAGCCTGGGCAACAAAAGCGAAACTCTGTCTCAAAAAAAAAAAAAAAAAAAAATCCTTTCTCTTTTCTCTAATTTTGCTGTCCACAGTTAAAAGAAGCCAAGTGTCTCTTTCAGTGCTTTGCTGCTTAGAGATTTCAGTTCAAGGCTCTTCAATTCTGCCTTCTGGGTGGGCCTGGTGACTCATGCTTATAATCCCAGCACTTTGGGAGGCTTAGGTGGGAGGATTGTTTGAGCCCAGGCGTTTGAGACCAGCCTGGGCAACATAGGGAGAACCCAGTCTCTAAAGCGATACAAAAATTAGCTGGGCATGGTGGTGTGTACCTGTAGTCCCAGCTACTCGGGAGGCTGAGGTGGGAGGATCACCTGAACCAGGGAGGTCAAGAATGCAGTGAGCCATGATCGCACCACTGCACTCCAGCCTGGGCAATGGAGCGAGACCCTATCTCAAAAAAAAAAAAAAAAAGGAAAAATAATTCTGCCTTTCATAAAATCATCAGGCATAGACAAAATATGGCCAAGTTTGTTGCCACTTTATGTAATAACAAGGATGACCCCTCCTCTAATATCTAATACCTTGTTTCTCATTTTCATCTGAGACCTGTCAGAAGACTCCACTGTCCACATTCCCGCCAGCATTCTGGTCATTATCACTTAAGCAATCTCTAAGAAGTTTTCCACTCTCCCTGTAGCTGTTCTCTTCTGAGCCCTCACCAGAATCCTCCGAATGCTCCCTTTATGGCAATGTCGGCGGTTTCTAGCCTGCTCCTCCGAATTCTTCCAGGCTTAACCCATCACCCAGTTCCAAAGCCTTTCCACATATTCAGGTGTTTGTGACAGCAGCAGCCCCAGTTCTCCATACCAATTTTCTGTCTGAGTCAATGGTGTGTTGCTGTAACAGAATACCTGAGATGGGCAATTAATAAAGAACAGAAATAAATTTATTTTATTTAATTTTTTCATTTTTTTCGAGATGGAGTTTCGCTCTTGTTACCCAGGTTGGAGTGCAGTGGCGCGATCTTGGCTCACTGCAACCTCCGCCTCCCGGTTTCAAGCCATTCTCCTGCCTCAGCCTCCAGAGTAACTGGGATTACAGGCACCCGCCACCAGGCCCAGCTAATTTTTTTTCATGAGGGCAGAGCCCTCACGGCCTAACCACCTCTCATCAGGCCCCACGACCCAACACTGTTCCACTGGAAATTCAGTTTCCAACTTGTGCTTTTTTGGGGAAACATTCCAACGATAGCAGGCCTGGGGGATCAGAACTCAGGAGGCCAAAGTCCCCACCCTCCAGAAGCTCATGGTGTGGCTGGGGAAGCAAACACACCTACAGAGCTCCAGAACACAGCACGGGGGCGGGGCGGGGGGCGGCTGACTCTGCAGCGCCAGGAAGTGAGGGAGCCACCAGCGTCAGAAGCTCCAGATTCCTCCCAGATCAAGGGAGGCCCCACTGTTCCCAAGCAAAGCTGGGGACAGAAGAGCTGGAAGGACATTCCAGAAGGGAGAACAGACTGGGAAAAGGCCCCGAGAGTGAAAGAGTGTGATTTGATCCTAGAAAAACATCTGCCATGGCCATGCTTGAGCTCTGTGCGGAGACGTGGTAGATGATGGAACTGGGGAAGGTGACGGGGCTTGAATGCCAGGCAAAGGTGCTGGGACTCTGTCCTCTAGGACAAGGTGAGCAACCCACAGCTTGTGGGTCAAATCTCGCCCACCACTTGTTTCTGTACAGTCCATGAGCTAAGAATGGTTTTTCACATTTATAAATGGTTGGAAAAAAATCAAAAGAAAAATAATATTTTGTGACACAGAAAAATTGTATGAAATTCACATTTTAGTGTCTATAAATAAAACGTTATTGGAACACAGGCACACCCATTCATTTACATATTACATACGGCGGCTCTTGCACTACAACAGCAGAATCGAGTAATTGGTCCATATGGTCTGAAAAACCTAGAATATTTACTTACTGGGCCGTTCCAGAAAGTTTGTCAACCCCTCCTTTAGGAAGTAGCCACCAGCCAAGACAGTGGTTCCCAAATGGGATTCCAGAGAACACATGTCCCATGAGATGCTCTAGGAGAAAAGGGTCCCCCAGGCTGGGCGCGGTGGCTCACGCCGGTAATCCCAGCACTTTGGGAAACCGAGGCAAGCGGATCATGAGGTCAGGCAATGAAGACCATCTGGGCTAACACGGTGAAACCCCATCTCTACTAAAAATACAAAAAATTAGCCGGGCATGGTGGCGCGCGCCTGTAATCCCAGCTACTCAGGAGGCCGAGGCAGGAGAATCGCTTGAACCCAGAAGGCAGAGGTGCAGTGAGCCGAGATCGCGCCACTGCACTCCAGCCTAGGTGACAGAGCGATACTCCATCTCAAAAAAAAAAAGAAAGAAAAAAAAGAGAAGGGTTCCCCAGTCAAGTATGTCGGCGCTACTCCACCTGCCACCTGCCAGGTGGCCCAGGAAATGCAGTGACAAGTCCTGCACAAAAGAACCTTATTTAACTCCCGTGAGTCTTTAGGGGTGGCCACATATATTCAGACCCTCTCCTCCAGGATCACGGGAGAATTTCACACCCCCTTAAAGTTAGGAATTGCTGAATGACTTGCTTTGCGACTAAAATGTGAGTAGAGGTGACCTGTTATCTCTGGCTGAAGGCTTAAATAGTCAGTGGGGAACCTGCCACTTCCTCTTTCTCTTCCCCATGCCATAGAAGAGAAACTTCATCAGCGTGTGTCCCGGAGTGAGGACGTTTGGAGCAGGAGCACTCACTGCCACCTGTGATGGGCATGAAGCTAGCATCCATGACCAGACTTTTGTGCTGTTGCACCATTACAAAATGAGCACAGGAGGGTGGACGGGAGCTCTCTGTACCCTCCACTTAATTTTGCTGTGAACCTAAAACTGCTCTAAAAATAAAGTCAATTGAAAAAAAAAAAAGAGCAGAGGATCCAAATTGACATTCTCCAAAGAAGATATACAAATGGCTAATAAACACATCAAAAGATATTCACCATTATTAGTCATCACAGAAATGCAAATAAAACCACAATGAGATACCACTTCACACCCACTAGGATGGCTATTAGCAAAAAGACAGACGATAAGAAATATTGGGTCAGCCGGGCGCAGTGGCTCATGCCTGTAATCCCAGCACTTTGGGAGTCCGAGGCAGGCGGATCATGAGGTCAGGAGATCGAAACCATCCTGGCTAACACGGTGAAACCCTGTCTCTACTAAAAATACAAAAAAATTAGCCGGACGTGATGGCGGGCGCCTGTAGTCCCAGCTACTGGGGAGGCTGAGGCAGGAGAATGGCGTGAACCCGGGAGGCGGAGCTTGCAGTGAGCCAAGATCGGGCCACTGCACTCCAGCCTGGGCTAACAGAGCGAGACTCCGTCTCATAAATAAATAAATAAATAAATAAATAATAAAACATATGCCCAGCCAGCTGTGGTGGCTGACACCTGTAATCCTAGCACTTTGGGAGGCCAAGATGGGAGGTTATCTTGAGCTCAGGAGTTCAAGACCAGCCTGGGTGACATGGCAAGACCCCCATCTCTACAAAAAACACAAAAATTCCCTGGGCATGGTTGCTGTGCCTGTAGTCCAGCTACTCAGATGGCTGAGGTGGGAGGAATGCTTGAGCCTGGGAGGCAGGGCTGCAGTGAGCTGTGACCGTGTCCCCGCACTACAGCCTGGGTGACAGAGTGAGACTGTGTCTCAAAAAAAAAAAAAAAAAAAAAGTCTGGGCACAGTGGTTCACTCCTCTCCTGTAATCCTAGCACTTTGGGAGGTTGAGGTGAGATCACTTGAGCCCAGGAGTTCCAGACCAGCAGGAGGCTGAGGTGGGAGGATTGTCTGAATCAAGGAAGCTGAGGCTGTAGCTTGCCATGATCACACCACTGCACTCCAGCCTCGGTAACAGTGAGACCTTGTCTCAAAACAAACAGACAAAAACAAACTGGCCAGGCACAGTGGCTCACGCCTGTAATCCCAGCACTTTGGGAGACCGAGGGGTGGATCACAAGGTCAGGAGATCGAGACCATCCTGGCTAACATGGTGAAGCCCCGTCTCTACTAAAAATACAAAAAACAAGGCCGAGCACAGTGGCTCACGCCTGTAATCCCAGCACTTTGGGAGGCTGAGGCGGGCAGATCACGAGGTCAGGAGTTCGAGACCAGCCTGGCCAATGCGGTGAAACCCCGTCTCTACTAAAAAATACAAAAATTATCTGGGCATGGTGGTGGGTGCCTATAATCCCAGCTACTCAGGAGGCTGAGGCAGGAGAATCACTTGAAACCAGAAGGTAGAGGTTGCAGCGAGCTGAGATCACGCCACTGCACTGTAACCTAGGAGCAAAAGCGAAACTCTCTCAAAAAAAAAAATACAAAAAACATTAGCCGGGCATGGTGGCACGCGCCCGCCCAGCTACTCGGGAGGCTGAGGAGGGGGAATCACTTGAACCCGGGAGGTGGAGGTTGCAGTGAGCTGAGATGACGCCACTGTACTCCAGCCTGGGCGGCAGAGTGAGACCCCGTCTCAAAAATAAATAAATAAATAAATAAATAAATAAATAAATAAAACAAGAAAACACATGCCCACAATTCACACAAAAATATATACACAAATGTTCATAGCTGCATTCATAACAGCCAAAAAGTAGAAACAACTTATGATCCATCAGCTGATGAATGATTAAACAAAATGTGGTATATGGATACAATTGGAACACTATTCAGCTATGAAAAGTAATGAAGGGCAATATGGATAAATCTTGAAAACATTATGCTAAAAAATATAATTGCTAAGCTGGCCTCCATTAAAAATAACCCCCGCAAATCAATCAATCAATCAATAAAAACTGCTCTGCAAAAGATAATATCAAGATGGCAGAGAAGGAAACATCAGGAAATGGTCTTCCTGCCTAAACAATTACACTGGCAGAATCTGCCTGATGTGACTATTTTGAAACTCTGGAGTCTACTGAAGGCTTGTAACTTCCAGGGGAAGGCTTGGATGGTAAAGTGCAGTTAATTTTGCTCAATTTCAGCTCTTAGCAGTTTGGCAGCTACCCATTTCCCAGCCCAGCCTGCAAAGCAGGCAGTAGATGCAGGTGGTCCTGGACCGGCTTGCACACAGCTTGCAGGAGCCAGAGTGGGCAAATGCAGCCTGTCCTCCAGATAACAGGCATCTGTGCTGTGATAACTGACTGCTGCCTGTGGGGTTAGGATATATATTTGTGCACAGATCCTGGTTGATAACTCCTAAAGACCTTGTTATAGTCTCTTTTCAAATTTTTTTGAGACAGAGTCTGGCTCTGTCCAACAGGCTGGAGTGCAGTCGCAGAATGGGTCACTGCAATCTCTGCCTCCCAGGCTCAAGCGATTGATCCTCCCACCTCAGCCTCCTGAGTAGCTGAAACTACAGGTACATGCCACCACACCTGGCTACTGTTTGTATTTTTTGTAGCTACAGGGTCTCACTTTATTGCCCAGGCTGGTCTTGAATTCCGGGATTCCGGGATTCAAGTGATCCACCTGACTCGTTGTCTCAAAGCGTTGGGATTACAGGCCGTGAGCTACTGAGACTGG
The DNA here is from genome assembly GCF_000001405.40 of Homo sapiens. Lineage (NCBI taxonomy): Eukaryota > Metazoa > Chordata > Mammalia > Primates > Hominidae > Homo > Homo sapiens. Next base: position 102,570,817 of record NC_000014.9, on the reverse strand, counting down.
CCTTTTATTTATTTATTTATTTATTTATTTATTTATTTATTTATTTTAAATTTGAGATGAGATCTCCCTATCTTGCCTAGGCTGGTCTCGAACTGCTGGGCTGAGGGATTCTCCCTCAGTGCTAGGGTTACAAGCATGAGACACTGCAAAGTCCAGTCTTTTCATACAACGCTGGGAGTGTTCAGCCTCAAGGACAGACCTCTGACCTTCTCCTTCCCTCCTTTCATCTGCCCCAAGGCAGGACTTTAATCCTCCCCACCTTTCTCATTGTGAGGCTTTGGACCCTCCCCAGAGAGGCCCTATACCCTGGGGGAAGGAATGCTGAACTCTGAAGCTTCCATATGCTAACACTTTGGGAGGCCAGGTGGGGCAGATCACTTGAGGCCAGGAGCCTGGCTAACATACCAAAACCTTGTCTCTACTAAAAATACAAAAATAAGGCGGGGCATGATGGCTCACGCTTGTAATCCCAGCACTTTGGGAGGCCAAGGTGGGCACGTCACGAGGTCAAGAGATCGAAACCATCCTGGCCAAAATGGTGAAACCCCGTCTCTACTAAAAATACAAAAATTAGCTGGGCATGGTGGTGCACACCTGTAGTCCCAGCTACTCGGGAGGCTGAGGCCGGAGAATCTCTTGAACCCAGGAGGTGGAGGTTGCAGTGAGCCGAGATCGCGCCATTGCGCTCCAGCCTGGGTGACAGAGCGAGACTCCGTCTCAAAAAAAAAAAAAAAAATAAGAGGGGCGTGGTGGTGTGCACCTATAATCCCAGCTACTCAGGTGGCTGAGGCAGGAGAATCGCTTGAGCCTGGGAGGCTGAGGTTGCAGTAAGCCGAGATCGGGCCACTGTTATCCACTATGGGTGACAGAGCCAGACCGTGTCTCAAAAACAAACGGCCAGGCGCGGTGGCTCATGCCTGTAATCCCAGCACTTTGGGAGGCAGAGGTGGGCGGATCACCAGGTCAGGAGTTCGAGACCAGCCTGGCCAACATGGTGAAACCCCGTCTCTACTAAAAATACAAAAAAAATTAGCTGGGCATAGTGGTGTGCGCCTATAGTGCCAGCTACTCAGGAGGCTGAGGCAGGAGAATCGCTTGAAACAGGGAGGCAGAGGTTGCAGTGAGCCAAGATCGCACCATTGCACTCCAGCCTGGGCGACAGAGTGAGACTCCGTCTCAAAAAAAAATAAAAATTAAAATTAAAAAAACCCTAAGGACAAGATTCACAGAACTTCAACCCCTGGGGTAGGGCATGGAAGTGCCATACGTGTTCCCTATAGCTGTATTTATAGTTCTATAGCTATAGCTCTCTTTATCTGTATCCTCCTTTGTAATATGTATGAGGCTTGACTCTGAGACCTAACACACTCAACAGTCTTTTTTTTTTTTTTTTGAGACAGAGTCTCACTCTGCTGCCCAGGCTGGAGTCCAATGGCATGGCCCGATCTCGGCTCACTGCAACCTCTGCCTCCTGGGTTCAAGTGATTCTTCTGCCTCAGCCTCCCCAGTAGCTGGGAGTACAGGCACACGCCACCATGCCTGACTAATTTTGTGTTTTTAGTAGAGATGGGGTTTCACCGTGTTGGCCAGGCTGCTCTTGAACTCCTGACCTTAGATAATGATCCGCCTGCCTCGGCCTCCCAAAGTGCTGGGATTACAGGCATGAGCCACCACGCCTGGCCCATTCTTTTATTTTTGAGACAGGGTCTGGCTGTATCGCCCGGGCTGGAGTGTAGTGGCTCGATCTCAGCTCACTGAAGCCTCCACCTCCCAGACTCAAGTGATCCTCCAGCCTCGGCCTCCCGAGTAGCTGGGATTAGAGGAGTGCACCACCACGCCGTGCCAGTTTTTGTATTTTTTGTAGAGACCGTGTTTTTCCAAGTTGCCCAGGCTGTCTCGAACTCCTGAGGTCAAGCAATCCACCAGCCTAGGCTTCCCAAAGTGCTGGAATTACAGGCATGAGCCACTGCGCCTGGCCACACCCAACATTCTATCCAAAGACTGTAACAAGGGCTATGGGAACTAAGAGCCAGGAACCAAGGATGAAACCCAAAATATATATATAACACCACAGATGTCTCCATCTGTATCCATTACAATGAACCAGTAAATGTAAGGAAGTGTGTCTTCGTGTTCTGTGAGCTGCCCCAGTAAATTAACAGAACCCAAAGAGGGGGATGTGGGAACCCCAACTTGAAGCTTGTAGGTCACAAGTTCCAGGGGCCCCAACGTGGGACTGGTGTGTGGGGCTGTGACGGGGGAGGCTTGGGGAGTGCGCCCTCACTCCATGGGATCTGATGCTATCTCCAGTTAGCCTCAGAACTGGACTAGGGGACGCTCAACTGGCTCTTCTGCTTGGTGTATGGGGAAAACTCCACAAATTTGGCCACAGAAGCTTTCTTCTGTGTTGATGATTGTGGTGGTGGTATGAGAGGAGAGGACAAACAGGGTTTGAGAGACTTTCCGGAAACACTGCTTCAGATCCTGGAGGTGCAGAGGAAGAGGCAAGAAGCCACGGAGGTTGTGCTCCTCCCCAACTGGGGTAGGCTCCTCCCCTTCCAACTCAAGCCACCACCAGGTGATTTAAAGGGCCAGTGCCCTGCCCCCACTACTTTTTTTTCCTTTTTGGGAGCCAGACATTAAAGATCAGAACATTCGGCCAGGCACTATGACTCACACCTATAATACCAGCACTTTGGGAGGCCAAGGGAGATGGATCACCTGAGACCAGGAGTTCAACAGCCTCCTGGCTAACATGGTGAAACCCCCGTCTCTACTAAAAATACAAAAATTAGCCAGGAGTGGTGGTAGGCGCCTGTAATCCCAGTTACTAGAGAGGGTGAGGCAGGAGAATTGCTGCAACCTGGGAGGTGGAGGTTGCAGTGAACCGAGATTGCGCCACTGCACTCCAGCCTGGGACACAAAGCGAGACCTTGTCTCCAAAACAACAAAAAAAAAAGATTAGAAACTCAAAAAAAAACTGCACATACAAGGAAAATTAGAAAGTGACTGCGCAGTGCATGGCCAGAGAAAGGCACAGACTCAGAAAAGCTAGAGGGTTCATTAAGATGGTATTTCAGGCTGATCTTTGGCACAGAGACAGCTTACAAAAACAATAAACACAAATGCAAACAAACAAAAACAATAACAAAAAACTCCATGGAGCCCGTCGGGTGGCTCACGCCTGTAATCTCAGCACTGTGGGAGGCTGAGGTGGGCGGATCTGCAGGATCACCTGAGGTCGGGAGTTTGAGACCAGCCTGGCCAACGTGGAGAAACCCCATCTCTACTAAAAATACAAAATTAGCCAGATGTGGTGGCGCATGCCTGTAATCCCAGCTACTTGGGAGGCTGAGGCAGGAGAATGGCTTGAACCCGGGAGGCGGAGGCTGTGGTGAGCTGAGATCATGCCACTGCACTCCAGCCTGGGCAACAAGAGTGAAACTCCATCTCAAAAAAACAAAAAACAAAAAAACAAAAACAAAAACAAAAAACCATGGAGAAAGACAAGAATCGGCCGGGCGAAGTGGCTCATGCCTGTAATCCCAGCACTTTGGGAGGCCGAGGCAGGCAGATCACGAGGTCAGGAGTTCGAGCTACTTGAGAGACTGAGGTGAGATGGTGGCTTGAGCCCAGAAAACAGGGGTTGCAGTGAGCTGAGATTGCGCCACTGCACTCCAGCCTGGGCAATAGAGCCAAACCCACCAAACCCTGTCCCAAAAAAGAAAAAAATAAATAAATTTACAAATTAGCTGTACATGGTGGTACACAGCTGTAATCCCAGCTTCTCAGAAGGCTGAGGTAGGAAAATCACTGGAGTCCAGGAATTTGAGGCAGCAGTGAGCTATGATCACGTCACTGCACCCTAGCCTGGGTGACAGAGGGAACCCTGTCTCATAAGAAAAAAAAAAAACAAACAGGCTGGGCACAGTGGCTCACGCCTGTAATCCCAGCACTTTGGGAGGCCGAGGCAGGCGGATCACGAGGTCAGGAAATTGAGACCATCTTGGCTAACACAGTGAAACCCTGTCTCTATTAAAAATACAAAAAAAAAGAAAATTAGCCTGGCGTGGTGGCAGGCGCCTGTAGTCCCAGCTACTTGGGAGGCTGAGACAGGAGAATGGCATGAACCCTGGAGGTGGAGCTTGCAGTGAGCCGAGATCACCCACTGCACTCCAGCCTGGGCAACAGAGCGAGACTCTGTCTCAAAAAAGAAAAGAAAAAAAACAACAAAAAAAGAAAATTTCGCTAAAAGGATTCGAAGGTAGATTCGAGGAGGCAGAAGAATCAGTGAACTTGAAGAAAGGACAGTGGGGCTGGGCATAGTGGCTCATGCCTGTAATCCCAGAACTTTGGGAGGCCAAGGCGGGTGGATCACTTGAGGCCAGGAATTTGAGACCAGCCTGGTTAACATGGTGAAACCCCGTCTCTATTACAAATATAAAAATTAGCTGGGCGTGGTGATGGGCGCCTATAATCCCAGCTACTCAAGAGGCTGCGGCAGGAGAATCGCTTGAACCTGGGAGGCGGAGTTTGCAGTGAGCTGAGATCTCAACACTGCACTCCAGCCTGGGCAACAGGGTGAGACTCCATCTCAAAAAAAAAATTAGCCAGGCTTGGTGGCACAGGCCCCACCTACTTGAGGGGCCTAGGTGGATGATCATTTGAGCCTGGGAGGTCAAGGCTACAGTGAGCTGTGGTCACACCTCTGCACTCCAGCGTAGGCAACAGAGCGGGAAACTGTATCTCAAAAACAAAACAAAACAAAAAATTTTTAAAAAGTCACAAGAGACATAGGACATTATATAGTAACAAAAGGTTTAACACCGCAAGAAAATATAACAATTCTATACATTTATGGACTGTGATGACTATTTTTAGGTGTCAATTTGACTGGATTAAGGGATTTCTAAATAGCTGATAAAGTATCATTTCTGGGTCTGTCTGTGATAGTATTTCCCCAGAAACTAGAGGAGGTTGGTAGTGAGTCAGTGGACTGAGTGGGGAAGATCTATCTACCTTCGATACAGGGTCGGGAGAGGGCACCATCCAATTGTCTGAAGGCCAGATGGGACCAGAGATGGATGACGGGTGTATTAGTCCATTCTCACTGCTATAAAGAAATACCTGAGACTGGGTAATTTATAAAGGAAAGAAGTGTAATTGATTCACAGTTCCGCCTGGCTGGGAAGCCACAGGAAACTTACAGTCATAGTGGAAGGCAAAGGGGAAGGAAGCTTGGACCTTCTCACATGGCGGCAAGAGAGAGAGGAGTGAGGAGCAAAGGGGGAAGAGCCCCTTGTGAAACCGTCACCTCTCATTAGAACTCACTCACTATCTTTTTTTTTTTTTTTGAGACGGAGGCTTGCTCTTTTGCCCAGGCTGGAGTGAAGTGGTGCAATCTCGGCTCACTGCAACCTCCGCCCTCCCCCGTGTTCAAGCTATTCTCCTGCCTCAGCCTACCAAGTAGCTGGGATTACAGGCACCCACCACCAAGCTTGGCTAACTTTCCTATTTTTAGTAGAGATGGGGTTTTGCCATGTTGGCTAGACTGATCTCAAACTCCTGACCTCAGGAGATCCACCCACCTCGGCCTCCCAAAGTGCTGGGATTACAGGTGTGAGCCACTGTGCCCAATCATCTGGGGCTAGGAGTTTGAGCCCGGCCAACATGGCAAACCCCATCTCTAATAAAAATACAAAAATTAGGCTCACGCCTGTAATCCCAGCCCTTTGGGAGGCCGAGGTGGGCAGATCACGAGGTCAGGAGTTGGAGACGAGCCTGGCCAACATGGTAAAACCCCATCTCTACTAAAAGCACAAAACATTAGCTGGGTGTGGTGGTGGGCACCTGTAATCCCAGCTACTTGGGAGTCTGAGGCAGGAGAATCACTTGAACCCGGGAGGCAGAAGTTGCAGTGAGCTGAGATTGTGCCACTCCACTCCAGCCTGGGCAACAGAGCGAGACTCCATCTCAAAAAAAAAAAAAAAAATTAGCCAGGCATGGTGGCACGCACCTGTGGTCCCAGCTACTTGGGAGGCTGAAGCAGGAGAATTGCTTGAGCCTGGGAGGCAGAAGTTGCAGTGAGCTGAGATCACACCACTGCATTCCAGCCTGGGCGAAAGAGCAAGACTGTTAAAAAAAGGATGGAAGGAAGGAAGGAAGGAAGGAAATCATTATCAGAAGGAAAACTGGAAAACTTACAAAACTCTGGAAATTAAACAACATACATCAAAGAAGAAATAACAAGGGACATTAGAAAATGTTTAGAGACAAATGAAAATAAAAACACACCCAGACATGGTGGCTCATGCCTGTAATCTCAACACTTTGGGAGGCTGAGAGGGGAGGATCACTTGAGGCCAGGAGTTTGAGACTGGCCTGGGCAATGAGGCAAGACCCTATCTCTATAAGAAATAAAGTAAAATAATAAACAACAACATAGGCGGGGTGCGGTGGCTCATGTGTGTAATCCCAGCACTTTGGGAGGCCAAGGCAAGCGGATTACAAGGTCAGGAGATCCAGACCATCCTGGTCAACATGGTGAAACTCTCTCTACTAAAAATACAAAATTAGCTGTGCGTGGTAGCACATGCCTGTAGTCTCAGCTATTTGGGAGGCTGAGAGGAAAATCGCTTGAACCTGGGAGGCAGAGGCTGCAGTGAGCCAAGATGATACCAGTGCACTCCAGCCTGGGTGAGATAAAGTGAGACTCCATCTTGAAAAAAGAAAAAAAGAAAACAAATAACTTGATTGAGAAATGGACCAAAAACCTTAACAGATTTCTCAAGAAAAGATACACAGGTGGGCATACAAGCAAACAAAAAGACGTTCCACATTATATGTCATCAGGGAAATGCAAATTAAAACAACTGTAACACCACACACCTATTAGAGTGGCCAAAATTCAGAACATTGACAACACCAAATGCTGACAAGGAAGTGGAGCAACAGGAACTCTCATTCCCTGCTGGTGGGAATGCAAAATGGTCCAGCCACTCTTGAAGACAGTTTGGCAGTTTCTTACAGAACTAAACATACTCTCACTGGGCACGGTGGCTCACGCCTGTAATCCCAGCACTTTGGGAGGCCAAGGCAGGCAGATCACGAGCTCAGGAGTTTGAGACCAGCCTGACCAACATGGTGAAACCGTGTCTCTACTAAAAATACAAAAATTAGCCAGGTCTAGTGGCCGGCACCTGTAATCCCAGCTACTCATGAGGCTGAGGCAGGAGAATTGCTTGAACCTGGGAGGCGGAGGTTGCAGGGAGCCAAGATCACACCACCGCCCTCCAGCCAGGGTGACAGAGCAAGACTCCGTCTCAAAATAAACAAACAAACAAACAAACAAAAAACTAAACATACTCTTACCATGTAGTCTAGCAACGGTGCTCCTTGGTATTCACCCAAAGGAGTGAAATATTTATGTTCACACAACCAAAGCACGTCTATTCATAACTGCCAAAACCTGGAAGCAACCAAGATGTCCTTTAGTAGTCAAATAGAGAAATAACTCTAGGCCAGGTGCGGTGGCTTATGCCTGTAATCCCAGCACTTTGGGAGGCCGAGGCGGGTGGATCACTTGAGCTCAGGAGTTTGAGACCAGCCTGGCCAACATGGCGAAACCCCATCTCTGCTAAAAATACAAAAATTAGCCAGATGTGGGGGCGCACCCCTGTAGTCCCAGCTACTCAGGAGGCTGAGGCAGGAGGATCGCTTGAACCCAGGAGGCGGAGGTTGCAGTGAGCCATGATTGTGCCACTGCACTCCAGCCTGGGCGACAGAGCGAGACTCCGTCTCAAAAACAAAACAAAACAAAACAAAAACTATTCTGCATAAAACCCTAATGGTGGAGACAAGTCATTATACATTCGCCCGAACGCGTGAAGCATCCGGCAGGAAGAGGGAACCCTCATGGAAACCCTGGACTTCCGGTGATGATGTGGCCCTGTAGGTTCCTCAGTTGTAACAAATGTGCGGCTCCAGCGGGGGATGTTGATTGTGAGGGAGGCTGTGCATGTGTGGGGGCAGAGGTACATGGGAACTCTCTGTACCTTCTGCTTAATTTGGCCGTGAACCTCAGGCAGCTCTGAAAAAAAAAGCTTTCTTTTTTTTTTGAGACGGAGTCTCACTCTGTCCCCAGGCTGGTGCAATCTGGGCTCACTACAAACTCCGCCTCCCGGGTTCACACTATTCTCCCGCCTCAGCCTCCCAAATAGCTGGGACTACAGGCACCCGCCACCACGCCTGGATAATTTTTTGTATTTTGGTAGAGACGGGGTTTCACCATGTTAGCCAGGATGGTCTTGATCTCCTGACCTTGTGATCCACCCGCCTCGGCCTACCAAAGTGCTGGGATTACAGGCGTGAACCACCGCGCCCAGCCAGCTTTCTTTTTCTTTGAGACGGAGTCTCGCTCTGTCTCTAGGCTGGAGTGCAGTGGTGGGCTCTTGGCTCACTGCAACCTCCAACTCCCTGGTTCAAGCAATTCTCCTTCCTCAGCCTCCTGAGTAGCTGGGATTACAGGCATGCACCACCACGCCCGGATAATTTTTGTACTTTTAGTAGAGACGGGGTTTCATCATGTTGGCCAGGATGTTCTGGATCTCCTGACCTCGTGATCGGCCCGCCTCGGCCTCCCAAAGTGCTGGGATTACAGGCACAAACAACTGCACCCAGCCAATAAAAGCTATTTTTAAAAAGTTTTGCTAAGTGAAAGAAGTCAGTCACAAAAGGCGACGTCATATGGTTTCATTTATATGAAATGTCCAGAACACGCAAACCCATAGAGATGGAAAGTGTGTGAGTGGTTGCCAGGGGCTGGGCAGAGCAGGTAAATGGAGAGTGGTTACTAATGGGTACATGGTGTGTTTGGAGGGTGATTAAAATGTTCTTTTTTTTTTTTTTTTTTTTCTGAGACAGAGTCTCACTCTGTCGCCCAGGCTGGAGTGCCGTGGTGCAATCTCGGCTCACTGCAACCTCTGCCTCCTGGGTTCAAGCGATTCTCCTGCCTCAGCCTCCAGAGTAGCTGGGATTACAGGCGCCCTCCACCATGCCCAGCTAATTTTTGTATTTTTAGTAGAGGGGGGTTTCACCATGTTGCCCAGGCTGGTCTCAAACTCCTGACTTCAGGTGATCTGCCCGCCTTGGCCTCCCAAAGTGCTAGGATTACAGGCGTGAGCCACCGCGCCCGGCCTCGAAAATGTTCTAAAATTGATTGTGGTGATGGTTGCACAACTCTGCGAATATACCATCCACCACAGAGAGCTGCACGCTTTAAAATGAATTGTGTGATATGTGAATTAGATCTCAATAAAGCTGTTTTATCTCAAAAAATCTACAGGTTGGCCGGGTGCGGTGGCTCATGCCTGTAATCCCAACACTTTGGGAGGCCGAGGCGGGTGGATCACTTGAGGTCAGGAGTTCGAGACCAGCCTGGCCAATATGATGAAACCCCATCTCTACTAAAAGTACAAAAATTAGCCAGGTTTGGTGGTGCACGCCTGTAATCCCAGCTACTTGGGAGGCTGAGGCAAGAGAATAACTTGAACCTGGGGAGTGGGGGTTGCAGTGAGCTGAGATAGCACCACTGTGCTCCAGCCTTAGCAATTGAGCGATACTCTGCCTCAACAAGAACAAAAAAAAGTCTGTAGGAAATTATAAAAAAAGAGACTGGAGTTGTTTGTTACCACCACATATCCTAGCCCATCCTGCCTCACCTCACTCAGGGAAGAGGAAGAGACTTGCCCAGACCACGTGACTAGTGAGCAGCAAGGCTGGGTGTCCACCCCGGCTGCAGTGCCCCTGTCGTGGAGTGGGGACACTGGCCCTGGTGGGCCTGGGTCTGGGGTGCCTCCTTGGCTGGGGTTCTGGCGTCTGAGTGAGCTCCTGCATGAGCCGCTGGGGCATCTCCTCTACTGCACCTGGCCCCCTGCCTCCCAGAGGGCAGCTGTGGCTTCCTGGAGACATTGCTCAGCAGCTGGTGTGCAGGGCACAGCTGAATCCCCAAATAAAACCGCAGCCACCCCCAATGAGTTCCTAACTCGTCCAAAGACATAGAGCCAGCTTCCCCTTGGGGTCCGGCCTGGGGCAAGGCCCTTCTGGAGGTCATCTCAGCCAATCTCCTAGGTGACTCCAGTCGGAGTACAGGCCTCAGTCAGCCACGCATCCTGTGCCTGCTTGCTGCAGTCCTGGGCTGGGTGCAGTCCTGGGTGCTGGGACCCACAGCGAGGGCTGCAGCTCACACCGGTGTCTCACTCTCCACCAGATGCTCCGGCCCAGCCCCCAAGCTATCTGACTGCACCCAACCTAGCTCCAAAACTTCAGTGAAAGACTGAAGCTTCTTAGTCAGGCATTTAGGGCCTTGCGGGCTGGTTTTCGCCAGCCTCTCCTATCTCTTCTCCCACCACCCATGTGCCTTGGACTCTGGAGAAGGGAGAGTGACCCCAGCCTGTTCCTGGAACAGGCCCTGCCCCATCCCATCCTCTTGTTGGCTCACTGTGTTCCCTCCTCTGGAACACCTTTCCCCCGCATGGCTAGTTTGTCCCAGTCTCCAAATCCCTGAGGCTGGACAATGGGGAGCCAGGGTTGGGGAAGCTGAGAGACCCCTGGCTCTGTCTCCACTGGGGGAGGGTGTGTGGCAGTCGAGGTGGTGACCAAGGTGCAGTGCTAGTCAGAGCGAACCCAGCTGAGCACCAGCCGCGAGCCAGGGGATTGCCAAGGACTTCCCACGGCTGAAGCTATCCACTGCCACGGAGCCGACATCTCGTGGCAAGCAGCTTGCTCAGGGTCACTGAGTGAGAAGGCGGCACGGCAGGGACTGCGACCAGGACCCCAGAGCTGTCCTGTGAATCTTGGTGCCGCTTTCCCTCCAACTGAGGCAGCCACCCTGGCTTCTGCCCCATTACTTACCAGCACAGGGCCTCTGTTTCCCCATGCACAATGGGACTGAAGAACCTAAAGTTTTTTCCTACTTAGACACTCCCAAGTTACATTATCCCACAAATACCCCAGGCCCGCTCACTCGGAGCCAGCCCCAGCCTTCGTGTAGGAATTTATTTTATTTTATTTTTGAGACGGAGTCTCACTCTGTCTCTCAGGCTGAAGTGCAGTGGCTCAATCTTGGCTCACTGCAACCTCCACCTCCCGGGTTCAAGCGATTCTCCTGCCTCAGCCTCCTGAGTAGCTGGATTACAGGCACATGACACCATGCTCAGCTAACTTTTTGTGTTTTTAGTAGAGAGGGGGTTTCACCATGTTGGCCAGGATGGTCTCGATCTCTTGACCTCGTGATCTGCTCGTCTCAGCCTCCCAAAGTGCTGGGATTACAGGCGTGAGCCACTGCGCCTGGCCTCGTGTAGGAATTTAAAGCTGAAGGAGGCGACATGTGAACCTAGAGGTGAAGAACAATTTGCCAGGCATGTGAGGGTGGGAAGGGTGTTCCAAGCACTAGGAACAGGATATGCCTAGGCAGGGGAGAGACCAGTGTCAGCACAGTCCCCAGCCCTCAGGACCCTGCAGTGGGGAGAGACAAGCTCACTCCCTGTCCTCCTGGGCCACTTAAGAAGCAGGCAGGGCTGGGTACGGTGGCTCACGCCTGTAATCCCAGCACTTTGGGAGGCCGAGGCGGGCGGATCACGAGGTCAGGAGATCGAGACTATCCTGGCTAACATGCTGAAACCCCGTCTCTACTAAAAATACAAAAAAAAAAAAACTAGCCCAGCGTGGTGGCGGGCGCCTGTAGTCCCAGCTACTCAGGAGGCTGAGGCAGGAGAATGGCGTGAACCCAGGAGGCGGAGCTTGCAGTGAGCCGAGATCGCGCCACTGCACTCCAGACTGGGTGACAGAGCGAGACTCCATCTCAAAAAAAAAAAAAAAAAAAAAGAAGCAGGCAGTGGGTGGGGAGCCAGGGTGAGGCTGGCAGGGCAGCCTTCCTCATGACCTGCCACTGAGGTCTTGAGCCCCTGTGACCCAGAGAGTTGGGTTAGCCTTGGCCCAGAGGCCCAGAGAGGGCAAGACACCCTGGAGCCACTCAACAGGCAGGGCCCTGAGGGTGCAGGCCCAGCTCACAGCCATCTCTGTCCTCCCGGCCCTGATGGCCTGTTTCCAGAGGCCGCCACAGAACATGCCTGCTGCCTGAGGCTTGGGTATATAAGTGAGGGCCTCCTGGCTGCCTGATATACTCCGCTGTGATCACACAGTGAAGTTCCATAGTCCATTCTCATTCCCTTCATGCCTCGACTGCCAGGAAACTCATAGCTAAGTTTTTGGGGTTTTTTTTTAATACGGGGCCTCACTCTGTCACTCAGGCTGGAGTGCAGTGGTGCAATCACTGCTCACTGCAGCCTCGACCTCGGGCGTAAGCGATCCTTCCACCTCAGGCTCCCTGGTAGGTAGCTGGGACCACAGGCTAATTTGTTTATTTTATTTTATTTTTATTTTTTGTAGACACAGGGTTTCACTCTGTTGCCCAGGCTGGTCTAGAACTCCTGAACTCAAGGGAGCCTTCTGTCTTGGCCTCCCAAAGTGCTGGTATTTCAGGTGTGAGCCACCATGGCTGACCACAGCTATGTCTGATGCCTGATTACTAATCATTAATGTCCTAGAATTGGGTAAATGCCTATCTCCCACTAATCTTGGTTGTTCAAAATTATCTATGTCTATTCTTACAAATTGATTGTTTCTGAATTTCTGTAGACTGCATCTTTCTGGAAGACTGAGAGGTATGAATCACAAATTATACGTAAGGCAAACCCAGCATATTCCTGGGACCTGTGTGAACAAGTCTTGGGCCTGTTTATTATGGCCGGGCAGGAGACCCCGCCACGCCCTTCTGTGCTCCTGCTGTCTAGAGGCTGAGCCCTACAGCCCAGGTCCTGACTGCACTCAATGCAGCCTCCCTTTCAGGTGGGCTCATCTTCCCGCAGCTGCCAAAGGTCAGGGCCCCTTTGCCCAGGCTGTGTCCCTACCTGAATGCCCTTCTACCCCTTCCAGTCTAGCTCGGTCTGGGCTGCAGGCTCGGCTGGAGGGCACTCTAACCACAACCCCCAGGTGACCAGGGTGCTCCCTCCATCCTCGTGTGAATGGGGTGGTCAGGCCATATCGTGGGCATTTCCTGAGCTTCCACAGAAGCAATGCCAAGGTTTGGTCTTCCACCTCAAAGCTGGGCCCCGCACACGTGATGTGAGTCCAGGGGTTCACAGAGAGGCTGGCCCTAGTGAGAGTGGGGCTGGGGGCCCTAGGGCTACCCCTGATGGGGAGGGGAACTCCCATCCCTGGGAGAGGGGCATGAGGATCTCTGAGCATGGAGGACCACACACATCTCTTCATTGTGTGGCCCTCCCTGCCTCCCGGCACCCACATCCATGAGCTGGGTGATCCCTGCGGTTTGTTGATTGGCTGACTGATCCTTGGCAGGGCTGACACCGATGCCCCCCACGGCTGGGCAGGGGATGCTGGGACCAATAGAGGTCCCCATGGTGTCACAGGCAGCTCCTTAGACACTCCAAGCGAGTTCAGGTGCCAAGGTACCAAGGAAAAAGGAGACAGCAGGCCGAGAGACCAGAATCTGGGGGGCCTGAAGGCTACCAGGGAGAGGGGAGGCTTCAGGGCAGGAGGACGCCCACTGTCTGACAGGTTTTATCCACACCATGTCCCAGCTGCAGCGGACAAGGTCCTGTCTCCTGGCAAGAGAAAGCAGGCTCAGAGTGGCAGGCTTTACCTCAGGACACCGCAGGGAGGGCACTACACCTGGGGCCGGTCCTAGCACTCTCAGTGAACCCGTCAAGTCAACCAGTCTGTCCCCTGAGGGGTGGGCTGGACCAGCGGAGCCATCCAGACTCCCCACTCCTCTGCCTTTTTTGTTGTTGTTTTGGAGACAGTCTCGCTCTGTCACCCAGGCTAGAGTGCAATGGCATAATCTTGGCTCATTGCAACCTCCGCCTCCTGGGTTTGAGCAATTCTCCTGCCTCAGCCTCCCGAGTAGCTGGGATTACAGGTGCAAACCACCATGCCTGGCTAATTTTTGCATTTTTAGTAGAGATGGGGTTTTACCATGTTGGCCAGGCTGATCTTGAGCCCCTGACCTCAAGTGATCCACCTGCCTTGGCCTCCCAAAGTGCTGGGATTACAGGTGTGAGCCACCGTGCCCGGCCAAGCAATGTCCCTTCCACCTCACCCCATCCCCACTGGTCAGAACTGCAGGGAAACCCAGTCTCTGGCAGTGTGGTGGTTCTGACCAGTGGAGGTGGGGTGGTGAGGGGCGCCGGGGCCAGCAGCTGTTGAGAAGCCACTGACCCTATGCCTGCGACACGCCTGGTGGGCCCAGTCCTGGGTCCATGGGCTCTGGGGGGCAGAGATCAGGCCCAATCCTCCTTGGGCCCCACTGCACCCTAGAGCAGCTGATGGTGACTGAGACGAGGCCTTGGAGATCCTAGGCTGGGAGGGCCCAGGTTGGACCTGCCAGGTTCGCTGTCCTCAGCCAGGCCAGGTGTAGGGCTAACCACAGCACTGGCGGGATCATGGCCCTGCCCCACTGCCCAGCCCAAGCTGGGAGCAGGCAACCTGGGCCTGGACAGGTGCGGGTCACCCACCCTCACCCTCACCTCAGCCTCAGCCTCCTCCTCCAGATGCCAGATGCTGGAGGCGGAGGCGGCCCCTCACAACTCCTCAGGCCCCTCCGGGACGCTGTGGGTTTTTTTTTTTTTTTCTTTTTTTTGAGACGGAGTCTCCCTCTGTCGCCCAGGCTGGAGTGCAGTGGCACGATCTCGGCTCACTGACCTTAGCCTCCCGGGTCCAAGCAATTCTCCTATCTCAGCCTACCGAGTAGCTGGGATTACAGGCGCCGGCCACCACGTCCAGCTAATTTTTGTATTTTTAGTAGAGACGGGGTTTCACCAAATTGGTAAGGCTGGTCTCGAACTCCTGACCTCAGGTGATCCACCTGCCTCGGCCTCCCAAAGTGCTGGGATTACAGGCGTGAGCCACCGCGCCTTGCCCTGTGGGGTTTTTTATTTTGGCAGAGGGAGGAGATTTAAGGAAAGAACAACCCGGCTATAAGCCCGAGGGGCTGCTGTGACCCCGCCCCCGTTGTCCACATAAGGAAAATGAGGTCCCGGGAGAGCGGACCAGCACCAGGTCTTCCAGAGAAGCTTCCCTGGGGTCTCCGCGCTGGCGGGGTCTCTCCGCCGCCTCCCCCGCCGCCGGGTCTTTGTCTCGCGGTCACTACGGCTGCGCTTCCGCGCTCTCGCGGCCGCCGGCGGGGCTTTTCCCGGGGGAGCGAGGGCCAGGCCCGGCGTGGGTGGGCGCGGAGGCAGGGGCCGCGGCCTGGACGCCAATGTCAGCGCGAGGGTCGCCCCCGGGACCCGTAGGGCGGGACCGGCCTAGGCCTCCCGCAGGCTCTGCCGTCACCTTCAGGTCGGAGCACGGGGTCCCCTCCCGGCAAATGGGCGCGGAGGAAAGCGAAACGGCCTCGGCGCCGTCCTGCTGTTCCCCACGGGGCGGGGGCAGGACCCGGAAGCCTGGCGCCCCCCGCCCCCCGAGTCTGCGGCCCCACCGGCCCCCACCGGCCGATCGTCCTGGGGGGTCCGAGCCTTTCTGCTGCGGCCCCGCCGGGCACGTGGATGCGAGTCCACGCGGTTGGGGAGGTCGCTGGAAACGGGGCGCAGCAGGTGCTGGTTGCCTGGGAGCGACTGTCGGTGTTCTGAACACAACGTGGCGGCCCGGGTTGAGTCGATTCATTCATCTAACGCCCAGGAGCCAGTCCATGGCAAGCCTGGGCTGGCGCTGGCCTGGGCGCGACAAGACCCAAAGCGAGGTGGCCTCGCCCCAGCCAAGTGGCTGCCCCAGTGACTACCCGGTCCCGGATTTAAGCAGAGCTCAGCCGGGATCTGAAGATGTAGGAGGCCACCAGGAAGGGCACTGAGCGCTGAGGGAACGTCCTGGACAAAGGCCCAGAGGTTCGAAGTCTGCGGCCTTTCACCAGCTGAAAGAAAAGCTCATCGCAGGAGTGAGGGGCCAGAAGACAAGTCCCAGAGAGGGAAGGGGCTGGGACCTGTGCGCAAGTACTGCGCTTGGGCTGCGACCTGTGCAATCCCATAGGGTCCTGAGCCTAGAAGAGACCACACTTGGTTTTAATATGCTGCTGTTGCCATCTTGAAATTCTTAATAATTTTTTAACAAGAGTCCCTGTAGTTTCTTTCTCTCTCTTTCCTTCCTTCCTTTCTTCCTTTTTTTTTTTTTTTTTTTTTTTTTGTGAGACAGAGTTTCGCTCTTGTCCCCCAGGCTGGAGTGCAATGGCATGCTATGATCTCGGCTCAACTGCAACCTCCGACTCCTGGGTTCAAGTGATTCTCCTGCCTCAGCCTCCCAAGTAGCTGGGATTACAGGCATGTGCCACCACACCCGACTAAATTTGTATTTTTAGTAGAGACGGGGGTTTCTCCATATTGGTCAGGCTGGTCTCGAACTCCCGACCTCAGGTGATCCACCCATCTTGGCCTCCCAAAGTGCTGGGATTACAGGCATGAGCCACCGTGCCTGGCCCGTAGTTTCATTTTACAGTAGCCTGCCCTATAAGGAGCATGGCAGAGCCAAGGGAGAGTTTGTTATGTTTTTTTTTAAACACTGATAAAAATATACATAGCAAAATTTACCATTATAGTTTTTTTTTTCTTTTTTTTTTTGAGACAGTCTCGCTCTGTCGCCCAGGCTGGAACACAGTGGCATAAACTTGGTTTACTTTGCAACCTCTGCCTCCCAGTTTCAAGCAATTCTCGTGTTTCAGCCTCCCAAGTAGCTGAGATTACAGGCGTGCGCCACCACGCATGGCTAACTTTTGTATTTTTAGTAGAGACAGGGTTTCACCATGTTGGCCAGGCTGATATTGAACTCCTGACCTCAGGTGATCCACCCACCTTGGCCTCCCAAAGTGTTGGGATTACAGACAGGCATGAGCCACCACACCTGGCCAGCATTCCTTTTAAATAATATACCACATTCAATTAAAAAAAAAAATTAGCCAGGTGTGCCCGAGGTGGGAAGATCACTTGAGCCCAAGAGGTTTAGGCTGTAGTTACCTGTGATCTCTCCACTGTACTCCAGCCTGGGCGACAGAGTGGGACCCTGTATCAAAATTAAATAAACAAACAAAGATAACACATTAGTTTATTCCTTTACCAGTTGATGGATAATTGGGTTGTTTCTAGTTTGGGACAATTGTGCATAAAACAGCTGGCATTTAAAAAAATAAGGAAGACAGCCGGGTGTGGTGGCTCATGCCTGTAATCCCAACACTTTGGGAGGCCGAAGCGGGCAGATCACGAGGTCAGGAGTTCGAGACTAGCCTGACCAACATGGTGAAACCCTTTCTCTACTAAAAATAGAAAAACTAGCCGGGCATGGTGCTGTGTGCCTGTAATCCCAGCTACTCAGGAGGCTGAGGCAGGAGAATCGCTTGAACCTGGAAGGCAGAGGTTGCAGTGAGCCAAGATTGCACCACTGCACTCCAGCCTGGGCAATAGGGCAAGACTCCGTCTCAAAACGAAAACAAAAAACATAAGGAAGACTAAACAAGAGCATGGTGTGCTGTAAGGGCAGGCCTGTTCGTGGAGCCTTTGTTTCAGGTGTGTGTGTTTGAGCGTACAGTGCTGGATGAAGCACAGTCTGTCCTGTGGCCACGTGGAGAAGCCCTCTCAAGAGTGCTTGCTCCGGGAGGCCTGCAGGACCCTGTGTCCCTGGTCTGGAACAAGTGGGAGTTCACCTTAGAACTCAGCAAGACTTGCTCTGGGCAAGGCTGGGAGTGGGGAGGTCACTCTGGGCTTGGAGAGAAAACCCCACCTGGCCCCAGACACCTGGAACCCGGTGGCTGGGACAACCAAGTGGTCTCAGAGTGGGTGTCTGTGCTGCCCCTGCTCTCAGGCCTCCACACTCTCAGACCCCACCCTTCCTTTAGGGCCAGGGAAAGCCAGAGTGGGGCCCCAGCCTCTGCTCCAGAGTCCTCAGCTGCCCTCCCCACCCCTGCCATCCATGTCAGAACTTCCTCCCATAGGCCGGGCGCGGTGGCTCATGCCGGTAATCCCAGCACTTTGGGAGGCCGAGGCGGGCGGATCATGAGGTCAGGAGTTCAGCCTGGCTAACACAGTGAAACCTCATCTCTACTAAAAAATACAAAAATTAGCCTGTGTAGTGACACGTACCTGTAGTCCCAGCAACTCGCAACGCTGAGGCGGGAGAATCGCTTGAACCCAGGAGAGGGAGGTTGCAGTGAGCCGAGATTGTGCCACTGCACTCCAGCCTTGGTGACAGTGAGACTTCGTCTCAAAACAAAACAAAACAAAAAACTTCCTCCCCTGCTAAGTCCCAAAAGCCAGGGCTGAGGGAGGCAAGGGGCCTCCAGGAAGGGACCCAGACACCCGCTAGGGCCTCAGACCGGGCACCCACCTTGGTTCTGGAAATACACCAGTGCCAAAATCAGGCTCCCTGGCAGAACAGCAAGTGGGACTTGGTCAGGCTGCTCCAGCCGGAAGAGAGGTGTGGCTTGACTTGGCCCATCTCAGGACTGCAGGGGCCCCTGGGCGTGGGAGGTGGGGAGTGAGTCAGGGTTATTAGACAATATGTCACTCCAAGGTTGGGGCTGCCATGCCCATTGCTGAGTCGAGGAAACTGAGGCTTGGAGGCCAGGTGCCTGGGCCCTGCCACGGGAGGGCCTGGAGTCATGGGGCAGGCAGCTCAGACCAGAATTCTGACCCATACCCTGTCCCACTCAATTCCTGAAGCCTTTCCTTCATAGCCCCTCCCCGGGATCCCAAGATAGGCTCTCTGCCCTGTCCAGCTGTTCCCTGCCTCTTCTCCTAGGAGAGGGGCTTTTGTTATCCCCATTTTTTAGAGGAGGAAACTGAGGCCCAGAGATGTAATGTAAGTTGCCCAAGGCCACCTTAAGGTATACCAAGGGGGTAAGAGGCCATATTACCAGAAAGGGGTCCTCATCCAGACCCCAAGAGAGGGAGGATTCTTGGATCTCACACAAGAAAGAATTCCAGGCGAGTCCATAGAGTAAACTGAAAGCAAGTTGATTAGGAAAAAAGAATTGCTAGTTCACATACAGAGCAGCCCTGAGGGCTGCTGGTTGCCCTTTTTTTTTTTCTTTGAGACAGAGTTTCACTCTTGTTGCCCAGGCTGGAGTGCAATGGCACGGTCTCGGCTCACCACAACCTCCACCTCCTGGGTTCAAGCGATTCTCCTGACTCAGCCTCCCAAGTAGCTGGGATCAAACCCGGCTAATTTTTATATTTTTAGTAGAGACGGGGTTTCACCATGTTGGCCAGGCTGGTCTCTAACTCCTGGCCTCAAGTGATCCACCCACCTCAGCCTCCCAAAATGCTGGGATTATAGGCATGAGCCACCACACCCAAAGGTTATTTCTTGATTATATGCAAAACAAGGGGTGGATTATTCATGCCTCCCCTTTTCAGACCATATAGGGTAACTTCCTAACGTTGCCATGGCATTTGTAAATTGTTATGGTGCTGGTGGGAGTGTAGCAGTGAGGATGACCAGAGGTCACTCTTGTCACCATCTTGGTTTTGGTGGGTGTTGGCCGGCTTGTTTACTCCAAGTTGTTTTATCAGCAAGGTCTTTATGACCTGTATCTTGTGCCGACCTCCTATCTCATCCTGTCTTAGAATGCCTTAACCCTCTGGGAGTGCAGCCCATCTAGGTCTCAGCCTCACTTTACACAGCCCCTATTCAAAATGGAGTTGCTCTGGTTCAAATGCCTCTGACAGCCAGAATCACCTTCCAGCCAGGGACTGTGCTCCAGACAGGGACTCTCAGCCATCTCCCCACCCCCCATCACCAGTGCCCAGGCCCACAGTGGCAGCCCCAGAGATAGCCCTGTGCCCTTGGGGAGTGCCAGCAACCAAGGAACCCCCAGAAGTCCCTTTCTTCTTCTTCTTTTTTTGAGACAGGGTCTCGCTATGTTCCCCAGGCTGGTCTTGAACTCCTAGGCTCAAGTGATTCCCCGCCTCAGCCTTCCAAAGTGCTGGGATTACAGGTGTGGGTCACTGCACCCAGCCCAGAAATCCCTTCCTGACCCAAAGTCACCAGCATTCTTCCTCCTTACTCTCCTTTCCTCACAGCTGTCCACACAGCTGCTGGGGCCTGGGACACCTGGCCTATGACGAGTGTACCTAGATGGACCTGGCATCCCAGGGCAGGTTCGTAGGGCATCCCAGGGCAAAAGAAAGCCTCGTAGGATGTGCTGAGGGGTTCCATCTGTCGCATAATTAATAAAAGCAAAGTTCTGCACCAACCTGAGCACCCATCACGGGGGACCAGGTGCAGGGGGTTCCTGCACAGGGGCCTGGAAAAGGAGGAAGACAGATCTTTCTGGATGTCTTGACATTGAAGGAGCTCCTGGACAGATTGCTGAGTGAGTGAAGCAGGGTGCAGACTTGGGTGCTGCGAGAGATCATTCTGTGGAGGAGAGAGGAAGGCAGGGAGAAAGTGACAGAGATAGGCTGGGGCGCAGTGGCTGATGCCTGTAATACCAGCCCTTTGGGAAGCCAAAGAGGGTGGATTGTCTGAGCTCAAGAGTTTGAAACCAGCCTGGCCAACAGGGCAAAACGCCATCTCTGCTAAGAATACAAAAAGTTAGCCAGGCATGGTGGTGCATGCCTGTGGTCCCAGCTACTTGGGAGGCTGAGGCGGGAGAATCACCTGAGCCTGGGAGGCAGAGGTTGCAGTGAGCTGAGATCACACCACTGCACTCCAATCTGAGTGAACGAGTGAGATCCTGTCTCAAAAAAAAAAAAAAAAAAAGGCCAGGCACGGTGGCTCACACCTGTAATCCCAGCACTCTGGGAGGCTGAGGCGGGTGGATCACCTGAGGTCAGGAGTTTGAGACCAGCCTGGCCAACATGGTGAAACCCCGCTTCTACTAAAAATACAAAAAAAATTAGCTGGGCATGGTGGCAGGCACCTGTAATCCCAGCTACTCAGGAGGCTGAGGCAGGAGAATCACTTGAACCCAGGAGGTGGAGGTTGCAGTGAGCCGAGATCCTGCCACTGCACTCCAGCCTGGGTGACAGAGTGAGACTGTTAAAAAAAATAAATAAAACAAAATAGCCGGGCATGGTGGCGGGCACCTACAGTCCCAGCTACTCGGGAGGTTGAGGCAGAAGAATCGCTTGAACCCGGGAGGTGGAGGTTGCAGTGAGCTGAGATCGTGCCATTGCACTCCAGCCTGGGCGACAGAGTGAGACTCCGTCTGCCAAAAAAAAAAAAAAAAAAAAAAAAGCCAGGTGCTGCAGTGGTGCATGCCTGTAGTTCCAGCTACTTGAGAGACTGAAGTGGGAGGATCATGAGCCCAGGATTTCGTGGCTGCAGTGAGCTATGATCATGCCTGTGAATAGCCATTGTACTCCAGCCTGGGCAACATAGCGAGACCCCCTTTCTAACAACAAAAGAAAACCTGGTCAGAGCCTTCAGAGTCTCCCCAAGAAATGTCTATGGAGATGGGAGACTCCTAGGGTGGGGGAAACCCACTCGGGGCCCGAGGCTCCTTCTCCACCCCAAGGAGGATCCAAGCTCACCCCCACCACTATCCTCTCAAATCCCCCCAGCCCCAGGAACGCCCACCTCCCCCAGGCCCCAGGCAGTTACTATATTCTCCTGGTGCAAGCTCTGGTTACTGTAATTTCTGGTGTATGAGCCCCTGAGGGTTCCCAGGGGATATTGTTCCTCCCCCATCTCTGCCTCTAAATGGGAGCCTGTCCCCCAGGGAACTTCACTGTTCACTCTTCAAGGATGCTTCTCCTCCCCTACCCCTTTCTCTATTAATTACTGTATATTTTTATCCAAGTAATGCAATAAAGTATAGGCACATGATATGCATAGAATTTTAAAAGGCAAATAGACATAGTGAAAAGCAGCAGCCCCTCCCCACCTATCCCACTCTTAATCCTCCCCAGAGACAGCCACATTCAACTTTTTTGGCTTCTTTTTCTGGATTTTATCTCCATGTTTATAAATAACATTCTTGTGCTGTTGTTACTTGATTTAACAACCCAGCCATTATCTACTGGCTTTCCCTTACAGAAGATGAGTTTCACATTTTTTACACTCTTCCGTGCAACACCCCCCTCCCCATACTCTCCCTGTGTCACCTCTCATTATCAATATAGAGCAATTTCGGATCAAATCAATATTCAGTTTCATTATAATGATTATATAAACATTGTTTGCTACTGAGCCAACTAATGCACTGTGGTTAAGTTTCCTTTCTGGTTTAACTTTCAGTTTTTCATGAAGTTAATAATTGCCTTTCTTTTTAGTTGCTTAGTGTAGTTAGGGTCCTTCCAAAATAACTCCCAGGCTGGAGGCAGTGGCTTACGCCTATCATCTTAGCACTTTCGGAGGCTGAGAAGGGTGGATTGCCTGAGCTCAGGAGTTCGAGGTCAGCCTGGGCAACACGGTGAAATCTGTCTCTATTAAAATACAAAAAAAATTTAGCTGGGCGTGGTGGCATGTGCCTGTAGTCTCAGCTATGCGAGAGACTGAGGCAGGAGAATCGCTTGAACCCGGGAGGCAGAGGTTGCAGTGAGCCAAGATCACACCACTGCACTCCAGCCTGGGCGACAGAGCGAGACTCTGTCTCAAAAAAAAAAAAAAAAAAAAAAGTAGCTCCCAAAGATCCCTGCCCTCGGTGTTTGCACCGTTTTGTAGTCCCTCCTGTTGAGTGTGGGAATGACCTGTGACTCGCTGGAACCAACAGGACAAAGGTGATGGAATATATGGGATTACATCACATAAGACTGTTGTGCCTATCTCGCTTGAGTCTCTTCCCCTCTCACTGGCTTAGAAGAAGGAAGCTGCTGCTGGGCATGGTGGCTCACACCTGTAATCCCAGCACTTTGGGAGGCCAAGGTGGGTGGGTCGCCGGAGGTCGGGAGTTCGAGACCAGCCTGACCATCATGGAGAAACCCCGTCTCTACTAAAGATACAAAACTAGCCAGGCATGGTGGCACATGCCTGTAATCCCAGCTACTTGGGAGGCTGAGGCAGGAGAATCACTTGAACCCAGAAGGCAGAGGTTTCGGTGAGCCGAGATCTCTCCACTGCACTCCAGCCTGGGTGACAGAGTGAGACTCTGTCTCAAAAAAAGAAAAAGAAGGAAGCTGCCATGCTGTTACACTGAAAGGCCCCCATGGCAAGGAACTGCCATGTGGAGATAACAGCTTGCCTCTAGGATCTAAGGACAGCCTCTAAATCCAATAGTTGGCAAAAAACAAACAAACAAAACAAAACTGAAGCCCTCAGTCCTACAGCAGCAAATAACTGAACTCCACCAGCAACTTCGGTGGCTCAGAAGCGTATCCTTCCCCAGCCAAATTCAACTGAAATCCCAGTGGGACCCTTGATTGCAGCTTTGTGAGACCCTAAGCAAATGACCAGCTTAATCATGCACAGACTCCTGATGTGGAGAAACTGTAAGATAAATATGTGTTCAGTTATTTATTTTTCTCCTTCCTTCCTCCCTCCCTTCCTTCCTCTTTCTTTCCTTCCTTTTTCCTTCCTTCCTTCCTTCATTCTCTCCCTCCCTCCCTCCGTCCCTCCGTCCCTCCCTTTCTTCCTTCCTTTCTCTCTCTCTCTGTCTCTCTCTTTCTTTCTTTCTCTCTTTTTTTCTTTCCAGTCTTGCTCTCTTGCCCAGGCTGGAGTGCAGTGGTGTGATCTCGGCTCACTGGCACCTCCGCCTCCCAGGCTCAAGCAATCCTCCCACCTCAACCTCCCGAGCCAGCTGGGACTACAGGTGCACACCACCATGCCCGGCTAGTTTTTGTATTTTTTTGTAG
This sequence comes from Homo sapiens, assembly GCF_000001405.40. Taxonomy (NCBI): domain Eukaryota; kingdom Metazoa; phylum Chordata; class Mammalia; order Primates; family Hominidae; genus Homo; species Homo sapiens. Next base: position 102,546,968 of record NC_000014.9, on the reverse strand, counting down.
AGATTTTTTTTTTCAAGATGGAGTCCTGCTCTGTCGCCCAGGCTGGAGTGCAGTAGTGGAATTTCAGCTCACTGCAAACCTCCGCACCCCAGGTTCCAGCGATTCTCCTGCCTCAGCCTCCCAAGTACCTGGGATTACAGGCGCCCACCACCACACCTGGCTAATTTTTGTATTTTTAATAAAGATGAGGTTTCACCACATTGCCCAGGCTGCTCTTGAACTCCTGGACTCAAGCGATCCACCTGCCTCCGTCTCCCAAAGTGCTGGGATTACAGGCGTGAGCCACCATGCCCTACCCTGGTAATTTCTTTCTTTTTTTTTTTTTTTTTGAGACAGAGTCTCACTCTGTCACCCAGGCTGGAGTGCACGATCTCAGCTCACTGCAACCTCTGCCTCTCAGGTTCAAGCAATTCTGCTGCCTCAGCCTCCCAAGTAGCTGGGACTACAGGCGCCTGCCACCACGCCCGGCTAATTTTTGTGTTTTTAGTAGAGACGGGGTTTCACCATATTGGCCAGGCTGGTCTCAAACTCCTGACCTTGTGATCTGCCTGCCTCGGCCTCCCAAAGTGCTGGGATTTACAGGCATGAGCCACCGTGCCCGGCCAGCGTGAGGTTTAGACTCAGAGTTTAACCAGATTCCCCCACTGTCCGCCGGTGAAGCCTGTCCATAGGACAGGTCCTAGTTTTCATAGGGTCTTCCCTGCCCCGTCGCCTGCCTGCCCCCCACCATCCGCCTCCTCCACCCATACACAGAGGCCCCCGACCGCTTCCTATCTGCACCTTAGCAGCCCCCAGCAGAGAGAGACGCTGGCAGACAGGTCGGGATGCCTTACACTCAGACTCCCATGGAGAGGGTGCTGGGCTCACTGCTGTCCCCTCTCTCGAGACTTCCTCCTCCACTGGCTCATCCCCAGCCTGGGCCACCTCGCCTAGGCAGTCTTCCTTAAGCGGCCCCGGCAGAATTCGGTTCTTCGTCCTGTTCGGCTCATCCCAGCCAAGAATCTTACTGTATTCCACAAACAACTGCAAAGCAGGCCTCACAACCACCTCCCTCCCCCTCCTCACCACCCGCACCAGGGTCGGGAAGCACCGTCTGGGAGTTGCAGGATGAAGCAACGATTCTTTTCTTCCCCGGCTTGCAGAGCCCTGGGAAGGCACAGAGGCCCGAGGGATCTAGTAAAATACGAATGAGCCACTCTGCACCCAGCTGTGGCTCCTCGGGCTGCTGGGCTGAGATCCAGAGGCTGCATGTGGCCCGCAGGCCTCCTTTCTGCTCCCCACCCCCACCCCGCTGTTCTTTCAAGGGAGCCCTGGAATCCTCTCTCAGGGCCAACCGCTGGGGGCACTTTCTTCCCCCAGCCCTGCCCCCTCTCTAGTCCCGTCCAAACTCACCCTGCAGGTCTCCCCGTGTCTCCTACTGGGAATCTCTGGATAGCCCCTTCCCCACAGTTCTGTGACACATGTCACCCTTGGAAATGGCTCAGGTGTGGTTCCTGGCTGTAAACGCGGGGCAGACAGTGGGGCTGTGTCACCCCCGCCAGGCACCAGGCTGTCTCACAGAGCCCTGGAAGAGTCAGGCTCCTGGTCTCCGGTTAAAGCACTGCCCCGACCCTATGTGCCGTCTGTAAAATGCGTCAAGGATTCCCCCTTCCCCACAAGGCCGGGGGCTTGAAGGGGAGACGAGGCCCAGAGGAGGCGGCGGCCCGGCCGTCCGGGTGGGTTGGGGGTGGACAAGTTTGCAAGGCGAGGCCGGGTTTGGAAAGCAATCGGATTACTCCTCCCCATCAGGGCTGGAGACAGGGTTCAGAGTCCCCACTTAATCTCCTGGGGGAGGAGAGGTGCGCACGCGCGGGGTGGGGAACCGTCCGCACGCGACCCCCCCCACCCCCCGCCCGGGGAGCCGGGACGCGGTGGGGAGGGGCGGGGAAGCCACTGAGGCCCGTCCGGGAGCCTTGAAGGGGCGCAGGCGGAACGGAGGCCGTCGGGTTCGGGTTCCCGTCTCGGGGACACCCCGCCCCGGAGGCCTCGGGCCGCGCCTTCCTCCTGAACCTGCGGGGTGTGGGATCCCGGGGAGGAGACGGCGGTGCCGCCTCCGGGTGTTTCTGCGCCTCCCCTAGCTGTGTCCTCGACGACCGCGCCCGCCGGCAGCGGACAAGAACTCGCCGCCACGCCCAGGCCGTCGCCCCATTTCACAGACTGGAAGGCGAGGCGGGGCCTCCCGGGGCCGCGCGCAGGTCCTCCAGCCCCGACCCGGCAGGCGCCCCCCTCCCCGGCCGCGCAGCAGGAGGAGCCCGGGCCTCTCGGATTTCGCCCGCCGCGGCCCCCGGCCCCCGGCCCCTGGCGCAGATGTTCTCCCGCGGGGCGTTCCGGGCAGCGTTTCAGGGGCCCTTAGCTGGTTTTGCGGGGCGGGAATGGGCCGCCCAAGGAGCCGTCACCACCTGGCAAGGCTTAGGGAGCCACTGGCCGGGATGGGGAGCCCCGCGGGCTGGGCGGATGCGGGGAGCCAGGCTCCCCACGGCCGCACCCTCTTCCCTCCTCCCAGTTCCCTGGCAAGGGAGGGGGGAAACTAAGGCTCAAAGAGGTTGGGTCACTTTCTCAGACTCAGCTATCCGGCTTTGAGCAGAGCCCTAAAGGATGGGAAAGATCTGGACGTTTGGAGAAGGGAGAGGGACAGGTTAGGCAGGAGAATGACTCGGACAAAGGCTGGAAATGCGGGTGGAGGCCTGTGGCCAGCTAGGCTGGACTAGGTGGTGGGGACGGCACACCCGCCCCTCTGGGGGGTGGTCAGTGGAGCCTTTGCTGGCATCTGGGGGCTGGGTGGATACATGCAGCTGGGAGGAGCCGGGCAGAGTGGTCCAGTGTTTGCTGGAGAGATTCCGAGGCTGGTCGGGAGGGACAGAGACAGACACTGGGACAGGCAGACAGGCCTTGGCCAGGGCTTGTGGCCCCTGGTGAGTGCTGGACATTGATTCTGGGGAGACACCAAATATCTGCATTTGTTGGGTGGTGGTGGGGGCGGGGGAGGGCGGAGTAGGCAGGATTCTTGTGGCCCTCTGCAAAAATTCCTCATCTGCACTCTCAAAGGTATGAGAGGCCAAATGCCGTGGCTCATGCCTGTAATCCCAGCACTTTGGGAGGCCGATGTGAGAGGACAGGAGTTCAAGACCAACCTGGCCAACATAGCAAGACCCCATCTCTAATACGTGCATATATATATTTAAAAAAATAAAATAAAAAGGTCTGGGAAAGGTTAGGACGTCTGTTGGGCTCCCTGGAGAGGGAGGTGCCCAGCAGTGTGACAGCCTGGCCTAAGGGTCAGGTTGCTTCATGAAGAGTGATGGCTCCCAGGGGCTGAGGGCAGAGGCTAGAGGGCAGGGTGCTGGGCACATAGGCTGGACTAGCTGGGGCAATGGATGGGGGGGCACCGCCCCGGGTGGGGCACCTGGGACACGTGGCCTCAGGGCTGGTGAGCTGGCAGGCCACATCTGGGGCATCAGCCCAGACAGGGTCTGGGGCAGCACTGGCCCAATGAGAGGGTAAAGAATGTGGCCATGCTCCCACCCAGCCACCGGAACGGAAAGCTTGCCCCCTGTGGGCCTTGACCCCACGCTGCCCTGCTCCTGTGCCATCACATGGCCAGGCTGCTCCTGCAGAGGAGTCCACACCACTGCAGCCTCCCTTCCTGGCCTCCCCCACATTCTAGCTGACTCCCTCTTCCCTGGGCCATCTTTAGACACAGAGCCCTTGGTCCCTGACCTTAGCCCTCTTCTGTCTAACCTCCAAACCCTCTCCTGGGGGTGAGCTCCTCTCCCCAACCCTCTGCCCTCCACCCCTGGCTTAGGGCACCCACAGAGCCTCTTCTGATGTCACCTTTTCCTGAACTGATCCAATATCAGCTCCCATGGGGGACATAGTGCCATATCTTGCAGGCTCTGAGGCACAGCCTGCCCAGCCCAGCTTCCTCCTTGGGTACAAACCCATGTAGACTGGAATCCCAGCCAGCTCCAGAGCTCTTATGGGCTGAGGGATTTGAGAACAAGACACTTTTCCTCTCTCTCTCTTTTTTTTATTTTATTTATTTATTTATTTTTGAGATAGAGTCTCGCTCTGTCACCCAGGCTGGAGTGCAGTGGCACGATCTTGGCTCACTGCACCCTCCATCTCTTGGATTCAGGCAGTTTTCTGCCTCTGCCTCCTGAGTAGCTGGGATTATAGGCGCCCGCCACCACGCCCCACTAATTTTTGCATTTTTAGTAGAGACGGGGATTCACCTTGTTGGCCAGGCTAGTCTCGAACTCCGACCTCACGATCCACCCACCTCGGCCTCCCAAAGTGCTGGGATTACAGGCGTGAACCACTGTGCCTGGCCACTTCTCTTCTCTTTATTATTCCGTAAAGTGAGGCTCACATGCCGAGCCCAAGGTGGTAGTGAGGGCTCAACATAAAGTTCTTGGAGCAGTGCCTGGACAGAGTAAGTGTTCGAGTATGACTACGATCCATTCCAAGAGCGGACCCCTTACCAACTTTGTAGGACTCCTCACCGGGCGCTCATCATACTCAGCCTCCAGGAAGGCCCCCAGCAATCCCTGCCTCCTGCTGTCTGTTCCCTTGTGTACTCCCTGAGTGTGGGTAGGACTGGGTGACTTAGGAATAGAATACGACCCACATGGCCCAGCACAGTGGCTCACGCCTGTAATCCCAGAACTTTGGGAGGCTCAGATGGGCAGATCACAAGGTCAGGAGATTGAGACCAGCCTGGCCAACATGGTGAAACCATGTCTCTACTAAAAATACAAAAATCAGCCTGGGCGTGGTGGCAGGCGCCTGGACTCCCAGCTACTCGGGGGGCTGAGGCAGGAGAATCGCTGGGATTATAGGCGTGAGTCACCGCACCTGGCCAAAAAAAGACCAACTTTTGTTTTGGGTAGTGGTGGCCCCCCCTTCTTGCTCTCTTGCCCTGGGGAGAGTCAGCTGTCCCAGGCCGGAGAGGCGAAGGTGGCCAGGAGCTGAAGGCTTCCCCCTGTGGGTGAGCTTGGAAGAAATCCCTCCAAGTCACTGCTGTCCCCTCTGCAGCCTGCTGGAGACCCTGGGCCAGAGCCATGGGCTGGGCCACTTCTGAATTTCTAACCCACCTATGCTGCGAGATGGCGTTTGGTTTTCAGTTGCTAAGCTTTGAGGTAATTGACTATGCAGTAGTAAATAGACACCTAATACCAAAGTTGATTGAAAAAGCCTTTTACAGTAGAAAACAGTCTACTGTAAATGGGAGGCCGAGGTGGGCGGATCACAAGGTCAGGAGTTCGAGACCATCCTGGCTAACACAGTGAAACCCCGTCTCTACTAAAAATAAAAAAATTAGCTGGTCGTGGTGGCAGGTGCCTGGACTCCCAGCTACTCGGGAGGCTGAGGCAGGAGAATCGCTGGAACCCAGGAGGTGGAGGTTGCAGCAACTTGAGATCACGCCACTGCACTCCAGCCTGGGTGACAGTGCTAGACTCCGTCTCAAAACAAAACAAAAAAAAAAAGACCAGCCTGGATAACATGGCGAAACCCCATCTCTACAAAAACTTAAAAAATTAGCCGGGTGTGGTGGTGCACACCTGTAGTAGTCTCAGCTACTTGGGAGGCTGAGGTGGGAGGATCGCTTGAGCTGAGGAGGTCGAGGCTACAGTGAGCTGTGATTGTGCCACTACACTCCAGCCTGGGTGACAGAGCGAGACTGTGGCTCATGCGTATAATCCCAGCACCTTGGGAGGCCGAGGCAGGCAGACCACCTGAGGTCAGGAGTTCAAGACCAGCCTGGCCAACGTGGTGAAACCCCGACGGAGGCTCTGTCCACAGAGCTGTCTGGCAGGTCCTTGCAACTGTACAGCGCAGCCAGCCCAGCCTCCAGGCCTAGTGCCTGGGTTAGTCATGGCCCCTCCATCACAGGCAACGCGTGGCTCTACCGGGAAGGTGCTCAGGTGGAGGAATTTCACACAAGGTGACGGGGGCCAGGGCATGCTTCCGGCAGGAAGTCAGCCCTGGAGATCTCAATACTCACATGTGTGTCTCAGTCACACTGTGTGTTTGTGTGTGCGGAACGTAGAGAGCTGATCACCTCAAGGGACATCCCAGCCCATAGCCCCCCACCGCACACACACCCCCAACGCACACACACAAACATGTTCCCAATGCAAAGCATGCAGTGTTGCCCAATGCGCTCATCCCGGAGGCAGGTGTCCGCTTCGACACCGTGTGGTGACACATGCACGACGGGGGCAGATCCCCAGCACCCGCCTTCTCATTGTGAGCCGCCTTTGTTTTGCATTCAGACACGTGGAGCCCCGGGAACCAAGCTGCAGGGCCAGTGCCTTCCAGCCTTCCAGGCCCGAAGCCTCCAGTCCCTCAGGAGCTCCTCAGGCCTTCAGGAGCCCCGGCAAGCACCCTCCGGCTCCCAAGCCCTTCCGGGCCTGCCAGCGGCCTGCTGTAGAGTGGGGTGGGAAGCCGTTGGGAGGGAGGAGCAGAGGAGTTCTGGTCTCCCCTAGCCGGGCCTCCTGCCGGGACACCTGCCAGCTGCTCCCCACCCCCGGCCTTGGCTCCTGGCCTGGCAGCCCCCGATTCCTCCCCTTCACACACTCAGGACTGCAAAGAAGGCCGGGGGAGGCCCCACTAAAGCACAGCCTCCAAGGTACACCTGGAGACTCGGGGACCTTGGGGGCCCTCAATCCCTCTGGGCCTCAGTTTCCCCCAGAAAGACAGGCCCAGAATCAAGAGGGATCTATGACAATGGGGGTGGGATTAGGCGTGTGTGTGCTTCCTGCGCATCCTGGCAGGCTGTGGGCGTTCTTGGCAGGCATCCACCAGTCCCCAGGCTCTGGAGGAGGAGGCCGGATGGGGGTGGGAGGCTGGGAGCCCCGGGGGAATGAGCTGCACCGCCCACACCGCCATAGGAGCGGCCTCCACACACCCAGCCCAGAGAGGCTGGACCCACAGGGCAGTGGCCTCAGAGGAGATGCTGGGCTCCCTTGCTGGTGTTGGGGAGGGTCGTCTTGGGTGGTCTTCCCCCTACCTTTCGCCCAAAGGTGCTCTGGGACAGACCCCTGACCACCTCCAAAGACTTGGGCCTCAGTCTCCATAGAACGAGGGGTTTCTGGACCACCTGCCAGCTGCCTGGGCAGGGCTGAGCACCAGCACTTTAGGTCCATTGAACTTTGGGGGCTGCCCAGTCCACCCCACTGCTTTCACCTCTGTCCTGGGTTACAAGAGGGGCTTCAAACCGCAGACCCTACAACCCAAGACCTCAAAACCCAGATCCTGGAATCCTAGACTCCAGAACCCCCAGACAGGAACCCGGACCAAGAATGTTCCCCAGAGCTGCTCAGGGGCCACGTAGGGCCTTTCTGTCCTTCTGTGACAAAGACACTTGTCACTCGCGCTCCAGGGATGGGGCATGGAGTGCCTGCCTTCAGAATCTGAAAGGCCTTCTCCAGAAACTCCCGGTCTCCACCCCCGGCCCGCCAAGGGGCGGGTGCATCCCACCTGCTGTGGGCTGAACCTAGTCCTGGTGGCTCTTATCAGTGCCCTGAGAGGTCCCCGGGAGGGAGCCGCATCCCACCAATGGATGAGGACACAGGAGCCCCATGGAGCTCACCCCCAGCCTGGCCTTCCCAGAACAGAAAGATGGCGGCCCCCAGGAGGCCCTCCTGGCCCTGGCCCGGGTCGGCTGAGGGCAGGGCCTGGTGACAGTTTCCGGTGTGTCCTCCGCAACAGCCTTCTCAGGCTCTCACCCTCACCCCACCCCAGAGTCTCTGTACACCCCTGCTTGGACAGCTGGGGGGCACATAGAGCATGACTCCGGCCCACCAGGGCCAGGGTGGGGGCTGCACCCCAAATGCCTTTGGCCTGAGTCCTCTAGCGGTTGGGAGGAGCCACCCTGACAGGGGCATCAGGTGATGTCCTAATTGCATCCAGTTAGGATCCAGTAGGCCTCAGTGGGCCCCAATAGCAGCTGGGGCCAGGCCTGGAGGAGGGGATCTGAGCCCTGGGCCGGCCGGGCAGCTACGCAGGACTCTGCGGGGCCGGGCATGGCCTGGCGTTTCACACGACCCAGTCCCATCCCTGGGCCTCAGTCTTCTGTGTGTGGAACAGGAACACCCCCTTGAGGGCTGTGGTGAGGACCCGATGATACTGGCGAAGTGCCCTGGGCCCAGCTGGCCCTCCTGTCTTGGTCCCGGGGCATGGTGGGAAGGGAGCTGGGGGGCAGAGTGTGGCAGGGTCATCCCCCTCCTGACTTCCTGGCGTGGCATTGAGTTGGGAAAGGTTGCAAAGGGGTGAGCTCTCCTGAACTGGTGGCCCAGGCAGCTGGGGAGGGGCAGCACAGCGCAGAGTGCCCCTGCTGGGTGCTGGGTGGGGCACCAGTGTCCAGAACGCTCAACACAGCCCTCCCCTTGGGGCTGCAAGGCCCCCACCCCATATTAGCCTGGCAGCACTGGGGATGTGGCACCAACACCTTCCAGTGGAAGTGTCTGTGACGGGAGGTGAAGGCTGGGTATTTAAACATCTGGAACCAGCTCTGAAGGCCAGGCCCGCTGTGGGGGGTTTGGGTTCCAGCCAGCCGCGCAGCGTGGGAAGGATCACAGCAGTGTGGGCCAGTGGAGAGCGGTGGCTGGCTCCAAGTACAGATTCTGCCTCAGTTTCTCCATGGGTGTCTTGGGGGCTGGTCTTCCTCAGCCCCAGCTGCCTGCCCTTCTCGCCCCCCCACAGCTCATTTCTGCAGGTGGCCCTCCCTCCAGCCCCGGCTGGGCCCCTTCCCTGTGGCTGAGTTACCCCCGGCCTGCCCCTGCCAGTGGGGCTCCTGCTCCCACGGGGGCATCCTTCACACATTTTTTCCCAAACCGCCCCTCTCCCGCGTCATCACAGCTCCTTGGATTTACATCGGCCAGAGCAGCAGGCCTGGGCCTCCTGTTCACCAGCCATCCCTGTCACTGAAGCTGGTGTGCCCTGGGGCAGGGTCAGGGATGTGGCACAGAAGGCTGCCCGGCAAGTGCCTGAGGAAAGAGGGAAAGTCTGAATGCACAGAAACAAACACATCAACAGATGCTATTCACAGCTCACGAGAATCCCATGATATCCCCATTTACAGAAGTAGTGGGCACAGAGAGGTTAAGCAACTTGCCTGGAGTCACACAGCCTGGAAGTGGCAGAGCTGGGATTTGAAGTCAGATGAGTGACAGCCTTCAGCAGCAGGCCCTTTCCCTGAAAAATGGGACCTCCTGGAGGCTGGATAAGGCCTCAGTGGAGACACTGTGGCCCTCACAGCAAGTCTGACAGACACACAAACAGAGACTTCAGGTCTTGCCCTGGGAGGAGAAGGAGCTGGCCCTGCTTCCTCTCCTGCCTGGGGAAGGATGTGCACACACCAGGAAGCCACCAAGAGGGGCTCAGATCCCAGCAGGTTTGCCCTTGGCCTGGGCCCCAGACCCCCCTGTGGTCCTAGGTCTGAGGACCTGCCTGGGGACAGGGCTGGGCCGCTGGTCCCAGGGCCTTGCAGCCCCAAGGGGAGGGCTGTGTTGGGCATCCTTGAAACTGGTGCCCCACCCAGCACCCTGACGTACTCCCCTGGGGGTCAGCTCTCCACAGCAGCTGAGGTTGGAGGGCTTAGGGGCCCCAGAAGTGCCTTGCCGGTCAGTCACCCTCAGAGCACCAGGGAGGACTCTCCCAGGAGCTTATTAGAAATGGAGGGTCCAGCCGGGCGCAGTGGCTCACACCTGTAATCCCAGCACTTTGGGAGGCCGAGGCGGGAGGATCACGCGATCAGGAAATCAAGAACATCCTGGCTAATACGGTGAAACCCAGTCTCTACTAAAAATACAGAAAATTAGCCAGGTGTGGTGGCAGGCGACTGTAGTCCTAGCTACTCGAGAGGCTGAGGCAGGAGAATGGCATGAACCCGGGAGGCGGAGCTTGCAGTGAGCTGAGATCGCACCACTGCACTCCAGCCTGGGTGACAGAGCGAGACTCCATCTCAAAAAAAAAAAAAAAAAAAAAAAAAAGAAATGGAGGGTCCTGGCCAGGCACCGTGGCTCACGCCTGTAATCCCAGCACTTTGGGAGGCCAAGGCGGGCAGATCACAAGGTCAGGAGTTCGAGACCAGCCTGGGCGACATGGTGAAACCCCTGTCTCTACTAAAAATACAAAAATTAGCCAGGCATGGTGGCGCAGGCCTGTAATCCCAGCTACTCAGGAGGCTGAGGCAGGAGAATCACTTGAACCTGGGAGGCAGAGGTTGCAGTGAGCCGAGATTGCGCCACTGCACTCCAGCCTGGGCAACAGAATCGAAACTCCATCTCAAAAAAAAAAGAAAGAAAGAAACAAGCCCCTGAACTCTGCTCCCTCTCCTGTCTCCAACTCACGAGGAGGAGCAGGCAGGCTCGTGGCTTATCTGCAAGGCTGTTGTAGTCGGGCGGGTCGGGGGACATAGGGTAATCCCTCCAGCGTCCTATCGATGTCCCTGGTCACCCTCCGCAGTGATTGCACGAAGAGCTTTCACTGAGCACTCCAGCTGTCCCGAGAGCTGTCAGGGGATCTCACCTGCTCAGGACTCCTCGTTTTGCAGTGGAGGAAAGTGAGGCACAGAGAAGTTATGTAATTTGTCTAGAAGTATGTAACACAGCTGGCATGCATAGGAGCCGGGATTCGAACCCAAGCCATCAGGCCCAGAACCCCTGCTCTTAACCATGAAAGTTATATGTCTTCTTGTGTAAAACAGCTGGAGCCCCCATCACGCGACAGGGAGAATGGCCATCTTTCTTCCCTGGGTCCTACAGGAAGTCCAGGCACCCCAGGGGCTTCCTCCATTCTGAAGAAAGACTAGGAAAACCTCTGTCCCAGGACACCCTTCTCTGCCGCCCACTGCCCGGCTGCTGGGGCTGCCTCACTGAGGTAGGTGTCAAGGGCACAGGAGGGGAGGGGTGCTCCCAGGGCCTGGCTGCCAGGGAATTTACATGCCCTAGAGTCACAATGCTTCATCTGGCTGGGAGCAGTGGCTCACGCCTGTAATCCCAGCACTTTGGGAGGCCGAGGCAGGTGGATCACGAGGTCAGGAGATCGAGACCATCCTGGCTAACAGGGTGAAACCCCGTCTCTACTAAAAATACAAAAAATTAGCCGGGCGTGATGGTGGGCGCCTGTAGTCCCAGCTACTTGGGAAGCTGAGGCAGGAGAAGGGCATGAACCCGGGAGGCAGAGCTTGCAGTGAACTGAGATCACGCCACTGCACTCCAGCCTGGGCAACAGGGCGAGACTCCATCGCAAAAAAAAAAAAAAAAAAAAAGAAAGAAAGAAAAAAGGAAAAAACAAGGCTTCATCTGCCCTTGCTGAAGTCTCCCCTTCCCCAGCACTCCCTCCACAGGCCTGGATCACAACCACATCCCCCTGCAGTTTCCCCAGTGCCTCTCCCCTCCCTGCCTGCCCCTCAGAGGGGTCAGGGCAGCAAGTAGCCTTGCAGGAAGGAACAGGGTGGCCTGGGGGCTCCTAGAGAGTCTCCCCCGAGCCACAGACTATCCACTCCAGCAAGGCATCCAGGCTCCCGTGTCACCAGAGGACAGATCGTTTTTTGTTTGTTTGTTTGAGACAGAGTCTTGTTCTGTCACCCAGGCTGGAGTGCAGTGGCGCAATCTCAGCTCACCGCAACCTCTGCCTCCTGGGTTCAAATGATTCTCCTGCCTCAGCCTCCCGAGTAGCTGGGATTACAGGCATGCGCCACCACGCCTGGCTAATTTTTGTATTTTTAGTAGACACGGGGGTTTCACCATGTCGCCCAGGCTGGTCTCGAACTCCTGACCTTGTGATCTGCCCGCCTCGGCTTCCCGAAGTGCTGGGATTACAGGCGTGAGACAAAACACCTGCCCCCCCCCTTTTTTTTTTCTCTGAGATACAGTCTCTGTTGCCCAGGATGGAGTGCAGTGGTGCCATCTCGGCTCACTGCAACCTCCACCTCCCGGTTCAAGTGATTCTCCTGCCTCAGCCTCAATAATAGCTGGGATTACAGGCACCTGCCACCATGCCCAGCTAATTTTTGTATTTTTAGTAGATATGGGGTTTCACCATGTTGGGCAGGCTGGTCTCGAACTCCCGACCTCAGGTGGGCCCACCTCAGCCTCACAAAGTGCTGGGATTACAGGCTAAGCCACCGCGTCTGGCCCAGTTTTTTTGTTTGTTTGCTTTTGTTTTTGAGACTGAGTCTCACTCTGTCGCCCAGGCTGGAGCGCAGTGGCGCGATCTTGGCTCACTGCGAGATCTGCCTCCTGGGTTCATGCCATTCTCTTGCCTCAGTCTCCCGAGTAGCTGGGACTACAGGTGTCCGCCACCACATCTGGCGAATTTTTTTTTTGTATTATTAGTAGAGACGGGGTTTCACTGTGTTAGCCAGGATGGTCTCGATCTGCTGACCTTGTGATCTACCCGTCTTGGCCTCCCAAAGTGCTGGGATTACAGGTGTGAGCCACCGCGCCCAGCCTGGCCCGGTTTTTGTAAATAAGTAAATATACATCTTTTTTTTTTTTTTTTTTGAGACAGAGTCTCGCTCTGTCACCCAGGCTGGAGTGCAGTGGCGCGATCTCAGCTCACCACAAGCTCTGCCTCCTGGGTTCACGCTATTCTCCTGCCTCAGCCTCCCGAGTAGCTGGGACTACAGGTGCCCGCCACCACGCCGGGCTGAGTTTTTGTATTTTTAGTAGAGACGGGGTTTCACCGTGTTAGCCAAGGTGGTCTCGATCTCCTGACCTCGTGATCCTCCCGCCGTGGCCTCCCAAAGTGCTGGGATTACAGGCCACCGTGCCCGGCAATTTACATATATTTTTTGCAGAGAGGGAGTATCGCCATGTTGCCCAGGCTGGTCTTGAACTCCTGTGCTGAAGGGATCCTCCCATCTCAGTCTCCCAAAGTGTTGAGTTGTGTGAACCAGAGCAACTCCATCTTGAGCAGGGGCTGAGTAAAATGAAGCTGAGACCTACTGGGCTGCAATCCCAGGAGGTTAAGACATTCTAAGTCACAGGATGAGATAGGAGGTCGGCACAAGATACAGGTCACAAAGACTTTGCTGATGAAACAGGCTGCAGTAAAGAAGCTGGCCAACACCCACCAAAACCAAGATGGCGATTAAGAGTGACCTCAGGGCGTCCTCACTGCTACACTCCCACCAGCACCATGAAAGTTTACAAATGCCATGGCAACGTCAGGAAGTTACCCTATATGGTCTAAAATGGGGAGGCATGAATAATACACCCTCTATTTAGCATGTAATCAAGAAATAACCATAAAAATGGGCAAGCTTGGCCAGGCATGGTGGCTTAGGCCTGTAATCCCAGCACTTTGGGAGGCCAAGGCAGGGAGATCATCTGAGGTCAGGAGTTCTAGACCAGACAGGCCAACATGGGGAAACCCCGTCTCTACTAAAAATACAAAAAGTTAGCCAGGCGTGGTGGCTCATGCCTGTAATCCCAACTGCTCTGGAGGCTGAGGCAGGAGAATCGCTTGAATACAGCAGGCAGAGGTTGCAGGGAGCCAAGATCATGCCACTGCACTCCAGCCTGGGAAACAGAGGGAGACTCCATCTTAGAAACAAACAAACAAAAGGGCAACTAGCTGCCTTCGGACCTGCTCTGCCTTAGCCATTCTTTTTTTTTTTGAGATGGAGTCTTGCTCTGTTGCCCAGTCTGGAGTGCAGTGGCACAGTCTGGGCTCACTGCAACCTCTGTCTCTTGGGTTCAAGAGATTCTCCTGCCTCAGCCTCCCGAGTAGCTGGGATTACAGGTGCCTGCCACCATGCCCGGCTAATTTTTTGTATTTTTAGCAGAGGCATGATTTCTCCATGTTGGCCAGGCTCGTCTTGAACTCCTGACCTTGTGATCTGCCTGCCTCAGCCTCCCAAATTGTTGGGATTATAGGCATGAGCCACCGCGCCCAGCCCAGAACAGGCAACATTTTTTTTTTTTTTTTTTTGAGACGGAGTCTCACTCTGTCGCCAGGGCTGGAGTGCAGTGGCGCGATCTTGGCTCACTGCAACCTCCGCCTCCTGGGTTCAAGCGATTCTCCTGCCTCAGCCTCCCAAGTTGCTGGGATTACATGTGCCTGTCATTATGCCCAGGTAATTTTTTTGTATTTTTAGTAGAGACGGGGTTTCACCGTGTTGGCCAGGCTGCTCTCGAACTCCTGACCTGGAGATTCACTCGCCTCGGCCTCCTAAAGTGCTGGGATTACAGGCGTTAGCCACCGTGCCTGGCCAGGCAACTTTTAAACCCAAGCAGCTTCTGTTCTTGTCTTTGACCACCCTGGGCTCCCTGCGCCAGAGTCTCAAAATGTCAAGGCAGGGAGTGTCCTTGGAGATGATCTTTCTACATCCTCATTTCAAAGACAGGCAGGAGCTCAGAGAGGTGAAGGGATTTGCCCAAGGACACACAGCTTCTCAGTGATTACATCAGCTATTGCTCACGGTCCTCCACTTCCACTCCCCACCTCCACCTCCCACAGAGATCCAAGGGATTAGAAGCTGATATTTTATCAGGGCATTTGCTGCCTGGAATTAAGACATTTCCCAGCCTCCCTTACACATAGGTGTGGCCATGTGACTAATTTTTGGCCTCAATGTAAGGAGTGTGTTTGACTTCATAAAGAGTTCTTAAAGGGAAAGGCACACTCTACTCCCTTCTCACTTCTGGGAATGCAGATAAAATGGCAGGAGTTTCAGCAACCATTTTGAACACGAAGTGATCTCAGAAATGAAAACTATTCATGTGGCCCAGTGCAGTGGCTCATGCCTGTAATCCCAGCACTTTGGGAGGCTGAGGCGGGTGGATCACCTGAGGTCAGGAGTTCAAGACCAGCCTGGCCAACATGGCAAAACCCCGTCTCTACTAAAAATACAAAAATTAGCCAGGCATGGTGGTGGGCGCCTATAATCCCAGCTACTTGGGAGGCTGAGGCAGGAGAAACCTTTGAACCTGGGAGACGGAGGTTGCAGTGAAGCCTCGGCGACAGAGTGAGACTCCGTCTTAAAAAAGAAAACTAGGCCGGGCGCGGTGGCTCACGCCTGTAATCCCAGCACTTTGGGAGGCCGAGGCGGGTGGATCATGAGGTCAGGAGATGGAGACCATCCTGGCTAACATGGTGAAATCCAGTCTCTACTAAAAATACAAAAAAATTAGCCAGGCGTAGTGGCAGGCGCCTGTAGTCCCAGCTACTCGGGAGGCTGAGGCAGGACAATGGCGTGAACCGGGGAGGCGGAGCTTGCAGTGGGCCAACATAGAGCCACTGCCCTCCAGCCTTGGCAACAGAGCGAGACTCTGTCTCAAAAAAAAAAAAGAAATGGAGGGTCCAGGCCGGGCGCGGTGGTTCACACCTGTAATCCCAACACTTTGGGAGGCTGAGGCGGGCGGATCACAAGGTCAGGCGTTCGAGACCAGCCTGGGAAACCGAGGGAGACCTCCATCTCTACAAAAAGCACGAAAATTAGCCGGGCATGGCGGTGTGGGCCTGTAGTCCCAGCTACTTGAGAGGCTGAGGTGGGAGGATCACCTGAGCCCAGGAGAGGCTGCAGTGAGTTGTGATCGTGCCACTGTTAGCGTTGGAGGGTTTCCAGGATCTTGGTGTCTTGAACAAAGAATTGGACAAAACGTATAAACAAATCAAGGAAAGAATGAAGAAACAAAAGCAGAGTTTTATTGAAAACAAAAGTACAGTCGACTGCACAGAGTGGGAGCGGCCGGAGCACGTTGGCTCAAGAGCCCGTCACAGAATTTTCTGGAGTTTAAATACTCTCTAGAGGTTTCCATTGGTTATTTGGTGTGCACCCTATGTAAATGAAGAGGCTTAAAGTGAGTTACTGAAGTGAAGTTACAAAGCTATTTACTGGGTGTACACCCTATGTAAATGAAGAGGATGAAGTTACAAAGTCACTTACTTGGTGAACGCCCTATGCAAATGAAGAGGATATTTCCTGTCGTAGCTGAAATGCCTCCTCTCTCCTCTCCATCTGATTTAGTTCTGGGAAGTCCTCAGGTTCCCTTCCTCTAGGACTTATTCTCCCGTCTCACCACTGCACTCAAGCCTGGGCCCCAGAGCCAGACTCTGTGTCTAAAAAAAAGAAAAAAAGAGGCCAGGCACAGTGGCTCACACCTGTAATCCCAGTACTTTGGGAGGCTGAGGCAGGTGGATCACCTGAGGTCAGGAGTTGGAGACCAGCCTGGCCAACATGGTGAAACCCCGTCTCTACTAAAAGTACAAAAAATCAGCCAGGCGTGGTGGCGTGAGCCTATAGTCCCAGCTACTCTGGAGGCTGAGGCAGGAAAATCACTTGAACCCAGGAGGCGGAGGTTGCAGTGAGCCAAGATTGCGCCATTGCACTCCAGCCTGGGCTACAGGGCAAAACTCCATCTCAAAAAACAACAGCAAACAAAAAGAAAAAAAATAAAACCAGGTACGGCAGAGCCACAGGATGAAAGGAATAAAGGCAGCCCAGGTTCCTGACACTGTGACACTCCTTGCCATATAAGCCCTGGGCCCCTCTAAACAGATTTTGTTTTTGTTTTTGTTTTTGAGACAGCATTTTGCTCTGTTGCCCAGGCTGGAGTGCAGTGGCACAATTCAGCTCACTGCAACCTCCACCTCCCGGGTTCAAGTGATTCTCCTGCCTCAGCCTCCCAAGTAGCTGGGATTACAGGCGCCTGCCACCACGCCCAGCTAATTTTTTTGTATTTTTAGTAGAGACGGGGTTTCACCATGTTGGCCAGGCTGGTCTCGAACTCCTGACCTCAAGCGATTCACTCCCCTTGGCCTCCCAAAGTACTGAGATTACAGGTGTGAGCCACCGCGCCCGGCCGACATCTTCACAATGAGAGAAAAATAAGCTTCCATTGAGTCTGAGCTGTCCTTTTCTGGGGTTTTCTACTGGGTCCGCTTGACTCTGAGTCTAACACTTTTCTTGCTCTTCCAGAGTTTCTTCTCTGAGGAGGTACAGTGAGGAACAGAGAGGTCTTGGTTCAGAGTAGGCCCTGGGGTTTATGATTTGACATTTTATGTAGGGTGCAGGGACCCCAAATGATTTCTATCTTCATTATTCTATTTATTTATTTTTTGGGATCAGTTTCGCTCTGTCACCCAGACTGGAGTGTAGTGGCGCCATCTTGACTCACTGCAATCTCCGCCTCCCGGGTTCAAGCGATTCTCCTGCCTCAGCCTCCTGAGTAGCTGGGACTATAGGGGCGTGCAATCACGCCCGACTAATTTTCGTATTTTTAGTAGAGATGAGGTTTCACCATGTTGGTCAGGCTGGTCTCGAACTCTTGACCTTGTGATCTGCCTGCCTTGGCCTCCCAAGGTGCTGGGATTACAGGTGTGAGCCACAGCGCCCGGCTATTTTTTAATTTTATTTTATTTTTGAGATGGAGTTTCGCTTTTCTTGCCCAGGCTAGAGTGCAGTGGCACGATCTTGGCTCACCACAGCCTCTGCCTCCCAGCTTCAAGTGATTCTCCTGCTTCAGCTTCCTGAGTAGCTGGAATTACAGGCATATGCCACCACGCCTGGCTAATTTTGTATTTTTAGTAGAGACCGGGTTTCTCCATGTTGGTCAGGCTGGTCTCGAACTCCTGACTTCAGGTGATCCGACCACCTAGGCCTCCCAAAGTGCTGGGATTACAGGCATGATCCACTGCACCCAGGCTTTATTTTTAATTTATTATATTTTTTTCAGACAGGGTGTTGCTCCGTTGTCCAGGCTGGAGTGCAGTGGCGTGCTCACAGCTCACTGCAGACTTCACCTACAGAACTCAAATGATCCTCCCACCTCAGCCTCCAGAGTAGCTGGGACTCTGCCATTGCACCTGGCCCAGAAATGATTTTTAGTAGTTAACTCCTTTTTCTTTCTTTTTTTAATTTTTGTTTTTTTGAGACAGTGTCTCACTCTCTCACCCAGGTTGTAGTCCAATGGTGTGATTGCCATTCACTGCAGCCTCAACCTCGTGGGCTCAAGTGATCCTCCCACCTCAGCCTCCCGAGTAGCTGAGACTACAGGTGCACGCCACAACCCCCAGCTAATTTTTTTTTTTTTTTTTTTTTTTTTTTTTTTTTTGTAGAGAAGGTTTCACCATGCTGCCCTGACTGGTCTTGAACTCCTGGGTTCAAGCGATCCTCCTGCCTTGACCTCTCAAAGTGGTAGGATTACAGGCTTGAGCCACTGCGCCCGCCTGCTAAACCCCTTTTCACAGGAAATTTTACTCAGAAGCTCAACAACAACAATAACAAAATCACTTCCTGAACTGAGAATGTCCAGTTGAAGTGAGTGGGGTGGGAGCCCTACCCACGTGGCCTCCCCTCCTAGGTCCCCAGTTCCCTAAGACACTCCCAGTTCCCTAAGCCTCTGGCACAGCTACGTATTTATTTATTTATTTATTATTTATTTATTTATGAGACAGAGTCTCGCTCTGTCTCCCAGACTGGAGTACAGTGGCACGATTTCAGCTCACTGCATCCTCTACCTCCCAGGTTCAAGCGATTCTCCTGCCTGAGCCTCTGAAGCAGCTGGGATTACAGGTGTGCACCACCACGCTCAGCTACTTTTTTGTATTTTTAGTACTTTTTGTATTTAGTATTTTTTTTATTTAGTAATTTAGTATATGTTGTATTTTTAGTGGTTTCACCATGTTGGCCAGGTTGGTCTCAAACTCCTGACCTCAGGTGATCTGCCCACCTCTGCCTCCCAAAGTGCTGGGATTACAGGCGTGAGCCACTGTGCCCGGCCAGGGCTACATTCTCGAAAGCACCTTCCTGCCCCCTGCCTTACCCCAGGATGGCAGGACCCAGTCTCTGGGTGTCAGAGAGAGTGACGGGAAGGCTACAGTGACTCAGCCTGGGAGCCACCAACAGCCATCACCCCTGGGCCTGAGGTCGGGCAGGGCTGCTTGTCACCCTCGGGAGTCTTTGGCTCCGGGGACTCAGGGCATAGCAGCACCTTCCCCAAGCCCTCCCCATCCCACAGGGCAGGCGTGGGAAGCAGCAGGTCCCACCTTTCCCCAGGATACTGCCTGGCAATGCCTGGGTAGCTGGAGTCTGGGTCAAACCCAGGGGAGCAGGAAGGCCCAGAGCCTCAGTCCCACTGCCAGGCCCCTCAGGCTCCTCCTTCATCAACAAAGCAAATGAAGGCAACAAACTCAGAGTGCACCTCTCCACCCTTCCCTCTGCTCCATGAGTGGCCACGCCACGCCCAGCCCTGCCCTGCCCTGCCCTGCCCCATGTCTTCCTCCCCACCGCTCTGTGACTCAGAGTTAAGAGATGAGACACTCTGAAATCACTCTAGGGTGAGGGGCTGGCATTTGTGTTGCCAACCTGATGTTCCCAGGAGGCACCCACAAACTACACCCTTGGTGGCTGAGGGTGCATCCTTCTGTTCAGCGAGTCATCAGGAAGCATGTCACAGTGGAGTGGTGCTTTCTCCATTGGTGGCAGGTGGAACACAAGCTTCTCGAAGTTTTCCACCATTGTTTCCCTAGTTGTGCAGGCCAATTGACCAGGATAATGGAGGCCTGCTGCTATCACAGAAGAACCTTGCTTTATCAAAAATCCACGTGAGGCTGGGTGTGGTGGCTCACGCCTGTAATCCTAGCACTTTGGGAGGCCAAAACAGGGAGATCACTTGAGGTCGGGAGTTCAAGACAAGCCTGGCCAACATGGTGAAACCCCGTCTCTACTAAAAATACAAAATTAGCTGGGTCTGGTGGTGCAGGCCTGTAATCCCAGCTACTTGGGAGGCTGAGGCAGGAGAATCGCTTGAACTCGGGAGGCAGAGGTTGTAGTGAGCTGAGATCACGCCACTGCACTCCAGCCTGAGCAACAAGAGCGAAACTCCGTCTCAAAAAAAAAAAAAAGAAAAAAAAAAGAGCAAAACTCTGTCTCAACAAAACAAAACAAAACAAAAAAACAAAACAAAACAAAAAACCCAAACCAAAAAACTCCATGCGAGTGTTACGCGGTACCCCTGCAACATGGGAATCCTTGTGTGATGCAAAAGTTAGGTTTTATGCATTTGCTCAATTTTGCACCTCCCACTCCAAATGGCCACGGAAGGCTGGTGCGCCGGAAGGTGTTCTGTGTCTGTCCGGTGGCTTCTCCTCAACCTAGCCTGCACTCGCCAGGCTCTCATTCTTGTAGTTCAGAAGCAAAGTTTTAGAGAGAGTATGGATTTTGCCATTGGAATTGCTGGCTTCCGGTTGTGGCTGTGTGACCTTGGGCATGTCACTCGACCTCTCTAAGCCTCCATTTCCTCTCTGCTTTTAGTCCCCACTAAGGCCAACGTGTGTATGGAAGTGGGGGTGGGGCTGGGGGTTGGGATGGCATTTTCTTCCTTGGCAGACAGGGCCCTTGAGAGCCTTAAAGAGGGGCCGGGCGCGTTGGCTCATGCCTGTAATCCCAGCACTTTGGGAAGCCAAGGCGGGCAGATCACCTGAGGTCAGGAGTTCAAGACCAGCCTGACCAACATGGTGAATCCCAGTATCTACCAAAAATACTAAAATTAGCTGGGCATGGTGGTGCATGCCTATAGTCCCAGCTACTCAAGAGGCTGAGGCAGAGGCAGGAGAATCGCTTGAACCCGGGAGGCAGAGGTTGCAGTGAGCTGAGATGGCGCTACTACACTCCAGGCTGGGTGACAGAGTGAGTCATGGTCTCAAAAAAAAAAAAAAAAAGAACCTTAAAGAGGACTGCTATGAGTTCTCCTTGCAGACGAGGAAAGTACCCCAGTTTGACCCCTCAGTCTCCGGCTCTGGCTGGGTAGGGCCATCCTGGCTTGGTACTTTTGCCCTAGCTCAGGCCACGGTGAGCCCCCCGGTGAGCAAATGCTCTTGGTCATGCCATGCAGAGGCTGGGCTGGGCGCTCTGTGGATCCCCACGCAGGATGGGTTCTGGGGTGCACAGAAGAACCTTTTTCAAACATGGTGGTAAAACGCACATCACATAACACTTACCGTTTAAACCATGCTTAAGTGTACAGTTCACGTCTTTGCCATGGTCAGGGGAAAGAAGGAGGAAGGGAGGAATGGAAAGAAAGAAAAGAAAAATAAAGAAAGAGAAAGAAAGGAAGGAAGGAAAGGGAGGGAACAAACGAATGAAAGAGAAAGAAAAAGAAAGAGAAAGAAAGGAAGAAAGAAAGAAAAAGAAAGAAAGGAAGGAAAGAGAAAGAGAAAAAGGAGGGAAAGAGGGAAAGAGAAAAAGAGGAAGGAAGGAAGGAAAAGAAAGAAGGAAGGAAAGAAGAAAGGAGGCAGGGAGGGAGGAAGGAAGGAAGGAAGGAAGGAAGGAAGGAAGGAAGGAAGGAAGGAAGGAAAAAAAAAGCGTACAGTTCAATCTAAGCCGAAACTCCATACCCATTAAACAATACCTCCCCATTCACGGCTCCTCCCAGCCCCTGGCAACCACTATTCTACTTCCTGTCTCTCTGAATTTGACTACTCTGGACACAGAATGTAAGTGGAATCCTACAGTATTTGTCTTTTTGTGACTAGCTTATTGCACTCCGCATAATGTCAGGGTTCACCTTTCATCCATGTTGCAGCATATGCAGAATTTCCTTCTTTCTGCGGTTAAAGAGCTCTCCACTGTCCGTATAGACTGTTTGCTCACCCCTTCACCCGTCCGTGGACCCGTGGGCTGCTCCCACCTTTTGGCTGTTGGGAACGCTGCTACTGTGAAAGTGGGTGTGCAAATGGAAGAACATTATTTTGATGGTGTTGAATTTGGTTTAACCCATATTAGAGCAAACATAAGGAGCACAGCAAACATCACAGATATGAGATGAATGCTTAGGGTGCGGCTGCAGTGACGAAGTGATTTCAGGTCAATCACGAAAGGGTGACAGCGGACAGGATGAGAGTCGCCAGGAGCCAGCGAGAATGACTTCGGTTTGAGAAAGTCTAAGCTGGGTCAAGCCAAGGAGGAGCCCAGGCCACTCGCCCCGCGTCTCCCTCGCCGGGATCCCCTCCTCGGACCTCCCCCTCCTGTCTCCGGGCTAGCCCTTCTGCCTGCGGCTACCACACTCCCCTGGGGCAGCTTTGGCCCCGGGTTCCAGGAAAGCATCTGATTGGCCGTGTTCTCACTAGGCCAGCCCTGATAGATCACTGGCCAGCCTATGGATAGGCTCCCCTCAGTCAGATGCCCATGCCTGGTCCAATCAGCGGTGGGAAGCCGGGAGGGTCGGGGAAGTAGCTGTGGCTGGCGGGGCTCCCAACTCCTGCAGGGACTCCTGGCGGGTCCAAGGTGAAGCCCGGCCAGTCTCAGGCTTCACAGCGCCCCCTGGTGGTCCGGGGCGGAGGCGGGGAGGAGCCCAGGCAGCCGCAGGGCGAGGCTCAGGGCAGGCGTGGAGGCTCAGATCCGTAATCTCAGCACTTTGGAAGCCAAGGGGGGAGGATCGCTTGAGATTGGGAGTTTGAGGCTAGCCTGGGCAACATAGTGAGACCCCCTATCTCTACTAAAAATTAAATTTAAAAAAAGGGGGTCAAGGTCTGAGCATGGCTGACTCCACTCTGGACTCCATACCTGAGGGTAACCAAGGGAAGGGTGTTGGGGAGCGGTCCTGCCTGGGGCTGACCCCCCAGAACCTGCCCAGCTCCCCTTCTATCTGGGGCTGGGGGAGTTGGTTAGTGCGGGGTGGGGTGCGGGGACCCAGAACCCCCCAAAGCTGCTCTTCTCTCCCGGGCAGCCTCTGCCTTCTCCCAGCCCCCCTTTCATCACTCAGGGAGCCCTGAAAGTGAGGACCTCAGGTACTGTGCGTTTCCTAACCTCGCCTCAATCCTGGGTGTCCTGTTTGGACTCTGGGGCCCTCTGCGCGGCTCTCAGCGAATCTCTCAGCACAGGGGTGCATGGGTACCCCGCCCTTTGGTTCCAGGCTCAAGTCAGTGGCACCGTGTCCCCTCCAGGCCAGAGAGAGGGGTCTGCTCCCAGCGGTTCGTGGGCGGCTGGGGCTGGCGCACACCCTCTCTGCCTTTCCCTCCCGAAGCGCCGCCGTGGGCCAGGCCCCACCCGAACGGGGAGCGTCCCTAATTGCCCTGCACTAATTGCAGCTTCACCTGCGCGGCTGGGCTGGCCTCCCCTGAGCCTGGAGCTTGTTATTGGAAATAAGCCGATTTCTCCAGTTTGGGAGAATTCAGACTTGGGGGTTGAACTACTTGTGATTTGGGGCATTTATCATTGAAAATAGGCCTCGTTCCCTCACGGAGAGTTTTCTGTAAACAACTCGGCGCCACACATCCAGGCTCGCGTATCCGGGGCCCTGGGACCACACACAGGCCCCAAGGGTTTGGGGGCTGAAACCGGGAAGGTTCAGGGCTGCCTCCAGCATTGACCGGGTCTCAGCTGAGCCACAGCCCATCTGAAGGCTTAACGCAAGCTCTGGCTCTTTTTTTCTCTTTCTTTCTTCCTTCCTTCCTTCCTTCCTTCCTTCCTTCCTTCCTTCCTCCCTCCCTCCCTCCCGTCTCTTTTTTTCTTTCTCCTTTCCTTCCTTCCTTCCTTCCAGCCACAGCCCATCTGAAGGCTTAGCCCAAGCTCTGGCTCTTTTTTTCTTTCTCCCTCCTTCCTTCCTTCCTGCCACAGCCCATCTGAAGGCTTAGCTCAAGCTCTGGCTCTTTTTTTCTTTCTCTCTTCCTTCCTCCTTCTCCCTTCCCCTCCTCTTTCCTTTCTTTTTGACAGAGTTTCACTCTTTCACCCAGGCTGGAGTGAAGTGGCTCACTGCAACCTCTGCGAACCCTTCCTTCCTTTCTTTTCTTTTCTTTTTCTTTTTTTTTGACAGAGTTTCACTCTTTCACCTATGCTGGAGGGAAGTGGCTCACTGCCTCCTGGGCTCAGGCAATTCTGCCTCAGCCTCTCGAGTAGTTGGGATTACAGGCACCCACCACCACACCCAGCTAATTTTTTGGTACTTTTTAGTAGAGACGGGGTTTCACCATGTTGTCCAGGCTGGTCTCAAACTCCTGACCTCACGTGATCCACCAGCTTCAGCCTCCCAAAGTGCTAGGATTACAGGCGTGAATCACAACGCCTGGCCCTTTTTTTCTGTTTTTGAGATAGAGTCTCCCTCTGTCACCCAGGCTGGAGTGCAGTGGTGTGATCACAGCTCACTGAAGCCTCAAACTCCTGGGCTCAAGCGGTCCTCCCACCTCAGCCTTCCGAGTAGCTGGGACCACAGGCACGTGCCACTATGCCTGGCTAATTTTTAAAATTTTTGTAGAGAAGAGGTTTTGCCATGTTTCTCAGGCTGGCCTGGAACTCTTGGGCTCAAGTGATCCTCCTGTCTTAACCTCCCAAAGTGCTGGGATTCCAGGTGTGAGCCACCCACACCTGGCCTTCTCTAAGAGTTTTATTGATGTAGGCCATGAGTGGTGGCTCACACCTGTAATCCCAGCACTTTGGGAGGCTGAGGCAGGTGGGTCACTTGAGACAAGCCTGGGCAGATGGCGAGAATAATTATTGCTGAATAATTTCCATTGTATGGAAATCCCACACTTTATACATCTATTCACCAGTTAATGGATATGCCTTTCCATTTTGAGGGTATTATGAATAATGCTGCTATGGATGTTGACTAAAGAAATAAAATGCAGCTGGGCATGGTGGCTCACACCTGTAATCCCAGAACGTTGGGAGGCCGAGGTGGGCGAATCACGAGGTCAGGAGTTTGAGTCCAGCCTGGCCAATATGGTGAAACCCCGTCTCCACTTAAAAAAAAAAAAAAGGGCTGGGCGCAGTGGCTCACGCCTGTAATCCCAGCACTTTGGGAGGCCAAGATGGGCAGATCATGAGGTCAGGAGATCAAGACCATCCTGGCTAACACGGTGAAACCCTGTCTCTACTAAAAATACAAAAAATTACCCGGGCATGGTGGTGGACACCTGAGGCTGAGGCAGGAGAATGGCGTGAACCTGGGAGGTGGAGCTTGCAGTGAACCGAGATCACGCCACTGCACTCCAACCTGGGTGACAGAGGGAGACTCCATCTCAAAAAATAAAAACAAAAATAAACAAAAAAGCCAGGCGTGGTGGCGCACACCTGTAGTACCAGCTACTTGGGAGGCTGAGGCAGAAGAATGGCTTGAACCTGGGAGGTGGAGGTTGCGGTGAGCCAAGATCACACCACTGCACTCCAGCCTGGGTGACAGAGCGAGACTCCGTCTCAAAAAAAAAAAAAGAAAAAAAAAAAAAAGGCTGAGTGCAGTGGCTCATGCCTGTAATCCATCCCAGCACTTTGGGAGGCTGAGGCAGGTGGATCACCTGAGGTCAGGGGTTCGAGATCAGCCTGGCCAACATGGTGAAATCCCGTCTTTACTAAAAATAGAAAAATTAGCTGGATGCAGTGGTGAACGCCTGTAATCCCAGCTACTCAGGAGGCTGAGGCTGGAGAATAGCTTAAACCTGGCAGGCAGAGGTTGCAGTGAGCCGAGATCGCACCACTGCACTCCAGACCAGGCAACAGAGTGAGACTCCATCTCAAAAAAAAAAAAAAAAAAAAGAAAGAAAGAAAGAAAGAAAGCTTTTAAAGATATGAGTTTGGGCCGGGCGTGGTGGCTCACGCCTGTAATCCCAGCACTTTGGGAGGCCGAGGCAGGCGGATCACGAAGTCAGGAGATCGAGACCATCCTGGCTAACATGGTGAAACCCCGTCTCTACTAAAAATACAAAAATTAGCCGGGTGTGGTGGCAGGTACCTGTAGTCCCAGCTACTCAGGAGGCTGAGGCAGGAGAATGGCATGAACCCGGGAGGTGGAGATTGCAGTGAGCCAAGATAGCGCCACTGCACTCCAGCCTGGGCAACAGAGCAAGATTCCGTCTCAAAAAAAAAAAAAAAAAAAAGATATGAGTTTGATGGCTGGGCACCTTGGCTCACGCCTGTAATCCCAGCACTTTGGAAGGCCGAGGTGGGCGGATCACCTGAGGTCGGGAGTTCAAGACCAGCCTGACCAACATGGAGAAACCCCATCTCTACTAAAAATACAAAAATCAGCCGGGTGTGGTTTCGCATGCCTGTAATCACAACTACTCAAGAGGCTGAGGCGGGAGAATCGCTTGAACCCAGGAGGCAGAGGTTGTGGTGAGTCGAGATTGTGCCATTGTACTCCAGCCTGGGCAACAAGAGTGAAACTCCGTCTCAAAAAACAAAAAAGAGTGAGTTTGATTCAGAAGCCTCCTGAGGACATTACCCAGAGGCTGATAGCCCAGAACATTTCCTTGGTGAGGTTTTCTTAGATTGCTCCAAAATAGTTTCAGCTCACAGTTATACATGAATTGTGGGAGTTCAATACGTGCAAAATCACATCAGACTTGCTCAGAAGTTACACTGAGGCAGAGTTACATCAAGGTTTGGGTAAGAATACATCTGGTTATAGATCACAGAAGCATCATCACTAACCAGATGTTTTTTTGTTTTTTTTTTTGAGACAGAGTCTCGCTCTGTCGCCCAGGCTGGAGTGCAGTGGCGCGATCTCGGCTCACTGCAAGCTCCGCCTCCCAGGTTCACGCCATTCTCCTGCCTCAGCCTCTCGAGTAGCTGGGACTACAGGCGCCCGCCACCACGCCCGGCTACTTTTTTTGTATTTTTAGTAGAGACGGGGTTTCACCATGTTAGCCAGGATGGTCTGGATCTCCTGGCCTCGTGATCCGCCTGCCTCGGCCTCCCAAAGTGCTGGGATTACAGGCGTGAGCCACCACGCCCGGCCCTAACCAGATGTAATGAGGAGGGAAAGGCAAGGCTAGGGTCATGGATCTTTTAGAGAATGTAGCAACTCAAGCCAGAGGCGTGGGGAGGGGGACTGTGTGCTCTGTCGCGTTTTGTCTTCAAAGCAACTTTCTGGAGAGCTGCAGGTGGTCACAGAGGTAGGGCTTTGTGAAACTGTGCTGCAAACAGAAAGGAGCATGCTTGGCTTCCTAGGTGTGCTACTTTATCTCACAGAACGTTCACATACAGATCTTTGTGTTAGAGATGTTTTCAGGCCAGGCATGGTGGCTCACGCTTGTAATCCCAGCATTTTGGGAGGCTGAGGCGGGAGGATTGCTTGAACCCAGTTCGACTCAGCCTGGGCAACATAGTGAGACCCTGTTTCCACAAAAATAAAAATAAAAAAATCAGCCAGGTGTTGTGTCGCTCCCTGTAGTCCCAGCTACTTGAGAGGCTGAGGTGGAAGGATCACTTGAGCCTGGGAGGTTGAGGCTGCAGTGAGCTGTGATCATGCCACTGCACTCTAGCCTGGGTGACAGAGTGAGATCCTATCTCTAAGAAAATAAAAGAAAAAAAAAGAATATTGTTTTCATTTCTTGGGCAGGTACCTAGGAGTGGAACTGCTGGTTCCTATGATGAGTTTAGGAAATGGCCAAGCTTTTCCAAGTTGTTGCATCATTTTGCATTCCCACTGGGGGATTGTATGAGAGTTCCAGTTGCTCCATGTTCTTGTCAACAGTCGGTATGTTGGGATTTTTTTCTTTTCTTTTTTTTGTGAGACAGGGTCTTGCTCTGTCACCCAGGCTGGAGTGCAGTGGCATGATCACGGCTCACTGCAACCTTGACCTCCCAGGCTCAGGTGATCCATCCACCTCAGCCTTCTGAGTATCTGGGACCACAGGCAGGCACCATCATGCCCGGCTAATTTATTTTATTTTATTTTATTTTTGAGATGGAGTTTCACTCTGTCACTCAGGCTGGAGTGCAATGGCACCATCTCGGCTCACTGCAACCTCTGCCTCCCGGGTTCAAGCAATTCTCCTGCCCCAGCCTCCCGAGTAGCTGGGATTACAGGCACCTGCTATCAAGCCCAGCTAATTTTTTTTTTTTGTATTTTTTGCAGAGATGGGGTTTCACCACGTTGGCCAGGCTGGTCTCAAACTCCTAACCTCAGGCAATCTGCCTGTCTTGGGCTTCCAAGGTGCTGGGATTACAGGCATGAGCCACCGCGCCTGGCCACGCCCGGCTAACTTTTTTATTTTTATTTTTTGTAGAGATGAGGTCTCACTATATTTCCCAGGCTGGTCTCAAACTCCTGAACTCAGGTGATCCGCCTTGAGTTCAGGAGTTTGAGCCTTGAGCGTTTGTATCTTGATTTAGTGGTTGGTGCTCCTCCAACCTCCCCAGGCCCTGAGGATTTGGAGCTTCAGGGAGAAGGAAGAGAGTTCCCAGCCCCTCCTTAGCCAGTCCCATCCTCCTCCAGGAGCCTTCCCTGCTTGTTCTGGCCCTGGAAGGTCTGCTGTCTACGATCTGTCCCCACTGCTTCCCCATCATTGTGCTAAGCTGTGATGCCCATAATAATAAACCAGGCTTCCTGAGATTCATGCCTTTGTGAGTCTCATTCCACGTGAACTCTGGGCTTGTCTTGGAGAATGAGGTATTAGAAAGCATGATGGAAGCAGAGGTTTAATGAGCTCTTGCACACTGGGGCTTGTCCTGCCATGCTGTGAGGAAGACCAAGTTAGCCACGTGGAGAAGCCAAGCAAAGGAGCACCGAAGCAGGGTGGCAGCCCATGCTGGAGGCAGCCGAGCTCCCACTGGCAACCAGCACCAACTGTAGCCATGTGGATGAACCACTTGGACATTTCACTCCAGTTGGGCCTCCAGATCCCTACAGCTGTAGAGTGATCCCAGCGGGCGCCACAGGAAGCAAAAGAGCCATCCAGTCAATCCAGAGAACCGCAAACAATCCTACATCATTGCTGTTTAAAGCCACCCTGGCAGGGTTGTTTGTTGCACAGCAGAAGAGAACTGATACACTGTGGAGATCTCCTTGTCTCTCAGGGGTCACCGGCATAACCTGCAGCTCCTCCACCCTCCACCTTTCCCCTTCCTGTCCATCACTTTTGAAGGGTGGGCAGTTTACCTAATCACTGCCCTCCTGGGGCCAGGAAGCCCCTTCCAGTTCAGCCCTCTGCTCCCTTCACAATGGGCACTGAGGAAAGCATCTCCTGGCAGGGCCTCCGCACCCCTCCAGGCCCTCAGATCCCTGCTGGACATACGGACATAGGGTGGCATAGTGAGGGCTGGCTCCTGGGAATCCTGATGCCGCCACCTGGACAGCACTGGACCCTCAGTGGGCTCTGCTGACAGTGTCCTGGGGGTTCCTGGATGGGGACAGATGACAGGCCGAGGGGGTGGCGCAGCAGGGATAGGAGCTGCAATGGAAGGCTAGGCCGAGTCTCTCCCCACACTGCCCGCACGCTCTCCCCTGCATCCAGCTCCTGAGGCGCTCTGGCCTCAGCATCTGCACCTGTAAAGTGGGCCTGGAGTATGCGGAAGTCCCAGCCAGGCAGACACACAGGAGCCTGGTAGACGTGCGGCTGGGGAAGGCAAGGGAAGTGGCAGTTGGGACGCGCGAGCAGGCCGGGCTGCGTGGACGGCCACCAGGTGGAGGGTACAGGAGCGCTGGGGTCCGCTCTCCTAGGGAGATGGGGCTCGGACCGGGGACCCTGTCACCCGCAGTCCGCGGGCCGCGGGCGGGCAGAAGCAGAGCCTGGGACCTTGAGGGCGTCTCCCGACTGGGCGGGGGTCGGCGCTCGTCCCCGCTGGGAAGGCCGGGAAGCGGAGGCGCGCACAGCCCCCTCCCTGCGCCCAGCGCGGTCCGCGGACTCCGGCTGGGGGAGGGGAACCCGGAAGGGGCCCGCCGGACCACCTGCCTCGCCCGCCCCGCCGGGACCTCCGATCGGCCCAGCCGGGGGCAGGCGCAGTGGCGGCGGCGCGGATGGCGGGACTGTGGCCATTTCACCCGGGGGGAGGTGGAGACCCTGGTGGGCGGGGGGCCCGCCGAGGCCGCGGGGCGAGGGGAGAGCGGAGTGGGCACTCAGCCCGCGAACCCCGCCCCCGGGGCCAGGGCGCTGGGCGTCCCCGCCCCCGCACCCGCAGCCTGGTGCGCCCGGGTCGGGGGTCCCTCGCCCGGCTTCGGCGGAGGCTGCGGGTCGCAGTGACGTCCGCGGCCGCCAGGGGGCGGTGTCGGGCCGCGCTGGGCGCTGGGGTCGGGCTCCGGGCTGCCGCCCGCTTTCCCCTGAGCGGATGGGGATACTGAGGCCCGGACCCAGCCGTCACGGGCCAGGGCCTCGCCTCTCCCCGAGGGCGGTCGGCAGGGTCCGACCAGGGAACACCTCCGCCCCTGCAAACTCTCTCCGACCATGGCGCAGTTCAGCGGCGCTCAGTCCCCAACCCATGTCCCGGCCCCTTCCCCGCCTCGGGCCCGGAAAGTGATCTTGCGGACGCAGGGACCCGGCGGGTCGGGGCATGTGGGTAGAGGGCGCGCCCGCGCACTGGCCGCTGTCACCCTTGGGACTGCCCTGCACTGTGCGACCTGGGCCGGGCCAGGCCCTCCGGTCTCCGTTGCCCCTTCTGACTCACTGCTCTTCAAGCTGCAGCAAAGTCACAGCAGGCTTCGCCATGACCATGTCAGCCATACCCCTTCTGATGGTCACCTAGGTAGTTTCCAGGTTTTCCTTATTAAAGATGCAGCAGTGACTCTATCTCCCTAGTACTTGGTATGCACTTGTATTCTCTTCAAAGCTTTAATAATGAAATAGACATGAAATATAAGGCTGGGCGCGGTGGCTCACGCCTGTAATCCCAGCACTTTGGGAGGCCTAGGCGGGCGGATCACGAGGTCAGGAGATCGAGACCATCCTGGTTAACATGGTGAAACCCCGTCTCTACTAAAAATACAAAAAAAATTAGCCGGGCGTGGTGGCGGGCGCCTGTAGTCCCAGCTACTCGGGAGGCTGAGGCAGGAGAATGGCGTGACCCGGGGAGGCAGAGCTTCCAGCCTGGGCGACTCCGTCTCAAAAAAAAAAAAAGAAAGAAAGAAAATACAAAATTCAGCTAAATTCTTTTTTTTTTTTTTTTTTTTTTTGAGATGGAGTCTCGTTCTGTCACCCAGGCTGGAGTGCAGTGGCGCCATCTCGGCTCACTGCAACCTCTGCCTCCCGGGTGCAGGTGATTCTCCTGCTTCAGCCTCCCGAGTAGCTGGGATTACAGGTGCCCACCACCATGCCTGGCTAATTTTTTTTTGTATTTTTAGTAAAGACGGGGTTTCACCATGTTGGCCAGGCTGGTCTCAAACTCCTGACCTCAGGTGACCTGCCTGTCTCAGCCTACCGAAGTGCTGGGATTCCAGGTGTGAGCCACTGCCCCCGGCTGCTAAATTATTTTATGAAACATTAAATAATTAAGTCAGTTGAGGTGGCTCACACCTGTAATTCCAGCACTTTGGGAGGTTGAGGCAGGAGGATCGCTTAAGCTCAGGAGTTCAAGACCAGCCTGAGCAACATAGCAAGACCTGGTGTCATGTCTACAAAAATAAAAATTAAAAAATTTATTTTTTGTGTGTGGTGGCCATGTGCCTATAGTCCCAGCTACCTGGGAGGCTGAGGTGAGAGGATCACTTGAGCCCAGGAGAGTGAGGCTGCAGTGAGCTATGATTGCACCACTGCACTCCAGCCTGGGCAACAGAGCAAGACCCTGTCTCAAAAAAAAAAAAAAAAAAAAAAGCAAGAGAACAAAATCCACAGCAGTGAGCATTGTATTGTATATGTAACTTAGTACACAGGCAGGTATTCACCTGTGATAAGATGCCTACAGAAGGATCTGCCGGGCCCCCAAGCATGTGAGTTTTCCCTGCTGGTGGGGCAAGTGCCTGAGTCCTAACCCGGCCAGCACGGGCTTTCCCAGTCTACTCAGTTTTCGCCAGGAGCCTGTACACGTGCTGATTCCTGGCAAAGCTGAATGTCTATCTCCACGTGTCTGTTGGCCAGCATGTGGATAACCTATGGTGCCCTCGCCCATCTTCCCCCGGGCCGATCTTCCAGCTATGTTGGGGGCTCCCTGCACACTTGAGACGCCACTCCTTGGCTATACATGCTGGACCCTTCGGCTCCCAGGATGTCCCTTGTCTCCACTGGTTTTGTCCTGTCTTTGGTCTGTACTGGCATCCCAAAGCTGAGCCTTGAGAGACCAGCTGATGGGGCTGCAGACGCGGTGGGGCAGAGCCCAGCCTGCCACCGTAGGAGGGAGTAGTAGTGGCTCCTGGTGCAGGTGCCAGTCTTAAAGGCCAGGTGAGCTTTGGTCTGGTCTGGCCAGGCAGTGGAAGGACAGAACCTGCATGAGGTGGGGCAAGTGTTGGGACACCCCCAGGCTCTCACCCGGTCCTAGCCACTCCGCATGCTGGCCTTGCCAGTCTTGCCACATGAAACACCTTCCCTCTGACACCCAAAATCCACCTGACCCATGTCACAGATAAGTGACTGGTGCTCAGCCCAGTCCCACCACTGGTGGGTGGCTGATTAGGCGGGATCCAGCATGTCTGGTGCCAGCCCCTCCCTGAGGAAGCTGCCTGCCCTCCTGCCTGCACCTGTGGTGCCTTCCTGGCCGCGGCCACCTGTCCCATCCCAGTTGCGCAGATGGCAGGCTCCGCAGGCCTGGCTGGGTGGCAGGGGCTCAGGTCAGAGAGGATCTCAGTGTAGTCAGCAAATGAAGCCCTCTCCTCCAGCCCCCTCCCCACCATCCACCCCTTCCTATTCTCAGCAGATGGCCTTGAAAATAGAAGCCACCAGAGCAGATGTCTCCGAGCACCTTTACCTGTGCCCTCCTCTGTGTCTGTGCCCAACATGCTGCCCCCCCCCAAGAAGAACTGCCCATGTCGCCAGCCCAGGGTACCCCTCACGTGTGGCAGGCCCCACTCCAGCCGGCCTCCTCCAGGTTATCAGCTGGCCTGCATCGTCAGCGTTTTTGCCCATCAGCGCACTGCACACATAATGGACACACAGGACACACAAATGCAGGCTGCAGCATGCTGCCCACGCACACGCATGCACACACAGCGTGCCGCCCATGATGCACAGATGCATGTGTGGGCCTACCCACGTGTCTGAGTGCACATACATGCATGTGCACGTGTGTTATCTCCACCGTTTCATTCTTTAAGCCTGCCCCTTCCTCTCCTGTCCTCACAGCTCTATCCCGCTCCCCGCTTGCTCCTGAACTCTCTCCAAACAGGTTTCTCCCCTAACCCCATGACATTCTGTAAAGGGCACTGTGACCTATGGACCGAGTTTTGCTCTTGTTGCCCGGGCTGGAATGCAATGGCGCGATCTCAGTTTACCGCAACCTCCCGCCTCCTGGGTTCAAGCGATTCTCCTGCCTCAGCCTACCGAGTAGCTGGGATTACAGGCATGCACCACCAGGCCTAATTTTGTGTTTTTAGTAGCGACAGGGTTTCACCATGTTGGTCAGGCTGGTCTTGAACTCCTGACCTCAGGTGATCTGTCCGCCTCGGACTCCCAAAGTTCTGGGATTACAGGTGTGAGCCACCACATCTGAATCTGTCCCAGCCGACCGCTCCCTTATTTTTGGGACACCTTGGCTTCGGGAAGCCCTGTGCCTTCTTGGCCCCAAGACCCTCTCCCACCTCCTTTCCTGGAAGCCCCGGCTGGGGCCTCGGGCCTCTCACCTCCCATCCCTGGTGCCTCACACTCCAAGCGCCCTCTTTATACTCATGACCCCATCTCCAGGGCCATGGACACCTCTTGGCTCTGCCATCTTCCAGGTGCTCAGCTTTCCCCTAATACCCGGGAGGCCTCCTAGATTCTCCTCTTCTGCTCACACCCTCACCTATAGGTCAGGGGCCTGGCAGGAGGCGGCACTTCTCTCCAGGGACCCCTGGTGCCCTCCGCCTGCTCCAGCACAGTTGGCTTCAGTGGCTGCGGCCTCTCCGTCTCCCTGCAGTGCATACTCAACTAGAGTTGTCGAGAAAACCTAAGCCGGCCATACCACCCCTCCGAGGGCCCTTCCCACTCCCCAGCGTCCTCACACACTTTCCGGGGCCTCTGTGCTTGCAGCCCCAGCCTCCCCCTACTGCCTGTGGCTCCCTGCCTGGGCACACACAGACCCCTGCCCTGGTGGGACAAGCCCTCCCAGAGGAAGAGGAGTGTGCCTGGGTCAGGTCCCAGCAGGAGCATGATGGGGTCAAAGGTCAACTCCTATCCCAAGATGGCAAGACCCCCCTCCGCCCTCCACCTGGGGCTTCCTAGGTGTTTGGAAGTCATGCTCTGCCCATTCCCCTGCCCCAGCCACCCTCCCCGCAGCCCATCCTCCCTCCCTGAGGAACCTGCCCCTTCACAGCTGTTCACACGTCCCTGGGCAGCCTCTAGTGCAGCAGCGATGCCATGAAACCACCGTGGAGGGCACCATCAGCCTTGGCACTGCTGCCTTAGGAGGTGCAGCATGTCCACACTCATGCCCACAGGGGACAGCTTTCATCAGAAGACACTGCAGCAGAGATGGCGGCTGCAACCCAAAGCAGGGGGTTCCCCTGGGGCTGGATCTAAAAGTGACCTCAGGAGAAAAAGGCAAGAGGCTGAGGTGAGGCAGTGCTGTGGAGCCCCATGGCAGGGAGTGTTACTATGTCTGCTGCCACTTGCACTTACAGTGGGAAAGACGCACGCGGACTCACACTGAGGCTGGCTGGGGAGGGAGGGGACAGGCACGCAGGGCTTCCGATCTGCCGTGTGTTGCTCCTTCAACTGGGTCCCGGGCTCCCAGGCATCATGATGCTCTTTGTATGTGTGTCTAAAATAATTCACTAGTGAAACCACTTCCCAACCCCTCCACTTGGGCCTCAGGGGAAAATCCAGGATCCTTGCCGGGCATTCCAGGCCCCATGGGACCTGGCCAGTCAGGTGGCCTCTGCAGCCTTTGTGTCACACTCCAGACCTTGGCCCCTGCTTTGCCCTCTGCCAGAAATGCCTCTTTCTGCCCATCTGGACTTTGTGGCTATGTCCATGTCCACAGGAAGCTTCTAGGCAGCAGAGAAACAGGGTCAGACTTGGCTTTTAGAAAAAGGTCTCTGGGGCAGGCAGATCACTTGAGGCCAAGAGTTCGAGACCAGCCTGGCCAACATGGCAAAACCCCGTCTCTACTAAAAATACAAAAACTAGCTGTGAGTGCTGGTGCATGCCTGTAATTGCAGCTACTTGGGAGGCTGCAGCATGACAATTGCTTGAACCTGGGAAGTGGAGGTTGCAGGGAGCTGAGATTGCACCACTGCACTCCAGTCTGGGTGACAGAATGAGACTTTGTCTTGGGAAAAAAAAAAACCCTCTGGGATCCCCAGTGAGGAGGGCAGGTCAGGGCACGGGGGCAGGGAAGACATCAAGGGGTGGAGAGAGACCCGCCCTGAGGCCCAGTGCACAGCCTGGCATCCACTGGTGCCCTTTCACCCTCATTCCACCAGTAGCCATGGAGACGGCTGTATCTCAACTCCAGCCTTCGAAGAGGGCAAGAGAGCAGGGGAGCCTTGAGCCACAGACAGCCCACATGGGCACCATCTCCCCAAGATGTCCCCCAGGGTTTGGGCTCCCAAAGGCCGATTGTTGACTCCAGGACCTTCACTCACTTTGCTCTCCCCACCATCGTACTCAGAGGCATCCAGAACCGGCAGATGGGAGAAGCCCTAGGGAGATAGGCCTAGATACAGGAGGAGACATGTGGAGCTGAGGCAAAGGCGGGTGCGGATGCCAGGCCCAGTGCCCTCTATACCCCTACTCCTGCTGACAACCTGGCTGCTGTAAGCTTGGCAGTTGCCATGGACTCCCTGGGAGAGATGGCGTGGCCTGGAACGTCCCCCGCCCTGAGGTGGGGCAGGGCTGGTGGGGTCTGGTCATCCCCCTGGTGGGTCCATGCATGGCAGCCTGGGCAGGATACATGTGAGTGCCTACCTGGGCTGGGGTGGCCTGACCCTCTCTGGGCCTCACAGCTTTGTCTGCCTCATGGTACTGTCCACCTGGCCTCTCAGGACTGCTCTGTGGCGTGTGTGCTTAAGGGATTGAGCTCGTTGGGCTGGGGACAGAGGCCTGCCTAGGTCTGTTGAGAGGGCCCAGGTAAGACTTCCACCCAGACTGACTGGCTGGGGCACACAGAGAAGCCAGGACAGGGCTGATTGTGTGTGCAGGGGCGTGCCCTCTGGACGAGGCCCCTCCCACCGGGGCGAGGCAGAGGCCTTGCTTGGTTGGAGCGGAGTGGGGGAGTGGGAGGGTCTCCCTGGTGAGATAGTACTGGAAGGGCAGGGACAGCATTCTAGGGAAGGAACCAGAAAGAGCCCCTGCATGGAATGTGGGGATTTCACCATGAGACCCCGGCTGCCTGGCCTCTGAGAACGTGTGTGGGGGGATTCCAGGTGGAAGGTCGTGTCTGGGAGGATGGGTGGGGGGTTGAGCAGTCATTGCCCCTCTCCAGATCTGCGTCCACATCTGTAAAATGGGCCTAGAATTCCCAGCCGCTGGGGGCGAGTGAGGCCATAAATTAGTTGAGATGGACCCAGGCTCCTAAGCCCCCTAGGTCATGACCCCAAACCTTGGAACCCCCGACGGAGACGGTGGGGGTGGCCGAGGCCCAATCGAATCTATCCCGCCCAGATGTGGGAAGAACCGCAGGGCAAACCCCCGGCTTCCCTCCTGGCCGCTCCTCTCTTTGAGGCCACCTCTCTGAGCCCTGATTTGCTGGCGGGTGAACTGGGGATCATCGTGTCCACTGTGGCTGGTGGTCGTGAAACGAAGTGGAAACATGAGTGTTGAGGCCGAGATGGGCGCAGTGCGCGCTCCTAAACAGCTGTCCCCATCCGTCCGCCCCTCCCTCCCTTGCGCGGGTCAGCTGGAGCGGGGGCGCGCCAGGCACGACCCTGGCCGGGCAGAAGGCGGTGGAGCCCTTAGGGGTCGCGGCTCCTACCCCCGGCCCTCCCATGTGCAGATGGGGTAGCAGCCTGGAGGTTTTTCCCAAGGTCACGTAAGGTCAAAGAAAAGGGGAGCTGGACGCGACGAGGAAAGTCACGCACGGCGGAGGGCGGGCCACCTACGCGCGCGCCCGAGTTCGCAGAGCAGCGGCGCCCTCCCGGGCTAGGGCAGCTCGGAGCTCGGAGCCTTTCTTCGCCCGCAGCTCGGGTTCCGGGAGCCCCGCCCCCGCCCATCAACGCCCCGCCCCTTTCGCCACGGCCCCGCCCCTCCTCTCCGTTCTCCCCGCCGGCGCTCCCTCAAGTTTCTCCGAAGTTTTCCGCGGGTCCAGCGGTGCGCCCCGCCCGCCGGCCAGTGACGTAACAATGGTGCAGCGCGGCGGCCAATGGGTGGTGGCGGGGGCCGGCGGCGCGGGCCAATGGCGGCGGCGGACGGTCCCGCTGTCCTGCCTGGCCGGGGCCGCACTGCGCCGCCCGCCGCCCGCCGCCCGCCGCCCGCCGCCGGCGACGGCACCGCCGCCCTGCGATCCGGCCGCGGCGGCTCAGAGCGCGGCTGCGGCGGGCGCGGGCGGCGGTGGCTCCCTCCCGTGCGTCCGTCGTGGGACCTTTGCCCGCTCGCCCGCGGGGGACAGCGCGCGCTCCGGTCCGCGGCAGGGGCGGGGACGCCCGGCCTGTGGCCCCCGCGCCCCCCATGGTGAGTCCCCGTCCCCCGCGCCGCGCCCGCGGCCGCCGCCCCCTCCTCCTCCGGCACACGCGCACGCAGGTGCAGCCCTCGCTGCGCCGGCCACCTGCGCGCGGACGCCCCGCTCGGCCCCGCGACCCTCCGCCGCCCGACGTCTGGCCGTGCAGGCCGGGAGGGGACGGGTAGGAGGTGGCGGGTGGCCCCGGGCGCGGCGCTGCCTTCGATGGCCCAACCCCCTTATTCACGAGCCGCGGCCGTGACTCTGCCCGGTGACGTGGGGAGGCCGAACTTTACGTAACCCGCCCGGCGCCCCACGCGTGCCGGCACAGGGCATATCTGGGGCCCGGAGGCCCAGGCTTGGGGAAGGGGCTCCAGTCACGGTGTTGCCCACGGGCCACAGCCTACCCGCACCGCGCCGCTCTCTTTAACTCAGTTACTGCCAGTGATAGTGACCCAGTCAGTGTGTGTGGACGCGGCCTGCCTTCTGTCCCAGGCCCCTTGTGACCAAGGGCTTACCCTTGAAAGAAGGCAGTAGGGAGGTTGGGACGGAGCCAGAGGTCAGACGCCTAGGCTCAGGTCGGGGCTGGGGACTCAGAGGGCAGGGTCAGGGCCTAAGCTCGATTGCCTGTGGGTTGGGGGTCCCCACCAATTCTGGAATGAGCCCAAACTGAGACGCAGGGGACCTGAGTTCTAGGCCTGGCTCTGCCGTGGCTTGCTGACCTTGGAGAATTGGAGAAGCTTGTGCCCTGCTGGAAAGTGGGATGGCAGTACCCGCTTCATCTAGTAGTCGGGGAGATCAAGAGAGGTATGGGACCTGAAGAGGATGGCAGACTGTGCAGTGCGGTGCACACCGGTCTCCAGGTTGTTTTCACCCTCCTATCTCCTCCCAGGAGCTAACGTGTAAGCAAACATGTTTGGATAGAGGGCTGGTGCCACGCCCCAGGCTCACCCCGCCCGCACAGCCGTCGTCCACCCCTCCCCTTTCTTACAGATAAAGCTGAGGCTCGGCCAGGGACTGTGATATACCCACATCCCCGGAACTAGGTGATCGCGGTGCAGGAACCAGGTAGGTCTGAGTCTGGATCATGCCTCTGAACAGCCCAGGAAGAGGCTCCAGGGGCCTCCAAGTGGTCTGGGGTCGGAGATCAGGGTCAGGGTTGCGCTTGGGCTGGAGAGTGGATTTGCCTCAGCTTGAGATGTGGGCCCAAGCTTTCTCATCCCCTCCCTGGCCTTTTCTTTATTTGGGGTCGTATGAACCTGGCTTAGGTGGGAACAGAAGCTCTTCCAGTGGGTCCCTGGGTTGGAGAGGGGAGGGGAGATTTGAGGGCATGGGCAGCAAGGGCATTTCCAGCAGAGGTGCCAGAGAGCAAGTCAGTTTCAAGGAGGGAGAACAGGTACAGCTAGATCAAGGATGGAGGCGGTGGTTCTGGGCGTCGGAGAGATGGAGCTGTAGGGTGACTGGAAGGGCCTGGCCGAGGCTGGAGGTAGGTACAGGCCTGGTGGGCCAGGACCGGAGGGGCTGTGTGAGGGGCAGAGGGGAGTCCCCGGGCCTCCCCAGTTTCCCCGCGCCTCACCGTGGCCTCTTCCTTTCCCCGCAGGTGTGCCTTCGCGGGATCCATGCCTTGAGGCCCAGGAACGCCCCGCCGCCAGCATGCCGTGGGACGCGCGGCGGCCTGGGGGTGGCGCGGACGGCGGGCCCGAGGCCTCGGGCGCGGCGCGCTCGCGAGCGCAGAAGCAGTGCCGCAAGTCGTCGTTCGCCTTCTACCAGGCGGTGCGCGACCTGCTACCCGTGTGGCTGCTGGAGGATATGCGCGCCAGCGAGGCCTTCCACTGGGACGAGCGCGGGCGCGCCGCCGCCTACTCGCCCTCTGAGGCGCTGCTCTACGCGCTCGTGCACGACCACCAAGCGTACGCGCATTACCTGCTGGCCACGTTCCCGCGGCGCGCGCTCGCACCGCCCAGTGCCGGCTTCCGCTGCTGCGCGGCTCCCGGGCCGCACGTGGCGCTGGCAGTGCGCTACAACCGCGTGGGCATTCTGCGCCGCATCCTGCGCACCTTGCGCGACTTCCCGGCCGAGGAGCGGGCGCGCGTGCTGGACCGGCGTGGCTGCAGCCGCGTGGAGGGCGGTGGCACGTCGCTGCACGTGGCCTGTGAGCTGGCGCGCCCCGAGTGCCTCTTCCTGCTGCTGGGCCACGGCGCCTCGCCCGGTCTGCGGGACGGCGGCGGCCTCACGCCTCTCGAGCTGCTGCTGCGCCAGCTGGGCCGCGACGCCGGGGCCACTCCCTCCGCCGCCGGAGCCCCCGCCTCAGCTCCCGGGGAGCCGCGCCAGCGCCGCCTGCTGCTGCTGGACCTCCTGGCGCTGTACACCCCCGTGGGTGCCGCCGGCTCGGCCCGCCAGGAGCTGCTGGGCGACCGGCCGCGCTGGCAGCGGCTGCTGGGTGAGGACAAGTTCCAGTGGCTGGCGGGCCTGGCGCCGCCCTCGCTCTTCGCGCGCGCCATGCAGGTGCTGGTCACCGCCATCTCTCCAGGCCGCTTCCCCGAGGCCCTGGACGAGCTGCCGCTGCCCCCATTCCTGCAGCCGTTGGACCTCACTGGCAAAGGCTAGGCCCGGAGCACCCTAGGCGCTGGATTTTGGGACAAAACTATTTTTCAGAGCGTTGTACCGGCACTTTATATATATTGATCTCTGTACGGCACAATCTCTGCCTCATCTGTCGCATGCACTGGGGGCTGGGCTTGGATGGTCAGGTGAGTTCCAAGTGGCAGGTTTTCTGGGTGCAGCTGGGCTCGGGCCTTCAGCTCGCTGTCCAGCCCCTGAAGGGAGTGAGGACTAACCTCCCACCTTGATCTAGAGCCTCGGACAGGTGTGCGTCCCAGATGGGTGACAGCTGAGTGCCGCAGGAGCTCGGTAGGTGCAGGGGTGGGGACTGGCATGTCCAAGCAGCAGGACAGCGTATAAAAAGGCCTGGAAGCCAAGAGAACGAGCTCTGCAGCGTAGGGTTCTCACGGGAGGTCCTGTGCGGTCAGCCTTTTGCACCCTGTGGACTCCGGGCCAGGGAGGGCACACAGGGCTGGCAGGCCCGCGGTGGCTGGTGTTGAGGCATGAACAAATTGTACCGGGTATCCCCCACCCCACTCTGACCACCAGTTCCTCCTTGGATATCACTCCCCCTGACAGGCAGCCCACCCAGGCCTGGATTTGTCCCTGTCTCCCCCTTTTGCTTTTCCCCCATGACTAATGGGCACCAGGTCTTGCTGCTCCTGCTTCTCACCTCTGCAGTGGCAGCAGGCCCCTGGCCCCAGGTGCATGCCGGTCAGTGGGGTTGGATGTGCCTTCCTCCAGGCCTGCCCTCTGTCCAAGCCCGGAGTGGGCTTGGTGGGCTCCCTGGTGGCCCCCAGTGGGTGCCAGGTGGTGCCCGGGGTTATTGAGGGGTGGTTGTATCACTGTAGGGACAGGCTTCTTGCCCCAGCCTGGAGAGCTGTTTTCTTCAGGAAGGTTCTGGAGATGGAGACTTGTTTGCGAATTCACCACAACTCCAGGCTGGGAGGCTGGGTCTCCGCTCTCAGAGCCGAGACACCAGGGAGGATAGCCAGGCTGCCCTGCCTGGGAATTCTGCTGGGCCGTCAAATTCAACCCGCACCAACGTGGGCAGGAGGGCCACAGTGTCCTGCCAGGAGCAGAGGGCTGAAGGTCTGCAGGAGGAAGAACCACTATCCTGGTGGGGGGCACCTGCTGCCCACCCTGCCCCCAGCGTGCCTGGGGGGAGCACACCTGGGCATGGAGGAGTCCAGGGTGCTGGGCCACACAAGAGAGGTGGGGGAGAGGCCTGGACAGTAGGAAGATCTTGCCCAGGGTCCTGGATCCGCCACTCTGGGGGTGACCTTGGACAAACCTCTGCCTTGGCCCTCAGTCTCCCCATCAAGGTTTTTCCATTCAGGAGGTTTTGGGCCATCTTCAGCCACCCTACCAGCCCTGAAAAGGATGTGACTCCTGTTTCTGGGAAGTGTGTGGTGTGTTAGGTGGGCCTACAGCCCTGGTTGTGGGGAGGGAAGGATGGAGAGACAGCACAGTGACAGAGCCCAGACTGCAGGCTGGAGTGAGGGTTCCACTTCCCCGCTGCTGTGTGTCCTGGACCAGTGCCTCTGAACCTTGGCACTTGGGGCAGTGGATATTAACATCTTTCCAAGCCCAATTCTTGGGGCATCAGGGCCTCCGGTCCTCTGGGAGGTGGCAGGTCCTCAGATTGGAGATGCCATGGGGGGGGGAGGTGCCTCTCCTTTGGAGGGTATGGAAGTGGAGACAGGAGTGGCCTGGCGCAGCTGCCGTGGTTCTTAGGGGCTGGGCCCGGGGAGCCCATGGGGCTTGTGCCTAGAAAGCCTGGGCTCCTCACTGGGGTCTAGATGTGCAGACTTCATGTCTCCCCAGCTCCAGCTCTGTTCTCTATAGGTCAGCCTCCACAATGCCAGAGGCCCAGGGCTAGCCCCCTCCACGTCCCTCCTAGATCTACAGCTGCCCCTTTGATGACAGCGCCATTGAGTCCCCTGGGCTGGGGGGGTCATGCAGGGGTGAGGCAGCTGCCTGCCGCCGGTACTCATTGCCTGGCCAGGCAGGACACAGGCTGGCGGGCACTGAGAGTGGGCCCCACGAAATCCATTGTCAGGTTACCAGGATGAAGAACCCAGGCTGGTCGTGGAGTGCAGGGCGGGGCCTGCCGGAAGAATTATGGGCACTGCAGCAGGAGGGCAGCCTGGGCCATTAGCTCCTGATGTCATCGATTTGGGTGAGGGGACAGGGAAGTCAGAGGAAGCTGGCCAGTGGCTCTCACGAAGACTTACAGCAGCGGAGTGGTGCCTGATTCCTAGTACAGCTGCTCCCACTGAGTCTCCAGGGATCTGTGGTTCAGGACCCCCTGCAACCCCCTCCCAGACCCCTGTACTGGTGGGAGGAGAGGACCTAGAGGAAAGGTGCTGGGCAGATAAGCAGCCGAGGGAGGCCCTGGGTTTAGCTTATCAGTCTTCTGGGCCCTCCTGCCCCAGGAAGGGCAGCGAGGACCATGGTGTTGCCCCTGTCATCGTTATCGTCCTGGCCATGAGCTTGCAGGACTGGGAGGGCCGGAGTCAGCCAGGCAGACGGCAGCACAGCATTTGCCTGTTGGCAGGTGGCCTTGGTGGCTTCCCAAAGGCAATCGCTCCACGCAGAACAAAACTCACTTTTTTGGGGGGTGAAGCACCTTGGTTCATTTGTTTAGTTCGTTAATTCCAGCAGTCTGTTTCTAAGGGAAACATGGCTGCAGCCGGTCCTGCCCCTCCACCCACCCACCAGGTGCCCAGTGTTCCCAAGGGCCCCGAATCCCAACCTTATTCAGGCGTCAGCATCTCTGCACCCCAAATGCCTGTTAGGGAGGATAGTGAAGGCTGAGCCCTCCTGGGCTCATCAAAAGCCAGCAGTGAGAGAACACCCCCATCTCTCTGAGGTGACCTTGTAGGGCAGTCCGTGCTGTCTGGCTGGCCTGGGTGAGGTGGGCAGGGACCAAGGCCTGGCGCCTGGGCCTCGCTGGCCTTGCTCTGCGTGCTGACTTCATCCTGATAGTACCTTGATTTTCCTACTGTGACTTCCCCTTCTGTCGACTTCCTCACCAACTTTAAAATTCCGTATTGAGAGCAGTTTCCTAAGTTACCTCAAATCCTATTCAGAAGAAGGTTCTTCCTGGAAGTTGGGAGGGCGGAAAACAAGTTTAGTCACAGAAGACTACTCCATGTTTGAGCTTCTGTTTCAAGGGAAGTGAGTAACTGCCGGAGGAGCCCTGCCCCTCTGCAGTGTGTGGTGTTGCCCTGATACTTTTCAGATTGAGGTGTTACTTACATGTAATAAAATGCACAGACTTAAGTGTATACTTTGATGAGTTCTGATGAATGTCTACATGTGTGTAATCACCACTGCAATCAAGATGGAAGGAAAGGCTGGGCGCGGTGGCTCACACCTGTAATCCCAGCACTTTGGGAGGCCAAGGTGGGTGGATCATGAGGTCAGGAGTTCGAGACCAGCCTGACCAACATGATGAAACCCCGTCTCTACTAAAAATAAAAAAATTAGCCAGGCGTGGTGGCAGGCACCTGTACTCCCAGCTACTCAGGAGGCTGAGGCAGGAGAATTGCTTGAACCCAGGAGGCGGAGGTTGCAGTGAGCCAAGATTGCGCCATTGCACTCCAGCCTGGGCGACAGAGCAAGACTCCATCTCAAAAAAAAAAAAAAAAAAGATGGAAAGACAGATTTCTATTGGTGATTCTTAAAAGTAATTTATTTATTTATGTATTTATTTATTTATTTGAGATGTAGTCTTGCTCTGTCATCCAGACTGGAGTGCAATGGTGTGGTCTCAGCTCACTGTAACTTCCGCCTCCTGGGTTCAAGCGATTCTCCTGCCTCAGCCTCTGGAGTAGCTGGGATTACAGGCGCTGGCCACCACGCCCGGCTAATTTTTGTATTTGTAGTAGAGACTGGGTTTCAGCATGTTGGCCAGGCAGGTCTCGAACTCCTGACCTTGTGATCCGCCCGCCTCAGCCTCCCAAAGTGCTGGGGTTACAAGTGTGAGCCACTGCGCCTGGCTCTTAAAAGTAATTTCTTTCTGCTTATAAAATTCATGTTCACTGTAGAACACTGGGGATTGAGT
Organism: Homo sapiens; assembly: GCF_000001405.40. Taxonomy (NCBI): domain Eukaryota; kingdom Metazoa; phylum Chordata; class Mammalia; order Primates; family Hominidae; genus Homo; species Homo sapiens. The sequence goes on along the minus strand of NC_000014.9, from coordinate 102,502,869 downwards.
AGAGAGGTCCGGCCACGATGCAGGGAAACACTGTCTCAAGCGCCCCACCGCCCCACATGGTCCCCAGAGACAGGGCCCCTAAGCGCTCACGTACAAGTAAAGGCGCTGACTGAGTGCGTCATCTGCACGCATACAAGCACTGCTAGCATTCTGGCATATGTTTCTTTCAGCTTTTTTCTGTGCAGATATATATTACATTTTTTTCTGTGTATATTTATATATATATGAAACCAGATCAGTTACACAATTTAGTATTTTTTTAACCTTAATGTAGTATAAGCATTTCCCCCATTGTACTTTGTAAATATGATTTTTAAGAAGTCATTGGTGTCTACTTTGTGATATTTGACTCAACCAGCCTTGATAACAAAGAGTAGTTAGAGACAACTGAATTTTTAAAATGTAAATCTGCTTTATTTTTGGAATAAATAATACATTTACATGGCTGGAAATTCAAAGGATACAAAAAGGCATATACTCCAGGCAACCACTATGACCAGCTGCTGATCACAAGTAGAGAACTTGTTTCTTTTCACCCCTCTTGCTCCTCCCCGGAGTTATGAAAAATTTCAAACCTGCCAAAAGTTTGAAGTTTACAACAAATACCCTCCAACGTTTGGGTTGTCTCCCTCCCCCTTCTCTCCCTTTCTCCCTCTGATTTCTTACAGAACCACGCTTTCATGACCATGCCCGGGAACTTCACGCTGGCGCGGTGAGGTCCTGCGCCTCCGCTTCCTGCACACACGTGCTTCTTAATAGCTGCAGGCTATTTCATGAGAGGAATTTGCTCACGTTAACATGGCTGTTCCCAAATGCCAGGCTGTTTTAAGTGTTTCCTAATTATAAACAGGCTGTGCTGTTTCCCTTGACCTAGGACTTGTTCTTGAGGACAGAAGTGGAGGTGGCGAGATGCAAGGCCTACGTACGGACCGGCTTCCCCAGTAGGGCGGCGCCAATGGGGGGCTCCCAAGCTGCTCCCATCTCACCTCTGCTTCCGGGGTGCTGGGGGTTTGGGCCAGTGTTCCTTCTGCTTTTGTGAAGGGCCCTTACACTCGACTCGAAGTGCTCCTCCTATTGGTTTTTAATAAATATATTTATGGAAAGCTTTATGAATTTGCGAGTCATCCTTGTGCAGGGGCCATGCTAATCTCTGTATCGTTGCAATTTTTGTATACATGCTGCTGAAGGGCGCACTCCTCTTATTGTTGTATAGGTTTTTAAGGTAAATATTCAACATCAATTCCCATTTGTTGCAATTATTTCCCTTCTTTGAGGTTTTTAATTTGCAGCATTTTTACATTTATTTCCTTCTATTTATTTATTTTTGAGAAACAAGGTCTTGCTCTGTCGCCGAGGCTGGAGTGCAGTGGTGTGATCATAGTTCATTGCAGCCTCAAACTCCTGGGCTCAAGTAATCCTCCTGCCTTGGCCTCCCAAGTAGCTGGGACTATAACTGCACATCACTGTGCCCAGCAGCATTTCTGTATTTTGGAGAAATCAAATCTATGTACTTATTTTCCTCTGTAGCTTGTCCTATCACTTTTGAGTTTAGAAAGCCTTTGCCATCCAGAAATCAGACAGTTTTCCCACTGGTTTTAGATTCTTTAATCCATTTAATATTATTTTGCCCAGAGAATGAAGCAGTGGCCACATTAGTTGTGACACCCCCCATGCCCCGCCCCCGCCGCTCCTTAAGCGCATCTGAGATGCCCTCTCCATTCTGCTCCCTCCCTGTGGGCCTTGCTAGCCTGTTGCCTGGCCCTCCGAGGGTCTGGGCCATGCCATTCAATAGAGTGGCCCCTGCTGGGGCTCCACCTGTCATCACTTAGCAGTTCTCACCCGTTTCTTCTTCCCAGGAGTGACGGGACAGTGAGGAGGCATCAAACAGCACAGGTCTGCAGTTCTACAGAGCTGGCTTCCAGTCCCAGTGCTGTGTGACCTTGAGCAAGTTACCTAACCTCTCTGAGTCTCAAGGGGCTAATGAGACTTCCCCTTGCAGGGCTCTGGTGAGAAGCACATTGGGCACAGTCATGGGCATTTGTGGGTACTAACATTATTCCTCCCTGCCTGCCCCAACAAAACAATCCCAGTGGGGATTTGAACTGAAATCAAGCTACACCTATAAATTCCTTTGGAAAGAATGAGGTCTTTCCATAATGTGTGTAGTCCTCCATCCAGGAATGTGGAACATATCTTCCTTTATTCAAGTTTCCTTTTATGCCTTCTGGAAAGCTTTGCTGCTCTTCACACGGCCTGAGGTTTCTTGCTGAGGTCATTTCCTGGCACATGGTGTGTCCTGCTGCTGTGCTGGGCGTCATCTTTTGCGTGTGCTGGTTTCCAGCAGCTCTGGTTTGCGATATGGTTTCGTTTGCTGGCTGAAGATACAGAACCAGGGGCTCGAACCCCTCCAACGCCTGCTCACACACAGCTCCATGAGGAGGCAGCCCTGGACCTCACCCCACAGCGTCCTCCTCAGAGGCTACCATGGGGTACAGCCAGCTCTGGAGCGGCCATTCCCCCATAACAGCCACTTGGGCAAACCGGTGTGTATTTCAACACCAGCCAGGCCAGGACAGGTCTGCTGACGCACTCTCCCTGTGGTGGGGCTGGGCTGGCAGGTTCTCCCTTGCACTGCCCTCGTGAGTGTCGGCTGAGGACACTTCTCACAGCTCAGGCACCACACTCGGCCAGGTTTGGAAAAAGTCTAGTTTATTGCACTGACTCAAAGCACAACTAAAAATTAAAACCAGAAAGAAAACTGTACAAAGCACGAAGCTACAACTTTAAAAGCATCACCTAGACGCGGGTTTAATTGCACTACAGTCCCATGGGTGAGGAGAGCTTTGCCATCCGTGAGGCGCCGGGCAAGGCACAACAGACACAGAGAGATGCAGCCCGGCCTGGGGCTGCCTCTGCTGCCACCAACTTTTACAAAAGGTTCTAGAAAAGGGAAGTGTGAAGTCAGATCTGGGATTTCGGCATCTTGACCTCATTTGGACATGGAAAACCTCCACCTATGTGGCTGGCTGGGTCCTGTCAGAGAACATATTTTATCACCCTCCACCTGCGGCCTGGGGGCTCCCTGACACCAAGGACTGGGCCTGGGCCAGGGGCAGGCTAAAAAAAGCAGCCAGCCTGGTGTCCTGTCCTGAAGCTGCCTCCGGGAGGGGGCGGGATGTGTGGCAGGGCGGCCTAGCCCTCACACGCAGATGCCAGTGGGCGGGGTGGGCACTGCCCATTGTCTGAAGGGGCCACAGCAGCCGTCCATAGAGGCACTGGTTTCAACCTGTCAAGTGTCAACCCATACCCCGCAGAAGGCATGGGCTGCCACTCGGAGCCAGCCCGCAGGTCCCGTGACCGCCCTGCCAGTCAAGTCTGTGCGGGGATGCCTGCCCCTCTGAGGCTGCAGGCGAGGACAGTGCAGGCTCAGGACAAACCCGGGAAGGAACAAAGGGCTTCCACTGTTTTCGGAAAACATATCTCTCTTCTAAATTTGTAAGATTTGATTTGAAATGAGGTATTTTATGCAGATTTGTAATACAACAACAAAGGCAATAATTAGTAGACTCGTCCTCTGAGGATGCATCTGGTTTTAGGATGTCCGCCAGCAGCATTAGTTAAACACCATTCCAAAGACATTTCTAAGTGAGCGACCCTTGCTCAGCTCCCCCACGCCCCATGCACCCTCCTGTGCCGTCCCTACCTGGGACACACGTGCACACATCCAGGTTCCATTTGCACCCATCAGGCTTTACTGTTTCAGCTGAAGTGTGCTCTCCAGGAGGCGGGCAGCCTGCGCCGTGTGTGGGCAGTGAGGTGTGGTGTGGTGTGGTGTGGTGAGATGTGGCGAGGTACGGTGCGGTGCGGTGCGGTGCAGTGCGGTGTGGGGTGTGGTGTGTTGTGTGGTGAGGTGTGCTGTGGTGTGGTGAGATGTGGTGAGGTATGGTGCAGTGCGGTGTGGTGTGGTGAGGTGTGCTGTGGTGTGAGGTGAGGTGTGTTGTGTGTTGTGGTGTGCATGTGCGTGGGTTCTCTCCTGGCATGGCCAGCGCTCTCCTCTCAAGCCCGGCCTCAGCTTCCTGGCCAGAGCGTCTGGCATGGAATGTGCTCTGCAGCTTTGTCTCTGGGGGGACACCCCCCTATGATGGGACAAAGCCATCACCGAGCACATCCCGCGCTGCAGAGAGCTGACCTTTGGCTCCATCTGGCCCTGGGGCTACTAATGTGGAAGGAGGCCCTGGGCCAAACCAGCTGCCCGGCTACCCTTGGTTCTGGGAGGCCTCCGGAGACCACTCCCACCAACAAAAGCTGGAGCTATCTGTGGATGAGACCAGGACGGCAGCACGTGGGTAATCGGAGTGCATGCAGCCGGGCAGTCGCCACTGTCCTGAGCTAGGAGGCGCCACTGCTGCAGCAATCACGCCAGCCACGGGTGGAGGCTGTGGGTTCTGGAACGAGACAGAAACCAACATAGATGAAAGTAAGTGTGCGGGTCCAACCTGGCCAGAGGTGTCTGGACAAGTGTTGAGGCAGCGCGTCCACCAGGGAGTCACTCTGAAGCCCCTGTGCCCGCCACAGACGCCGGGCCCCTCCGCGTGACTCGGCCAGGGCTCCTTCAGATGACCTCCCACTCGTCCTCCAGGTCCTCAGGGTGGGGCATGGCGGCCTGGCTGCTCTTCTGGGTGCCGTGCGAGTGGCTGAACGTCTTTGTCAGCCGTTGGAGGAGGTAGCCGGGCGGGCCCACAGCCCACAGCTCATCTGACGCAGTCACTGCAGGGACAAGAGCCAATCACATACTTGTCAATCACACAGCCTGTGGGGTGGGCACAGATGGAGCTGGGAGCTTGGGCGCAGGTCTGGGCTTGCCACATTCTAGGTGGGGGACACTGGACAAGCCACCATCTCCATGTGAACTTCGTACCCTCAGCTGTAAGTGGATGTCAACAGCACCTTGTCCTTGCCCAGGAGACTCTGGCAGAGCCCAGGTGTCCAGCCCCTTCCCTCCCTGGGACACACTCCTGGCTTTGCCCTCAGTTCTTGCTTTGAGAGATTGGAGCCCAGTGGGGTCGGCTTCTTTGAGAGCCCCCCGACATCGTCCACAGGAGCCCTGGGAACCCCAAGGGGCCTTAAGCCCACTGGCCCCGGGCACCTGCCTGTGAAACACGACACGCTGCCGGGAATTTTCTTCCAGTAGTCCCCGGCGGGGTTCTTGTCTGTGACGCCGTACCGCCGGGCGAGGTCTCCGTTTGGACAGCGGGCCCACACGGTCCTGGTGCTCAGCGCCAGCTGGCAGGCCTGCAACCCTGTGGGCAGACAGGGTCCCTCCTGAGCCCCTGCCATGGACGGGATGGGCCGCTGCTTCCCAAGCCGACTCTTGTGACGCTGCACACCTCCACCAGGGTCCCTGCGGGGACGGAGTGCCCATGATGGGCTGGGCTTGGGGCAGGAGCCGAGGGAAAGGACGACCAGTTGGCAGGGCCAGCAAAGCCACCGAAAGCCAGAAGTCAAAGGACAGAAGGGCCTGGGCAGTGTGCAAACTGCCCTCCCACAAAAGCACCAGCAGGACGGCCTGGGTTCCCCTGATAAGGAACATGATGGGAGGCTTGTCCCCTGGCCCAGGAAGCAGCGGCGACAGCACAGCCCCAGCACAAAGGCTGCCTCACAGACAGCGGCCTGGAGGGAGCGCCCAGCAGCCCCCAGTGATGGTAGCCCCGGCTGGCCGGCACCACAGGCCCTGTCTGCAGGCTCCTACCTGGCACATGCTCCCAGGCGGTCCCCACAGGCATCTCCTCGGTGATCCCGGTCCGCACGTGCACGTTCCACCTGCTGTCAAGCACCCACAGCATCTGGTCGTTGGGGCTGGAATGGACGCTGACCAAGCTGACCCCGGCGGGCTGGAAGCGGGAAGGGACTTTCAGGGAAGGCAGGAGTTGGGTGACAAGAGAAAGGACAGGAGACTTCCGGAACTGGGGACATGTTAGTGGCAGCATGCAGCAGCCAGTGTGGGCCCCGCAGGAGGCAGAGAGGCCACGTCCTGCCCCTAGTGCCAGTCTCACGGGGGAGATGGTCACTTGTCTCCAGAATGTCAGGTGGGCCAGACTGAGGGACAGCCCAGCAGATACCAGCATGGACTCCAGCAGGAGGCCAAGAAGGGCAGGGATGGCCCAGGTGAACAGAGAGTGGAGGAATGAGAGGAGAGATGCGGCGGACCTGGCTGTGAAGGACCATGGTGGGCACTGTGAGAAACAAAAACGCCAGCCCAGGAGCCCCTGCCACCTGCCTGTGCTGCCCTCACCATCCTGGCTCAGCTGAGGCCCCTCTCCTCTAGGCACAGCTGTCCTCCCGAATGTGCTGCCGGGCAGGCAACATCTGCGTTGACCAGGCCGCGGCACAAGACTGCCGCCCTGCCCTGGTCCTTGGGCAGCCTCTGTCCATGCTCAGCATCTCCGGTCCTTTGTCTGCTCTTCACAGGACAGGAGGAAGTCCCTCCAGTGTCCTGTTTGCTGTCCACCGGCAACTCCAGTTTGCCCCAGGGCTTCCCACCCCTCAGTTGGACCAGGCCTCCATGCCCGCGAGCACAGCACTGTCTGGAGGATCTGGGCCTCTGGTCACCAGCAGTGCTGGTGGGTGACCCGAGCCCCGAGGGGCTGGCTGTCCCCCACTGCCTGGCACTGCCTGCTTTTCTGGAACCCACAGTCTTCCCTGCTACATCTGTGGTCTTGGGTCCCTGCCCTCCTGGTCGGCCTCCATGGGACCGAGTGGGCCACCCAGTGGAAACTGGCAGATCCCTCGCTGCCGCCACACATCTCCTGCTCCTTGCTTTGTGCTCAGGGCTGCCGTGAATACAATCACACTGGATGCCCTGTGCCACACTCTGGCCGCACAGTGCTCCTGTCATAGTGCCCGTGTCACACACTTGCCGGGGCCAGACACTCTCAGGGCCCTCAGGCAGTGGGACCTCCCTCCACCTGCACCTCCCGGATCGAGGTGCCCTCTCCAGGCTGCCCGCATCCTCACCCGCCGGCTGCTCTGGGCAGGGGCCCCTAACTGTGGGCTGATGAACGCATGTATGAAATGCCTCCCGTGGGCACCAAGTCTCACACCTCAGCCCCAGGGCCAGTCCCAGTGGATCAGGACATGGAGGATGGAGAGACAGAGCAGCAAGGAGGACGGGGCGGTGGCCGCTCTTGTCGGCACATCACCACCAGTCACCACTGCCTGAGCCAGTGTTTGCCTTTGCTGCTGCTAGGTCCTCTAAGGACCAACCGGTCTTCCCAGACATGGCAGGTTTCTTCCCCAGCCGCCCGGCCTCCCCACCCAGCCCTGCTTTGCAGAGTGATCACAGGCCTCTCCCCTCCCTTCCCTGGAGTCCCTGCATCCCCCTGGAATGGGGGCTTAGCCTAGAACAGCGCTTCCCCAAATCTGCGCCTCTGAATCCCAGGTCCATGGAATAGAAATAGGTGTGATGTATAGAAAGGGGGTTCCATAGCCAAACAAGTTAAGCTAAGCTCAGAGGGAAGGTGGTGAATAGAAATCCCAAACACATCCAGACTTGGTCGCAGCTCCGCAGCCAAAACACTGACAGGCACAGGGCCACCCCCTCCCTCCTGCCCCCACCTGATTCTGGCTGTCAGAAAGTTCTCTTTAAAAAAATTTTTTTTAAGACAGGGTCTCGCTGTCACCCAGGCTGGAGTGCCCTGGCGCAATCCCGGCTCACTGCAACCTCCATCTCCCTGGCTCAAGTGATCCTCCCACCTCAGCTTCCCAAGAATCTGGGACTACAGGTGCACACCACCACACCAGGCTAATTTTTGTATTTTGTTGTAGACACTGGGTTTCACCATGTTGCCCAGGCTGGTCTTGAACTCGTGGGTTCAAGTGAGCCATTCCCCTTGGCCTCCCAAAGTGCTGAGATTACAGGCGTGAGCCACCGTGCCTGGCCAAAGTTCTCTCTTGTGTGAGCTCACTCAGGGTGCCGCTGGAGTGACTGCAGGTCTCAGCCTGCCAGTGAGGTGAATGAGCTAGTTTAGTTTTTTTTTTTTTTTTTTGAGACGGAGTTTCGCTCTTGTTACCCAGGCTGGAGTGCAATGGTGTGATCTTGGCTCACCGCAACCTCCGCCTCCCAGGTTCAAGCAATTCTCCTGCCTCAGCCTCCCGAGTAGCTGAGATTACAGGCATGCACCACCATGCCAGGCTAATTTTGTATTTTTAGTAGAGACGGGGTTTCTCCATGTTGAGGCTGCTCTCGAACTCCTGACCTCAGGTGATCCGCCCACCTCGGCCTCCCAAAAGTGCTGGGATTACAGGCGTGAGCCACCGCACCCGTCCGAGCTAGTTTTTTTTTGAGTCTCACTGTGTCTGGAGTGCAGTGGCGTGATCTTGGCTCACTGCAACCTCTGCCTTCCGGTTTCAAGGGATTCTCCTGCCTCAGCCTCCCAAGTAGCTGGGATTATGGGTGCCCACCTCCAAGCCCAGCTAATTTTTGTATTTTTAGTAGAGACGGGGTTTCACCATGTTGGCCAGGCTGATCTAGAACTCCTGACCTCCAGCGATCTGCCTGCCTCGGCTTCCCAAGGTGCTGGGATTACAGGTGTGAGCCACTGCGCCCAGCCACGAGTGAGCTATTTTAAGAGACACAGAGAGAACAGAGTCCTAGAGTCCTAGCGAGGGGCTCCCTTCGCTGCTCCCTCAGCCCTTTGGTCGCTCACTCCACACATTTGCCCAAGTTACAGGCACAGGCTCTGGAAGCCTTCGTGAGTGGGCTGGATGGGGCTCTCAGGTAGCACCAGAGCAGGCAATTGGACGTAAGCACCAGGCTAGGTTCAGATATGGGAGGCACCACCAGGAAATAAAATGAGCAACTGGCAGTGGGTGGTCAGGTGAGGAGGTGGCATTAGGGTTGATGCCCGGAGGACACAGGGCCACTGAGGGGAGAGAGGGAAGGGTTGGATGGCAGATGCCAGAAGGCTGGGCACCACCCTGGACAGCGGTCCCAGCTTAAAGCAGAGCGGCATTGGAAGCCCGAGCCACTTTCCACGCAGAACCTCAGATGCACCGGTGAGATCCAAGGGATCCGAGGGAGCCGCGCCTGTGCTGCAGGGTCACCGCAGCCCCTGCCCCTGTCACAGCAGGGAGGCTGGGGCGGGGCGGCCAGCAGGGCTGTGGGATGCAATCCAGGAGGGCAGGGGTGCCAGGACCGAGTCCCCAGGGACCACCTGGAGCGCACTCAAGGCAAGTCCCCACCGCTAGCTGTGCTGGGATCAGATGTTTGGGATTTCTATTCACCACCTTCCCTCTGAACTTAGCTTAACTTGTTTGGCTATGGAACCCCCTTTCCATACATCACATCCATTTCCATTCCATGGACCTGGGGTTCAGAGGTGCAGATTTGGGGAAGCGCTGTTCTAGGCTAAGCCCCCATTCCAGGGGATGCAGGGGCTCCAGGGAAGGGAGGGGAGAGGCCTGCCAGCTGAGGCCGAGGCTGAGGCCACCAGGCTATGTGGAGGAGAGGCTCCCGCCAGGCTCCCGCCTTCCCCACTCGGAAGGCCGCGTGGAGAAGACAGAAAAGCGGCCCAGGCCTCGCCATTCAGCCCACTGGCCAGGGCCCCGACGTGGTGGAGCAGAGCCAGGACTCCCCCACACACTGCCCGTAGTCCTGGCCCAGAGCTGAGACGCGCTGTGGTTTGAAGCAGCTAGCTTTTGAATAGTAAGTCAAGGACAACGGGAATGATGGAGAGAGGAGGAGATGACTGTGCTTCAGCAGAAGGGCAAGAACAGCAAGGACCAAAGTGGAGTCTCTGAGGGGTCTCCAGATAGAGAAAGATGGGCGCTGGAAGCAGCACGGTGGCAGGCGGAGAAGTGCTCGTGAGCGGGCAGAGGATGGCTACCCCGCATCCCTTTCCTCTTCTCTCCATCACCTCGCAACGTCTCTGGAACATAAAACTTCCCTGTCTCCCTTGGCTCTCTCGCTTCCGGGCTCTGCCTCCTAATGTGAGCCTCCGCCCATTAACAGCCTTTACTAGAAGCCGCTAGAACAGAACATGGTGGGAAGAGCAAGCGGGGCCCAGCCTCACCCTGGCCTTGCCAGTCGTCCCTTCCGGACACACACGCCCCCTCACGCGTTGCTCACCTGGCACGCTGCTGCCCACCCTTCACAACCCCACTCACGCTGCCTGCCAGGCCTCTGGGAAGGGCCCCTGTGCTGCCTGGGAGCTCCCTGCAGGAGGAGGCCACGTCTGCCCAGCTCCAGCCCAGCCCGATGCTGAGGAGGTGCGTGGAGGATGGACCCTGACCACCTGCTTCCCTCAGAAACATTCTGCGTCCCCAGCCCCTCACCCGCTTTTATCCAATAAAAAGAAACTCTATTTTGTATTACTGGAGGAAAATATACATTTGAAAACTACACAAATCCTAAGTGCACAGCATGACAGAGCTTCCCAATTTGAGTGCACCTGTGTGACCAGTGGCTGGCCCAAGAAGGAGAAGGAGAGCCCCGGCCCTGGCTGCTGCCACACTCCTGACACCAGGGCCTGGGCTGTCTGGGTCTGACTTTACACGACGGAAGCTCATGGCATAGTGGCTTCTCTCCGAAAGGAGGACTGGCACTCCCTGGCAGGGCCCTCACTCTAGGTGAGAGGCCAGCCTGCAGACAGCCCAGGAGGGCTTCAGGAAGGGGTAGGGATGGAGGCCAGGTCTCAGAGGGTGGGAGAGCACAGTCTGACGAAAAGCACATGGGGACACCAGTAAATGCTCTTTAAAAGAGGAAGAGCAAGTCATTCTGGACACATCTTTCCAGGTTTATCATCTTGCCTCATGCCTTTACCCAGTATTTCCCAGACTGGGTTCCATGGTACACCATACCACCCCTACCACTGGCAGGGCTCATGTGGCCCAAGGCCTCACACCAGCTGTCTCCTGGACACCTCTAATTGGAGGCATGTGATCATTTGTTCGACAAATGAGCACCCACACATGCTGGGTTTTGGGGAAACCTCAACTGCAAACAAAACACTTGTTTCTGCCCACCCAGAACTGCCATCCTACTGGGGAGGGTGGGGCACAACCCGGACAAACCAATGCCATACTGCGTAACAGAGAGAAGGGCCAGAGGGACACCCTGACTCTGCCTGGAGTGGAGGGGCAGTGATCCTGCCAACACCTAGGGAAGGTACCCAGCAGCCCCAGCAAGTGTAGAACTGAGGGTAGCTCAGGGTTGCAGCAAGGAGGCTGGGAGGCTGCAGCCCAGTGGTGAGGCCAGAGTGGCTGCTAGGGCTGATGGCAGGCTTCAGGCTGAGGGAAGAAGTATGATTTCATTCTGAGTGACGTGGGAAGCTGCCAGAAGGGTGTGAAAAGAGGAAAGGGCTGGGCACGGTGTCTCATACCTGTAATGCCAGCACTTTGGAAGACTAAGGAGGGAGGACTGCTTGAGCCAAGGAGTTTGAGACGAGCCTGGGCAACAGCAAGACCTTGTCTCTACCAAAATTTAAAAAATTATCTGGGCATGGTGGCATGTGCCTATAGTCCCAGCTACTTAGGAATCTCAGGCAGGAGGATAACTTGAGCCCAGGAGTTTGAGGCTGCAGTAAGCCATATTCGTGCCATTGCACTCTAGCTTGGGCAACAGAGCAAGACCCTCTGTAATAATAAACAAAATAAAAGTAAAAAAAGAGGAGAGATGTGGGCTGAGCGCGGTGGCTCACACCTGTAATCCCAGCACTTTGGGAGGCCCAGGCGGGTGGATCATCTGAGGTCAGGAGTTTGAGACCAGCCTGACCAATATGATGAAACCCCATCTCTACTAGAAGTACAAAATTAATCGGGCATGGTGGCATGCGCCTGTAATTCCACCAACTTGGGAGGCTGAGACAGGAGAATCACTTGAACCCGGGAGGCAGAGGTTGCAGAGAGCTGAGATCGTGACATTGCACTCCAGCCTGGGCAATAAGAGTGAGACTCTGTCTCAAAAAAAACCCAAAAAAACAAAAAAAGAGGAGAGATATGAACTAGCACATGTCGTCTGAGGACCCTTCTGGCTGCAGTGAGGACAAGCTGCAGGGAAGGGCAGGTAGAACAAGAACCCCGTTCCGGACGCTGGTGCAATAAGCCAGGGGCTGGTGGTACAGGCAGGCCCTAAGAGGCCGATGGAACAGGTTTGGAGGAGGAGCCCATGGCGCCTGCTGAAGGACTGGCAAAGTGGCCCTGGGGTGTCTGCTCTGCCTGAGTCTGGACCTTTTCAGAGCAGACGCCAGGCCGGGGCGGAGCTCAGCACCCCGGGTGGTCGCGGCAATCATGACCCCGAGCCACAGATGTCGGGTGACTCGGGAAGGCGCCTCTGCTAAAATACACCGAGGTTTCAACAGACAAAAAACCAACGCTTGAAAAGTTGGCAAACTCGGGGGTTGCTTTGCTGACTGCTCTCTAGGTTAGTAACAGAGAGGCCTGGTCCTAGCCCTGCCTGGCAGTCCTGCCTGCTGGGGCTCTGGGCACACCCTGGGTGTCATGACATGATGCCTGTGAGGGGCTTCGAGACCAGCAGGGCTGGGCATCAGTGAGGGATGATTTTCTATTAGGTCAGAAACAATGATAATCACTGGACCTCAAAGCAAATGACTTCATCATCTTCCTCTGGAGCAAACCGATTTCTTACGGTCTGAGAGTGGTGCCAGTGGGAAGCAGCACAGGATCTTGGGAGCAGGGAATTCCACTGTTTGCTCACAGTGACCAAGGAAGGTGCCGCGTGGGGTTAACACACAGACCTGCTGTGCGGCTTTCATCACAGTGACCTGATTCACTGGCGGTCTCAACACACCTTTGCTGTATTTATTTTATAAACTCACTGTATTTTTTTTTTGTAACTGTCACCTGGATTTGCTTGTTTTTGCTTTATTTTTAGTGGAGGCACTGATGTAAGTGCCTCCACTAAAGTTAGTGTAGATTCTTCTCAAGCCTTTCTTTGGAGGCAAAAGAACTCCCGGCTGAGCCTGGCACTGCTGGTTTGTTAGCTGTGCTGAGTGCAAGAGCGGCTAGCTGTCCCCTGGTTTGTACCAGAAGTCTGGGGCTGAATAAACCCTCATTTAAACAGACAAAACCCAGACACACTCAGGGGCTGTCAGAGAGAGCACGTATCACTCAGGGCCACACACTGTAGGATTCCTTTTTTTTTTTTTTTTGACACAGTTTTGCTCTTGTCGCCCGGGCTGGAGTGCAATGGTGTGATGTTGGCTCACTGCAACCTCTGCCTCTCATGTTCAAGTGATTCTCCTGCCTCAGCCTCCCGAGTAGCTGGGACTACAGGGGCCTGCCACCATGCCCAGCTAATTTTTGTATTTTTAGTAGAGACAAGGTTTCACCATCTTGGCCAGGCTGGTCTTGAACTCCTGACCTTGTGATCCACCCACCTTAGCCTCCCAAAGTACTGGGATAGAGACAGGGTTTCACCATTTTGGCCAGGCTGGTTTTGAACTCCTGACCTTGTGACCCACCCACCTCAGCCTCCCAAAGTACTGGGATTACAGGTGTGAGCCACCGCGCCCAGCCAGGATTCCATTTCTATGAAACATCCAGAAGAGGAAAATCCCAGGTAGAAATCAGGTGAGCAGCTGCTACAGGCTGGGAGAGAGGAGGGAGGAGGAATGGGGAGTGGCTTCACATTGCTAGGGGCTTTCTTGAGGGATAAGAATGTTCTGGAACTAGGTTGGGCACAGTGGCTCATGCCTGTAATCCCAGCACTTTGGGAGGCCGAGGTGGGCAGATCACTTGAGGTTAGGAGTTTGAGACCAGCCTGGCCAACATGGTGAAACTCCATCTGTACTAAAAATACAAAATTAGCCAGGCATGGTGGCGCATGCCTGTAGTCCTAGTGTCTCGGGAGGCTGAGGCAGGAGAATCACTTGAACCTGGGGAGGCAGAGGTTGCAGTGAGCCCAGATTGTGCCACTGCATTCCAGCCTGGACAACAAGAGCAAAACTCCATCTCAAAAAAGAAAAAAAAAAGAATGTTCTGGAACTATATAGTGACAATGGTTGCACAACATTGCAAATGTACTGTCACTAACGGTAAATCTCATGTGTATTTTATCACAATTTAGAAAAAAAAAAAAGTAGACAAGCCTTGGTTGTGACAGTGTACTATAGTTTTGCAGTTACCATTGCTGTGAACTGGGTAAAGGGTACTCAGGATTTCTTATAAATACAAGTGCAGTGACCATTATCTCAATAAAAATTTCAATTAGGCCGGGTGCAGTGGCTCATGCCTGTAATCCCAGCACTTCGGGAGGCTGAGGCAGGCGGACCACCTGAGGTCGGGAGTTTGAGACCAGCCTGACCAATATGGAGAGACCTCGTCTCTACTAAAAAAAAAGTACAAAATTAGCCGGACGTGGTGGGGGGCGCCTGTAATCCCACCTACTCAGGAGGCTGAGGCAGAAGAATTGCTTGAACCCAGGAGGCAGAGGTTGCGGTGAGTCAAGATTGCGCCATTGCACTCCAGCCTGGGCAAAAAGAGTGAAACTACGTATCAAAAAAATAAAAAAAAATTCAATTAAAAAAAAAAAAAAGGCCGAGCACAGTGGCTTACACCTATAATCCCAGCTCTATGAGACACTGAGGCAGGAGAATTGCCTGAGCCCAGTAGCTCGAGACCTAATCTCTACTAAAAAAACAAAAAAAAAGTAGTAGGTGATCTAAAATTTTGGCTTATTCATATTAAAAACTTCATAAAAATGCAAAAGAGGCTGGGCGTGGTGGCTCACGCCTGTAATCCCAGCCCTTTGGGAGGCTGAGGCAGGCGTATCACCTGAGGTCCGGAGTTCAAGACAAGCCTGACCAATATGGAGAAACCCCATCTCTACTAAAAAATATACAAAATTAGCCAGGTGTGGTGGCTCATGCCTGTAATCCCAGCTACTCAGGAGGCTGAGGCAGGAGAATCGCTTGAACCCGGGAGGCAGAGGTTGTGGTGAGCCGAGATCGCGCCATTGCACTCCAGCCTCGGCAACAAGAGTGAAACTCCGTATCAAAAAAAAAAAACAAACAGGCCGGGCGTGGTGGCTCACGCCTGTAATCCCAGCAGTTTGGGAGGCCGAGGTGGGCGGATCACGAGGTCAGGAGATTGAGACCATCCTGGCTAACACAGTGAAACCCCGTCTCTACTAAAAATACAAAAAATTAGCCAGGCGTGGTGGCGGGCGCCTGTAGTCCCAGCTACTCGGGAGTCTGAGGCAGGAGAATGGTGTGAACCTGGGAGGCGGAGCTTGCAGTGAGCCCAGATTGCGCCACTGCACTCCAGCTTGGGGGAGAGAGCGAGACTCCATCTCAAAAAAAAAGAAAAGAAAAGAAAAAGAAAACACAAGTGTCTGGGGCTCAGACCACAGTTCTTCAAACTTCTTGTAGCTGAGCTTTTATCATAGCTTTTATCAACACACGTGTGCGCACGCACACACACACTCACACATGTTCCTCAGTCAGAATGTGGTAAACCCAGGCTGAAAAACAAAAACATGCTGAAGATTTCACAGCCAAAGGAAACATGTATCTAGACAGACCATTTTGGCATGGACTTATCAGAACTTGGAAGAAATTCAGCAGGAATGTTTCAGGAATACCAGGGTGGACCGAGGGTTTTTGAAGCGGCAGCACAAATGCCCCAGGAAAGACGCCTCTGGAAATAATCCTAACCCAAACAAACCACGGTTATCCAGGCGGCCATTTGTGCTTTCCACACTGCCTTTTCTTTTCCCTCCAAGTCTCTCTCCCTCCCTGTTTTAACCTTGAATCCCCGTAAAGACTGACACATGCTGAGCTTTACTTTCCCTCAAGGATTCATGGTGCTGCTGTGTGTCTGTCCGTCTATCCGTGCAGCCTCAGGGGGCGCTGAGGCGTGTGGGTTGGTTGGGCCATTTGTCACATGGCCCCGTGGTAGCTGTACTTTCTGACTTCTGTTTGGTCTTTCTAGTTCTTTTTTCCCTGTAGCAGACCCTCTTCCTGCTTCTGGTCTATTCTTCCCAATTTCAGATGGGCTTAAAAACCCGATACCCATGTTAATAGGTCTAGAATTAAATTAAAGGTAAATTCTCAGAGCCAGGGCTGACACACTAGGAGGACCTCCTCTTCGTGGTCTGTGTCCTTAGCTGGAGGAGCCGGGGACCATGATCTCTGAGGCTCCTCGAGACTCTGACCGTGGTACGAGGTGGGTATGGCTGCCCGGGGCCTGCTGTGCTGAGCTCTCTCTCTGTCCTCACTGGCCCGAAGACCAGCAGTTTTCCAGCAGCGCCTGTGGGGCCCTGGCCTTGCAGAGGTGCCTCAGGGCCCCTGTGGAAGGGGCAGTTTCATGGGACCAGTTTTGCTGTTACTTGTTGAACACATCTGGCTTATGTACAAGATTTTATTTAAGGCTGGACAGCTGGGAGTGTTTTTTGTATTTTGTACACACACCTGTAGTCCCAGGTACTCAGGAGGATGAGGTAAGAGGATCACTTGAGCCCAGGAGGTTGAGGTTACAGTGAACTGAGATTGTGTCACTGCACTCCAGCGTGGGTGACGGAACAAGAGCCTAACTCAAAAAAATTTTTTTTTAATTTGAAGAATGGGTCCCACTGCTAAAAAACATTTGGAAACTTCTGGCCCAGCAGAGCAGGGCTCCAGACAGAAACAGGCTCCACTGCTGCTCTCTTCTGGCCTGTCAGAGGCCTCTCCCTCTCCGTGGTGGGTCCTTCTGCACTGACTCCAGTTACTGCTGGGCCTCTACATCTGGTCTGAGGTGTGACCTCAGAATCCAGCAAGAAGCTGCATCTGCTAATTGTAGGGGGTGCGCTAAAGAAAACGCTCAGAAGCAGGTTTCCTGGGTGCCTGTCACATTCTGTCCTTCCTGAGCAGGGGCTGGTGGAGCCAACTGGCCACTCTTCCTGTCTACCCTCCAGACCTTGTCACTGATACCAGCCCAACGACTGCGCCATGGCTAGCACCAGGACTCAAATATTGCTGTGAGACAAGAAGAGCAGAAGCTGGACCCAGTGGCACACACCCTGGTCTCTGATAGCTCATCGCCCTGCTCTGTGGCTGACTCTACAGACAGGCTCGGGGAAGCACCTTCTGGATGAGTGCAGCCCAGAGGGAGAGGTCCCTAAAGATGATCTCTGGGCTCTGCTCCTCTAGGGTCATGGCAAGCATCGCGAGGGGCTCCCCTTCCTGCCGCTCATGGTTTTACTGGGGGCACACGCAGGGCAGGCTGGGACAAGCTTCCCTAGGTCGTTGTTTAAACTACTGGGTCATAAGTTGTTAAAGCACGATGAGGGGACTGCTGCAGGACCCAGGGCACCCCGTTAGAACCCTGTGGTCTACTTCTAGGTATCATGGCCTTCCAGAATGAGAGAAAAGACTTAGAGTTCAATATGGTGAAGAGGGGTAATAGTTCCTAGAAGCAAGTTTTGAAGAAGAGAGCTCAAAAACAATAGATGTTTAAATGGAGGTATAGGAAAAAAAGGCAACATGGAAAAAATTAAAGGAAGTGGCAAAAAACAATTTAGTTTCTCTCAAAGGGAGCTGGTTCCATCCCACACCATTAGACAGCAGTTTGGGGAGGTTTCATACCTTCATTTGCAGGCAGCATAGTTGTGCTGACGGAACAACTTACAGTGTAACAGGCAGCCCCACCAGCACCTAAATACCACTCAAAGATGTTCAGAGGCTTAGAGGAAAATAGTGGCTATACTCTGAAGACTGTGATACCAGAACCGTGGAGGTGAAGGGGATGAGCTGCACCATGGTGCTCAGCGCTGGGTATGTGCAAGAGTCACCTGCAGGGCGCTGAAGAAGCCAGAAGCTTCTGGGCAGTGATGATAATGAGCACACAATTACTCTTTCACTCCCTTCTCAAGCACCACTACCATGAGAGGGAATGGGTTAAACAAAGAAAAACGGGGCGGGCGCAGTGGCTCGCGCCTGTAATCCCAGCACTTTGGGAAGCCGAGGCAGACCGGATCACCTGAGGCCAGGAGTTCGAGACCAGCCTGACTAACATGGCGAAACCCTGTCTCTACCAAAAATACAAAAATTAGCCAGGCATGGTGGCATGCGCCTGTAATCCCAGCTACTCGGGAGGCTGAGGCAGAGAATTGCTTGAACACAGGAGGGGGAGGCTGCAGTGAGCTGAGATCGGGCCACTGCACTCCAGCCTGGGTGACAAAGCAAGACTCCATCTCAAAGAAAAAAGGTTCAAATCTCCTAAGGACAGAGAGAATGAGGGGAGGAAGCAGCCATACAATTCTGGAAGCTGGAAAGTGGGGGATGCATGGCAAGGACTCAGCGGGCCCTGGAAGGCTAAAAGCAACGACTCCCCACCCAGCAGCCCAGCCAGATTGCTGTCAGAGACCCGCGGGGCCCACAGGCTCCATGCATGTGCTCAGGGCTTCCAGTCAGCCTTGCTGGGCCTCACTCTTCCAACCAGGGGACTGCCAACATCTGAAGAAAGCCTCTGCCATGTAAAAGGCGAACTAGACAGAAAACACACAACTTGGGACATACAAAGACCAGGCAGGGAGAAGAAACTTCCAAAACATCCTTAGGGAGATGAGAGAAGACTGACTCTACAGCCATCAAACAACAACAGGAACTTTCAGAAATTAAACATGTGATCATGGAAATAATCTGACAGAGGGTTGGAGAAATAAGGTTGAGAATGTCTTCTAGAAAGCAGGATAAAAGCATAAAAAGACAGAAACAGGAGAGAAAGGAAAAGTGGAGGCCAGCTTAGAAAGTCCACAATACAAAAGGAAGCCTCCAGGCTGGGCACAGTAGCTAATGCCTGTAATCCCAGCACTTTGGGAGGCCAAGGCAGGTGGATCACCTGAGGTCAGGAGTTCGAAACCAGCCTGGCAAACATGGTGAAACCTTGTCTCTACTGAAAATATAAGAATCAGCCAGGCATGGTGGCAGGTGCCTATAATCCCAGCTACGTGGGAGGCTGAGGCAGGAGAATCGCTTGAACCCGGGGGGCAGAGGCTGTAGTGAGCCCAGATTGCGCCACTGCACTCCAGCCTGGGCAACAAGGGCAAAAACACCAACTCAAAAAAAAAAAAAAAAAAAAAGAAAAGGAAAAGGAGGCCTTCAGCCAGAGCAGACAGAAAACAGGAGGGGTGCCAGGTGCAGTTGCTCATGCCTGGAATCCAGCACTTTGGGAGGCCAAGGTGGCAGGATTGCTGGAGCCCAGGAGTTCAAAAGCAGCCTGGGCAATATAGTGAGACTCCATCTCTACAAAAAATAATAAAAAAATTAGCTGAACATGGTGCATATGCCTGTGGTCCCAGCTACTTGGGAGGCTGTGGTGGGAGGATTGCTTGAGCCCAGAAGTTTAAAGCTACAATGAGCTGTGATTGCGCCATTGTGCTCCAGCCTGGGTGACAGAGTGAGAGACCGTCTCAAAAACAAAACAAAACAAAACAAAACCCCACAACAACAAAAAACCCTACAACAACAACAACAACACACAAAAACATAACAACAAAAAAAGGAAAACAAGAGAGGCGGGGCAGAAGAGGACCCCAGCAGAGGACCCAGACACCCACCAGCACATAGGCTGCAACCACCTGGCTGCAAGGATGAACACAGCCCTCACCAAGGCATACCACTATGTATCTGTTCTTATAACACTAGGAACAAAGAGACCTTACAAACTTTCAGAAAGAAAAACAGGTCAAGTATCAAGGATCAGGTGTTAGAACGGCTTCTGGGCCGGGCGAGGTGGCTCACGCCTGTAATTCCAGCACTTTGAGAGGCCGAGACGGGCAGATCATAAGGTCAGGAGATCGAGACCATCCTGGCTAACACGGTGAAACCCCATCTCTACTAAAAATACAAAAAAAAAAAAAATTAGCCAGGCGTGGTAGCGGGCGCCTGTAGTCCCAGCTACTCGGGAGGCTGAGGCAGGAGAATGGCGTGAACCTGGGAGGCAGAGCTTGCAGTGAGCCGAGATCATGCCACTGCACTCCAGCCTGGGCGACAGAGCGAGACTCCGTCTCAAAAAAAAAAAAAAAAAAAAAAAGAAAGGCTTCTGGCTTCTCAGTAGCAATCCTGGAAGCCGAGAGACAATGGAGAAAGACCCTCAAAATCCTAAAGGAAAATGGTTTCCAACCTAGACTGCTATATCCAGCAAGGTCAAGGGTGAACACAGATGAAAGACTTTTCAGACATGCAATACCTCCAAAAAGTCACCAACCATGAACCCTTCCTTGGGAACCGACTGGAAGATAAACTCCACCCAAACAAACACAGACACAGAGAGAGGAAGACCCGGGATCCGGGAGAAAGGGGCTCTAACATGAGGGGAGGTCAAAGGTGACGCTAGGACAACAGCTGGGTCCCGGGTAGAGAGAGGAACGAGGCCAGACTGGAGCTGGCCAAGAGGGTGCAGGAGAGATCTCTGCAGGGGGAAGAAATGGAGAGGACACATTCCTAATGTGTGAGACAACTGGCAGAGAGTTTGGGATTGAATGTGTGGAACTGCACTTAGAAAACTAGATGAGCAGGCTGGGTGTAGTGGCTCATGCCTGTAATCCCAGCACTTTGGGAGGCCAAGGCAGGTGGCTCACCTGAGGTCAGGAGTTTGAGACCAGGCTGGCCAATGTGGTGAAACCCTGTCTCTATTAAAAATACAAAAAATTAGCTGGGTGTGGTGGCACACGCCTGTTAAGCCCAGCTACTCGGGAGGCTGAGGCAGAAGAATCACTTGGACCCAGGAGTTGGAGGTTGCAGTGAGCAGAGATTGATCGCACCATTGCACGCCAGCCTGGGCAACAGAGCAAGGCTCTGTCTCAAAAAAAAAAAGAAAAAAAACTAGATGAGCAAACAAGATGATTATCAAGTCCAGGGAAAACAAAGAGTCACACAGACAAGGAACTGCAGGTGTGATTCATCCCCTGCCTCCGCTGTGAAGAGCTCCTCTGTCCTCACAGCAAGGCCCGTGCCCAGGAAGCACTGCAGCTCTGGCAGGGTGGAAGTAGGAAGGGAGGTGGGTGGCTGGGGGAATGGGGGACGGGGGATGCAAGAGCTCTGCATGCTTCTCTTCCCGCAGAGAGTCAACCAGAAACACCTGAAGTCAGGGGACCAAACACAGCTCCCGAAGCAGCATTCAGAGACAGGCAGCGAAAAGAACTGAAAGGAACTCTCCAGAGAGGGCAAAATTGGCAGGAGAGACATGTTTCTTATAGCACATCTTATAGAACCCACTGACATGTCAACCTACTGATTTTCACATGTGACTCTGTTTTCTTTCTTTTACAGATGGAGGCTCACTCTGTTGCCCAGGCTGGAGTGCGGTGGATGATCCTGGTCTCCAGTGATCCTCCCACCCAGCCTCCTGAGTAGGTGGGACTAGAGGCACATACCACCACACTTGGCATTTCATGTATGACTTTCATGAAAAATAAAAACCAGGCTCGGTGTGGTGGCTCCTATCTGTAATCCCAACACTTTGGGAGGCCAAGACAGGTGGATCACTTGAGGTCAGGAGTTCCAGACCAGCCTGGCCAACACAGTGAAACCCCATCTCTACTAAAAATACAAAAATTAGCTGGGTGTGGCTGGGCACAGTGGCTCACGCATGCAATCCCAGCACTTTGGGAGGCCGAGGCGGGCAGATCACCTGAGATCAGGAGTTTGAGACCAGCCTGGCCAACATGGAGAAACCCCGTCTCTACTAAAAATACAAATACATAGTGGCACTCACCTGTAGCCCCAGCTACTCAAGAGGCTGAGGTGGGAGGACCACTTGAACCCAGGAGGCAGAGGTTGTAGTGAGCTGAGATTGTGCCACTGCACTACGCGCCTGGGTGACAGAGTGAGACCCTGTCTCAAAAAAAAAAAAAAAAAATTAGCCAGGCGTGGTGGCGGGTGCCTGTACTCCCAGCTACTCAGGAGGCTGAGGCAGGAGAATCACTTGAACCCAAGAGGCGGAGGTTGCAGTGAGCCAAGATCACCCCACTGAACTCCAGTGGGCGACAGAGCAAGACTCCATCTCAAAAAAAAAAAAAAAAAAAAAAACCCAAAACCAAAAAACAAAACTGGCCAGGCACAGTGGCACACGCCCGCAATCCCAGCACTTTGGGAGGCTGAGGGGTGGGAGGATCACTTGAGACCAGTAGTTTGACACCAGCCTGGACAACACAGCAAGACCTCATCTCTACAAAATAAAAATTAAAAAATGAGCCAGGTGTGATGGTGCATACCCCTAGCCATTTTGGAGGCTGAGGCAGGAGTATTGTTTGAGCCCAGGGGTTTGTGGTTATAGTGAGCTATGATCGCACCACTGCACTTCAGCTTGAATGACAGACTGAGACTCTGTCTCAAAAATAAAAAATAGGCCGGGCATGGTGGCTCACGCCTGTAATCCCAGCACTTTGGGAGGCCAAGGCAGGCGGATCACAAGGTCAGGAGATCGAGACCATCCTGGCTAACACAGTGAAAACCCATCTCTACTAAAAACACAAAACATTAGCCAGGTGTGGTGGTGGGCGCCTGTAGTCCCAGCTACTCGGGAGGCTGAGGCAGGAGAATGGCGTGAACCCGGGAGGTGGAGCTTGCAGTGAGCCGAGATCATGCCACTGCACTCCAGCCTGGGCGACAGAGCAAGACTCCGTCTCAAATAAATCAATAAAAAAAAAAAAAAAAAAACCAACCAAGATGCCTGGGCCTCACCCCAGACCTGCTGAATTCATATCTCCAGGGAGGGCCGAGGCCTGGACATTTTTAATAAGCTCCTCTGATGGCTCTAATGTGGATATGACCCTTCACTTTACTGATAGGAAAATGAAAGTGAAAGGCGAGTTTAAGCAACATTCCCAAGGTCAATTGAATCTACAGGCAAAAAACAAGTATTAGTTGAAGTTCTTCTGATTGCAAGTAACAGATTCTGCCCGCAATGGGAACAGTCCCTCCTGGCTGGCAGGGCTCCAGGATGCTGCAGTCTCCCTGAGCACTGCGCCCCACTGCTGGAAATGGCCACATGCCATCTGCCCAATGCCTCTCCAAGGCACCTGCGTGCAGGCCAGCTGGGAAGGAAGTCTTGCAGTATCATGCATACAAGCGACGCTGGCTCAGTGAGGTTGGATCAAGGAGACCAAGAGGCACTTGTACAGGCAACTGGTCCAGTCACCAAAAGGAGATTAATGAGATTACAGACCCAGGCTGGGACGCCAGCATGGATTGGCTTCTTCTGCCCCAAAACAATCCATGTCAGAGTCCCCATGTCCACTCCATCCCAATCTCACATCTCACAGATGTGCACCACAAATCCAGCGAATCAGGCCAAAGAATTTCCACAGCTCACTGCAGACCTTCTCCATTTGGGTCCTGTCCGGCCCTGCTCAAGAGCCTCCAACAGCCCCCACTGCCCATGGAATTAGCCACAAACCCTCCAGCCTCAGAGTCAAGATCCTCCAAAGATGACCCAAAGGACATCTCAGATCTTCTCTTTCCCACAACATCCTTTGTGCATCCTTCACTCCCAGAGGTTCACTGCCAGGAGCCTAGAAGCCCACAGAGCTAATGTCTCACAGTCCTCAGGGTGGTCCAGCAGCAGACAGTCCTCCCAAGGCAGCAGGGAGGAGCACTCTTCCCTACTCAGAAACACTAGGCCAAGCCTCTTTACCTGCTGGTCACTGAAAATGCCCATTGAGTCTCAAGTCCAAGTTCAAACACTACCCATCCTCGGAAACCAGGTTTGGGACCCTGGGGATCTGTATTTTTTTCATGATTGCTTCTATAACCTCCTGCCTCGCTCTTCTTTTAGTCATTTAACTTTTGGTCAGTTAACTCCAAAAACAGCTTCAATCATTTCCTTTTTTTTTTCCTTTTTTTTTTTTTTTTTGAGACAGGGCCTTACTCTTTCGCCCAGGCTGGAGTGCAGTGGCATGATCTCAGCCCACTGCAACCTCCGCCTCCTGGGCTCAAGCAATCCTCCCATCTCAGCCTCCCGAGTAGCTGAAATTACAGGCATGTGCCACCATGCCCAGCTAATTTTTTGTATTTTTGGTAGAGATGGGGTTTTACCATGTTTCTCAGGCTGGTCCTGAACTCCTGAGCTCAGGTGATCCACCTGCCTCGGCCTCCCATAGTGCTGGGATTACAGGTGTGAGCCACCATGCTTAGGCAGCTTCACTCATTTCTGTTCCCTCTGCAAACCAAACACAATGTAGGGTACCCTATAATCTTCATTTAAAACTTTTTTTTTTTTTTGAGACAGGGTCTCATTCTGTCACCCAGGCTGGAGCGCACTGACATGATCACAGCTCACTGCAGCCTCAACCTCCCCAGTAGCTGGAACTACAGGCACATGCCACCACACCTGGCTAACTTTTGTATTTTTCATAGAGATGGGATTTCACAATAATACCCAGGCTGGTCTTGAACTCCTGAGCTCAAGCAATCTACCCGCCTCGACCTCCCAAAGTGCTGGGATTATAGGCATGAGCCACCACACCCGGCCCATTTAAATTTTTTTTTTGTACACTTTAATATTTAAAACAACTCTACAGAGGCCAGACATGGTGGCTCACATCTGTAATCCCAGTACTTTGGGAGGCTAAGGTGGGAGGCTTGCTTGAGGCCAGGAGTCCAAGACCAGCCTGGGCAACATAGCAAGACTATGCCTCTACAAATTTTTTTAAAAATTAGCTAGGTGCGGTGGTGCATGCCTGTAGTGTCCTAGCTAGTTGGGAGGCTGAGGTGGGAGGATGGCTTGACCCAGGAGTTTGAGGTTACAGTGAGCCACAATCACTCCACTGCACTCCAGCATGGGCAATGGAGTGAGACTCTGTCTCTAAAAAACAAAAACAGGCCGGGTGCGGTGGCTCACGCCTGTAATCCCAGCACTTTGGGAGGTGGGCAGATCACGAGGCCAGGAGATCTAGACCGTCCTGGCTAACTCTTTTTTTTTTTTTTTTTTTTTTTGAGACGGAGTCTCGCTCTGTCACCCAGGCTGGAGTGCAGTGGTGCGATCTCGGCTCACTGCAAGTTCCGCCTCCTGGGTTCACACCATTCTCCTGCCTCGGCCTCCTGAGTAGCTGGGACTACAGGCGCCCGCCACCACGCCTGGCTAATTTTTTGTATGTCCTGGCTAACGTGGTAAAACCCTGTATCAACATAAAATACAAAAAAAAAAAAAAAATTTGCCGGGCATGGTGGCGGGCGCCTGTAGTCCCAGCTACTTGGGAGGCTGAGGCAGGAGAATGGTATGAACCCAGGAGGCGGAGCTTGCAGTGAGCCGAGATCGCACCACTGTACCCCAGTCTGGGCTACAGAGCAAGATTCTGTCTCAAAAAAAAAAAAAAAAACCAGCTCTACAGGGGTATGCTGACATACAATGAAATGCACACATTTAAAGTACATAATTGGGTAAGCTTTGACATATGCATACACTCTTGAAGCCACTGCCACACCTCCCCTTTGAAATTTCTGCCAGGCCTTGAGTAAGCACTGATCTGTGTTAGCATTTTCTTTCCTTTTTTTTTTTTTTGAGACGGAGTCTCGCTCTGTTGCCCAGGCTGGAGTGCAATGGCGTCATCACGGTTCACCACAACCTCTGCCTCTCAGGTTCAAGCAATTCTCCTGCTTCAGCTTCCCAAGTAGCTGGGATTACAGGTGTGCACCACCACACTCAGCTGACTTTTGTAGTTTTAATAGAGACGGGGTTTCACCACGTTGGCCAGGCTGGTCTTGAACTACTGACCTCAGGTCATCCACCCGCCCTGGCCTCCCAAAGTGCTGGGATTACAGGCATGAGCCACAGCACCTGGCCTGTGTTAGCATTTTCTAGTATTTTATATAAATAAGTTTGTTTTTGAGACAGGGTCATGCTCTATCACCCAGGCTGGAGTGAGGTGGCAGCCATCATGGCTCACTGCAGCCTCTGCCTCCTGGGCTCAAGGGATCCTCCCACCTCAGCTTCTTGAGCAGCTGGGACTACAGGCACCCAGCTAATTTTTGTATTTTTTGTACAGACGGGGTTTTGCCATGTTGCTTAGGCTGGTCTTGAACTCCTGGGCTCAGGCAATCTGCTCGCCTCAGCCTCCCAAAGTGTTGGGATTACAGGCATGAGCCACTGTACCTGGCCAAATTTTATATAAATGAAATGATAACAGTATGTATTCTTTGGCTTCTTGACTCAGCATAATTATTTCATCAAATTTGGACAACTTTCAGTTGTATTTCTTCTTCACATCTTTTTTTCCTGTCACCCTTCTTCCCTCTTAAGACTTGGATTTCATTTACGTGAGGCCACTTGAAGGGGTCTGTGCTCACTGATTCTCTGAACATTTTCCAGCCTGTTTTCCCTCTGGGCTTCAGTGTGGATGGTTTTTCACTGCTGTGTCTTCAAGCTCACTAGTCTTTTCTTCTGCAATTTCTATGCTGCCATTAATCTCATCCAGTGATATTTTTCAGCTCAGACATTGCAATTTTAATCCCTACAAATTTGATTTGAGTTGTTGTTTTTTGTTTTGTTGTTTTTTTTTTTTTTTAGAGGCAGGGTCTTGCCATCTTGCCCAGGCTCATCTTGAACTCCCGAGCTTAAGCAATTCTCCCAGCTCAGCGTCCCAAAGTTCTGGGATTGCAGGCACGAGCCACCACACCCAGCCTGGAGTTTTTTGATATTGTTTTTTTTTTTTTTTTTTTTTTTTTGAGACAGAGTCTCGCTCTGTTGCCCAGGCTGGAGTGCAGTGGTGCAATCTTTGCTCACTGCAACCTCCACCTCCCAGGTTCAAGTGATTCTCCTGCCTCAGCCTCCTGAGTAGCTACGATTACAGGTGTGTGCCACCACGCTTGGCTAATTTTTGTATTTTTAGTAGAGATGAGGTTTTGCCATGTTGGCCAGGCAACTCCTGACCTCAGGTGGTCTGCCCACCTCAGCCTCCCAATGTGCTGGGATTACAGGTGTGAGCCGTTGCATGCCTGGCCTAGCCTGGAGTTTTTCTATCTCTCATTTTCTACTTAACAGGCTGAATCTCTCTACTAGCTTCTTGAACACATAAAGGTGTAACAACTGTTTTAATGTCCTGTCTATGAATTTTACCATCTGTATCATTTCTGGGTCAGCTCCTATTGACGGATTTCTTCCCCTTTCATTGCAGGTCGTATTTTCCTGCTTCTCTGCTTGTTGGGTAAATGTTAATTGGTTGCCCATGTGAATTTTATCTTGCTGATGTTGGATATTTTTGCAATCTGTAAATATTCTTGAGCTTTGTTCTAAGATGCTGGTAAGTTACTCTGAAACAGTTTGATTCTTCGGAGTCTTGCTTTAAGCTCCAGTAGGTAGGACCAGAGCTGCATTTACTGTCAGGCTAATTTTGCTCCATATCTGAGGCAAAACACTCCTGGGCATCTGACCTACTTATGGGTGCATGTGATCTGTCCAGCAGAAGACCCTCTGACTGGTCACAGGGAATTGTGACACAGGCTCCTTCCTCAAACATGGTCTGACCAGGCCACCTGCCTGGCTTCAAACTCTTCAAGAATGATGCCAATGCCTTAGCCCAGCCCTCCCTGCCCCGGCCTGTGCCAGTCTCCCAATACAGCCCCTTTCTGCACCCTGGGCAAGGGTGCCTTCTGCTCAGTGCCTATACTTCATGTCCCCTCTGCTTAGAACACCCTCTGTCCTGCCTGCCTGCTACACTCCTACTTGCCTTTCTTGTACCAGTGCCACCTCTTGTGAGATCCTCTGACCACTCCAAGGCCCTGACAGCACTTCCCTCTCCAGCTGGCTCCATGGCACTCTGCCCACAGCTCTGGAAGCACAGGCGCCAGTGGTTTGCGTGTGTCTCTACGGTAGCCTGTGAGTGTCCCTGGATGGGACTGTTCTTGCCGCTGCTCTGTTGTGGGCCTTGAGGATGAGGGGCTGAGGAGGCCCGGCACAACCACTGACTACCCTGAGACCAGGAACCTTGCTTTTGCCAGGCCTTGCTTTCCTCATCTGCAGAAGGAAGTGGCAAGGTTATGTGTTTTCCAGTCTCCTTCTAGCTCTAAAATCTTTGTGTGGGGCAGGGGGAAGGGGGGACAACCTACTGGGGTTCAGATTTATATGGGCTGGGTAGGTCAGAGACGTGCCTCGGAGAAGAAAGGTTGCTCACTGACCCACAAAAGATGGGTCCCTTGTAAAATATACCTATTTTTCTCCCTGATCATGAAAAAGTTTTCCTACCCATTATGGGAAAACATGGTAAATTTTAATCACTTATAATCCCTGGATCAAAATAGTCTTTTTTTTGAGATGGAGTTTCGCTCTTGTTGTCCAGGCTAGAGTGCAATGGCGCGATCTCGGCTCATCACAACCTCCGCCTCCCGGGTTTAAGCAATTCTCCTGCCTCAGCCTCCTGAGTAGCTGGGATTACAGGCATGCACCACCACACCCAGCTAATTTTGTATTTTTAGTAGAGACGGGGTTTCTCCATATTGGTCAGGCTGGTCTTGAACTCCCGACCTCAGGTGATCTGCCCACATGGGCCTCCCAAAGTGCTGGCATTACAGGCATGAGCCACCGTGCCCGGCCCCATAACAGTCACCTTTGTTGTAGTTTCTTCTAGGTTTTCAGTGAGAAATTATTTTTTATTTTTATTAATTGATTAAGACAGGGTCTTGCTCTGTTGCCCAGTCTGGAGTGCAGTGGTACAAACATGGCTCACTGCAGCCTTGACCTCCTGGGCTCAAGTGATCCTCCCACCTCAGCCTCCTGAGTAGCTGGAGTAGCTGGGACCACAGGTGCACGCCAACACACCTGGCTAATTTAAAAAATTACCTGTAGAGACGGGGTCTCACTACGCTGCCTAGGCTGATTTTGAACTCCTGGGTTCAAGTGATCCTCCCACTTTGGCCTCCCAAAGTGCTGGGATTATAGGCATGAGCCACTGCACCCAGCCTAGTGGGATTTTATAGTTTTGTTTTACAAAACTGGAACCACACCATAGACACCATTTCAGAGTCCACTGTAAGCACAGTAAGAACAGACACCTCTTCTACTCAAGCACATGGGGCACACAGAATGTGAAACTTCACACCAACTATGCTTGCGTTAGAGGTACCTCTAACACAGACAGAAAATTCTCTAACTCAAACAGCAAACTCCAGACTATGAAGATGCTAAACACAACTATAAATATTTTCTCCAAACCCTTGCAAGTGTTAGCAAATCTGAAAACTGAGTCATTTGTTTTGAGTACTTTGTTAAAACTTTACCGCAAAACTACTACAGGAGGGGTATCTTCCCAGAGAAGAGAATAGGACAACAGAACTAAATAGAGAAGCTGATGCTAATTTTAAAAGATTTCTGTGGCTTCACTTCATGTGCCCTTGAGCATCTATCCCCTGCCTCCATTTCCTTTTCCACTGCAAATACATCCTCTACGCAGATGAAGAAGCTCAAGTCGAAGAACAAATAAAACAAAGTGGAAAGATGTAGAACATAATCAAAATACATAAACCCCGCTTGTTCTCCAATCCTCAGATTCAACCAACTCTTCTGACGTTCCAGTCCTCAGAGTGAACCCCCATCTCCCCTCACTCCTGGGCTCATTTGCAGGACCCTCTGCGATTTAAAGATTCGCATGTGTAGGCTTTGTCCTAAAATACGACGTGTGAGGCCACTAAGCCTATGACATGTCGCCACAACCTGGTGCTTGCTGCCATCCTGCAGTTGGTCCTGGCCCAGGCCTTGGACCTCAGAGCCACAGGAGAGGCAGAGGCGGGTGTCACACACCTGGGTCTATGTCCCACCCCTGCCGCCTGCCCGCTATGAGGCCTCAGGCAACTTTCTGAACCTCTGAGCTAGGGTTTTCTCCTCTGTCAAATGGGGAAAGACGCAGTCACTTCCCAGGTTGTTGTGAGGACTGAGGGAAAGATGTGCTTCAGGCATTAGCCTGGCACAAGGCGAGCGCCTGGCAGCAGAGCTTGTCTTCACTTCTGATCTCAGCAAACAATCGTCAGTGCCAGCAGCCCGGGAGAAGCGCCTTCCTCAGCCCAGGGGAGCCTCGGCAGGGGCAGCACCTGGGAGCTGGGGGCCTGGGTCCCTGCCTGGGCTTGGCACACACCAGAGTTGGGATCCTGGGCAAATTGCTCAACTGTTCTGGGTAACAGATTTCCTCGTAAAGTAGGGGGAACTACGGACTTTTCTATTTCCTGGGGCAATAAAAGGGTTAAGGATAAGGCAGTGCTTGGCAAAGTGCAGTAGAAAGGCCTGTGTACATGTGAAGCCTGATTTCTTTCCCACAGAAACCAACTTGAAAAGCATTTTGTATCTACAGAATCCATGGCAAACTGAATGTCTTCCATAGCATGCTAAAAGCTAACTCAATGAGAAAATGTGGCTCTATTCAGCAGAACTACTTGAAATAGTTCATGCTTAACATCCCATTTAGCAATCACTACTTTATTCAGAGCAGAGCTTTGAGGTCCTTTCATGTGAATTTGTTCTATTTTGGCCATTTTCCTGGCAAAGCTGTTGATCACCACAGTCAATAGAGCACTTTAAGCAAAGCTCTCTTCCCCATTTTAGCTTTGCTTCCTAGAGGTTATTCTAGAGTCTACATGGAGACAGGAACAGGAAATTGTGGTTGCACACCGTTCTCCATGTAACCCTTTTGCCAGGTACCTGTGTGGCCCCATGGCTGCAGAGAGGTGCACACAGCAGAGGCAAGGGTGGCTCCAGCCCCACTGAGGACTGAGATCGGCAGCTTCCTGCTTGCCCTACTCTCCAGCATCCTGGCCTCTGGCTTGCTGGGAAAAGGAGGAGGCAAGGCACATGGGCGCTCAACCCACTCAAGGACGTTCTTTCTACAACACATCCTGCAAATCTCGCTCTTGCACTCAGCAGCCTGCCTCTGCACTGGGATCCTACAAACTTTACAGTCCAATGTTACCACAGGTCTTCCACATGTACGTGATAATTGTGACAAATATTCCTTGGAGCTACCAGAGGAATATCACTATCAAGCAAAGCACTGTGCACAAGAATGTGTGGAGGAAGTAACAGAGTGGAAATAGAAGAAATAGAGGATAGAAAAACAACACAGAAAAAGCAAGAAAACCAAAAGGAGGTGTTTTGAAAAGAGCAACAAAATTGACAAACCTTTAGCTAGACTAAGAAAAAATGAGAGAAGATTCAAATTATTATTATTATTATTATTAGCGTTGTGCTCTGTTGCCCAGGCTGGAGTATAGTGGCAATTGGCAATAAAACTGGCAATCATAGCTCACTACAGCCTTGAACTCCTGGGCTCAAGCAATTCTCCTACCTGAGTCTTCTGAGTAGCTGGGACTACAGGTGCACTATCAGGTCCAGGTAATTTTTTTTTTTTTGGTAGAGATGATGTCTTGCTATGTTGCCCAGGCTGGTCTTGAACTCCTAGGCTCAAGTGGTCTTCCTGCCTCAACCTTCCAAAGTGGGATTACAGACATGAGCCACTGTGCCCAGCCAATTCAAATTATAAAATCAGAAAGAGGAGACATTACTACCAATTTCACAGAAATAAAAAGTATTACAGAAGAATACTGTGAACAATTGGATGCCAACAAATTAGATAAAATAGATGAAATGAACAAATTCCTAGAAAGAATAAACTACTTAGATTGACTCAAGAAGAAAGAGAGGCAGGGTGCAGTGGCTCACACCTGTAATCCCAGCACTTTGGGAGGCCGAGGTGGGAAGATCACTTGAGGTCAGGAGTTCGAGACCAGCCTGGCCAACATAGTGAAACCCTATCTCTACTAAAAATATAAAATTAGGCTGGGCACAGTGACTCACGTCTGTAATCCCAGCACTTTGGGAGGCCGAGGCAGGTGGATCATGAGGTCAGGAGATCAAAACCATCCTATTCAACATAGTGAAACCCCATCTCTACTAAAAATACAAAAATTAGCTGGGTGTGGCGGTGCATGCCTGTAATCCCAGCTACTCGTGAGGCTGAGGCAGGAGAACTGCTTGAACCCAGGAGGCGGAGGCTGCAGTGAGCTGAGATCGTGCCACTGCACTCCAGCCTGGGCGACAGAGCGAGACTCCGTCTCAAAAAAAAAAAAAAAACACAAGAAACAAAATTAGCCGGGCATGGTGGTGCACGCCTGTAACCCCAGTTACTTGGGAGGCTGAGGCAGGAGAATTGCTTGAACCTGGGAGGTGGAGGTTTCAGTGAGCTGAGATTGTGCCATTGCCCTCCAGTCTGGGCAACAAGAGCAAAACTCCATCTCAAAAAAAAAAAAAAAAAGAAGAAGAAGAAGAAATAGAAAATTCTGAATAGGCTGGGTGCAGTGGCTCATGCCTGTAATCCTAGCACTTTGGGAGGCTGTGGAGGGTGGATCATTTGAGGTCAGGAGTTCAAGACAAGCCTGGCCAACATGGTGAAACCTCGTCTCTACTAAAAATAGAAAAATTAGCTGCGTGTGGTGGTACATGCCTGTAGTCCCAGCTACTAGGGAGGCCAAGGCAGGAGAATTGCAAGAACCCAGGAGACGGAGGTTGCAGTGGGCCGAGATCGCGCCAACATCCTCTAGCCTGGGTGACAGAGCGAGACTCCATGTCAGAAAAAAAAAAAAAAAATTCTGAATAGACCTATAATGAATAAAGAGATTGAACCAGTAGTCAAAAAAACTTCCCACAAAAAAAGTTCAGGCCTACATGGCTACATGAATTCATGGATGGGATGACGAATTCTAACAAATGGGGTGTAAAAAATAAAACCAATCTTTCAAAAACTCTTCCAAAAAGTAGAAAAGAAGAAAACACTTCCCAGTGCATTCTATGAGGCCAGCAGCATTACCTTGATACCAAATCCAGACAAACACATGGCAAGAAAACCAAAGACCAATATCTCTCATGAATATAGACACAAAAATCCTCAACAAAACTTTAGCAAACCAAATCCAGCAACATATACATACAAAGGATTTCACATCATGACCAACTGGGATTTAACCCAGGAATGAAACTGTGTTTCAACATATAAAACTCCATCAGTATAATATATCATATTAATAAAGGAAAAAAACCAGATGACCATCTCAATAGGCATAGAAAAAGCATTTGACAAAACCCAACACCCTTTCATCATAACAAACACTGAACAAACTAGGAACAGAAAGAACTCCTAGAATTCCTTCTAGGAGTAGAAGGGAAGTTCAACCTAATAAAGGGAGCCTAAGAAAACACAAAGCTCACATCATATTTAATGGTAAAAGACTGAATGCCTTCCCCTTAAGATCAGAAACAAGACTAGGAGGCCCATTCTCGCCACTTCTACTCAACATTTTACTAGAAGTTCCAGCCAGGGCAATCAGGCAAGACAGTAAAATAAAAGACATACAGATAGAAAGGAAGAAGTAAAATTATCTCTATTGGCAGACCATGTCAGAAGCCATGATCTCATCTATAGAAAATGCAAAAGAATCTACAAAAACCTGTTAGACCCAATAAACAAGTTTAGCAAGGTTGCCAGACACAAGATCAATATACAAAAATCTATACTAGCAATGGGCAATCTGAAAATGAAGAAAACAGCTCCATTTACAATAGTATCAAAGGGAATACAGAACTTAGAAATAAACCTAACAAAAGCAGTATAAAACATATACTCTGAAAACTACAAAACATTGGTGAAGGAAAGTAAAGAAGATCTAAATAAATGGGAAGACATCCCATGTTCACAGACTGGAAGATTTTCCAAATTTATCTACTGATTCGACACAATTCCTTTCAAAATTCCAGTTAGTATTTTTTTTTGCAGAAATTGACATACTTATCCCAAAATTCACATGGATGTAGGAGGGGCTCCATGTAGCTGAAAAAATCTTGAAAAAGAAAAAGTTAGAGGATTCATACTTCCTGATTTCAAAATTTACGACAAAGCTAAGTAATCAGGACAGTGTAGTTTAAGGATAGATACACAGATCACTGGGATATAACTAAGAGTCCAGTAGCAAACCTTTATATTTACAATCAATTGATTTTGACAAGGGTGTTGAAATAATTTAATGTGGACAGAATAGTCTTTTCAATAAATGGTGCTGGTACAATTCGATACCCACATGTAAAAGAATGCATTTGGACACCTATCTCATACCATATTCAAAAATCAACTCAAAATGGATGAAGCACTTAATGTAAGAGCTAAAACTACAAAACTGCTAGAAGAAAACATAGAGGTAAATCTTTGTGACCTTGGATTAGGCAACTAAAAGCAGAAGCAAATGAAGAAAAAATTAATAAACTGGACTTCATCAAAATAAAAATATTTGTGCATCAAAGAACATCATAAAAAAGTAAAAGACAATGCACAGAATGGAAGAAAATACTTGTAAATCATGTGTCTGATAAAGGTCTAGTACCCAGAATACATAAAGAACTCATATATAAAACTCAACAGGCTGGGCACGGTGGCTCACACCTGTAATCTCAGCACTTTGGGAGACCCAGGTAGGCGGATCACAAGGTCAGGAGTTCAAGACCAGCCTGGCCAACATGGTGAAACCCCCATCTCTACTAAAAATACAAAAATTAGCCAGGCATGGCGGTGCATGCCTGTAATCCTAGCTACTCAGGAGACTGAGGCAGTAGAATCACTTGAATCCAGGAGGCAGAAGTTGCAGTGAGCTGAGATCATGCCACTGCACTCCAGCCTGGGCGACAGAGCAAGACTCCATCTCAAAACAAACAAACAAACTCAGTAAAAGATAACACAATTTAAAAATGAGCAAAAGATTTGAGGCTGGGCGTGGTGGCACACGCCTGTAATCCAAGCACTTTGGGAGGCCGAGGTGGGCGGATCACCTGAGGCCAGGAGTTTGAGACCAGCCTGGCCAACATGGTGAAACCCTGCCTCTACTAAAAAAATATGGAAAAAAAAAAATAGCCAGGCGTGGAGGCACATGTCTGTAATCCCAGCTACTCAGCAGGCTGAGGCAAGAGAATCGCTTGAACCCAGGAGGCAGAGATTGCAGTGAGCAGAGATTGCGCCACTGCACTCCAGCCTGGGCAACAGAGTGAGACTCCATCATAAAAAAAAAAAAGAAAAAAGGAACACACAGTTCTTGAAAGAAGATACACAAATAACCAATAAACACATGAAAAGAGGGATGTTCAATATCATTAGTTGTTAGGTCAATGCAAATCAAACCCACAATGAGATACCACTTTCCAACTACTATGATGACTAGTATTAAAAAATTAGACATATGAGGCAGTTTCTGAGACCAGAAAAATAAAATAACAACAAAAAATTGGAAAGGCCAGGCGCAGTGGCTCATGCCTGTAATCCCAGCACTTTGGGAGGCCGGGGGAGGGTGGATTACCTGAGGTCAGGAGTTCGAGACCAGCCTGACCAATATGGTGAAACCCCGTCTCTCCTAAAAATACAAAAATCACCTGGGCATGGTGGTGCATGCCTGTAATCTCAGCTACTCAGGAGGCTGAGGCAGGATAATTGCTTGAACCCGGTAGGCGGAGGTTGTAGTGAGCCAAGATGGCGCCATTGCACTCCAGACTAGGCAATAAGAGCGAAACTCTGGCTCAAAAAAAAAAAAAAAAAAAAAATTGGTGAGGATGGGAAAAACTAGAACTCTCATATCTTGCTGGTGGAACACAAATGGTGCAGCCACTGTGAAAAACACTTTGACATCCTTAAAAAGTTCAACACAGAATCGCCACATGACCTGCAATTCCACTTACAGACAGATACCCAATAGAACTGGGAACATACATCCTCCCTAAAGACTTGCACACATATGTTGACAGCAGCATTATTCACAGTAGCCAATAAGCAGAAACAATCCAAATGTCCATCCACTGGTGAAATGATAAACCAATGTGGCCTATCCATACAACAGAGCTGTGATGTAGTCATAAAAAGGAATTAAGAACTGATACACCTACAACGTGGATGAACTCCGAAACATGATACAAAGTGAAAGATGTCAGATAAAAAAGGCCACATATTATATGATCCAATTTATATAAAATGTCCAGAATAGGCAAAGCCATAGAAACAGAAAGCAGATGAGTGGCTGCCATGGGCGGAGGGGCTGGTTCTGTGAGAACAGGAAGTGACTGCTAATGGGTAAGGGTGTTCTCTCTGTTTTGGAGTGATGGGAACCCTCTGGAATTGGATGGTGCTAACTGCTGCTAACTGATGCTAAAGCCACTGAGCTGCACACTGTAGAAGGCTGAAATTTTATGTTATGCGGGTTGTAACTTAAAAGGAAAAATATAAAGTTGTTAGAAGGAAAAAAAGGAACGTATTGACAGTGGTGTGTCAAAGGAGTCCACCTGGGTGCGGGCAACCAGAGAATTTAAGGACAATAATGAAACTAACGACAGGCGGCTTGCTTTTCATAATCACTGTGCCCCAGCAGTGCTAAACATGGCAGTGAGGAAGGCTCCTCTCTGCAGGGTGGACTCTCCCTCTGTGCCACTATGAGTACGTCACCGTGTGCAGAGGGAAAACAGAGCATGTGTTATAATTCATTATGTACAACCTCATGTTTGACAGTGCCGTATCATTCACAAAGTGTTGTCATAGACAATATCATCCCCATCACCCTCTGGAGGAGGAAGACCCACCAAGGAGGACGAGAAGCCTCCCTGTGGCCATGACCGCTAGTGGTGGCCTCCACAGAGCTCTGGAGCCGAATGCTGATTTCAGTAAAGGTTCTCCCACCACCACACTCCCCAGGGCTGGTGGACACCACTGGTGTCCTCATCCCTGAGGCCTCACCATGACCAAAATGTAGACAGTTATGCACAAAGGCATTTACCCTACTCTTTACCTCTTTCCTGACTCCACTGAAGGTTTCTCTGCCCAACAACGAACCATCCCCCCTGCCCCACTGCTGCCTCCACAATTGGCAACTTCACCTGTTTCCCAACAGAGTCACCAAATGGGGGCTGGCAGGAGTCTGGGCAAATAAGTCTCAAAAAACCACAGCCCCCAGTTATAAACTTCAACAGAAATCTATTCAGCACAGGAACCAAGCCTGTGGGATCTTTAAGGGTAACTAGATAGTACATTCAAATCAGACTTCTCCTTGTGAGCTGAGTGCTGGAGGTCAGGAGAACACAGACTCTGTGTTGGGATGCACGGTCAGCTGAAACATGGCAGGAGCTGGCCAGCAGTGGGCTGGACAGGAAACGGAATTTCTTCAACAAACCAGGAGAGGCACTCAGCATTTTCTCCATGACAAGATTCAAAGTAACTTTTACCTTCTTTATACTTCTGGGTACTGATTTATTATCATTATTATTATAAAATAGAGGTTCCAATATATAGGCAGATTTAAAAAATAATATTCACTTAGTAAAAAGTCAAAAACGAAATATTATTATTTTGAAAGAGAAAATATACGTGTTGACTCATAATCTGTAACAGTCTGTTCAGCTCTAAACTTCACAAATCCCGAATTCCAGTTGTGATGTTGATGAACGAGAGTGTGTAGACCCTGGGGGCATGGCTCCCCGCATTTGCTGGGAGGCCTCTAGAGGCTGTGCAGATCCTTTTTCCCAGTACCAGCATCCTCACAGTTTCTGTCTTACTGAAGAGTGAGTTCCACCAGCTAACTTCTGCTTACCTGGACAGGTGGCTCAATCATTATCCAGGCTGGAAGCATGAGACTGGGATTGAGAGGCTGAGTCCCTACACGGAAGTAAACTCCACCCCTGGAATCACAGGCCCAGATGTGCTGATTTCCACATGCCAAGCTTGTCAATTTTACAGCTCCTGTAGATAAAGAAAAGTACACACACTATAATTACTTTTGTACAATGACTATTCTTTCATCTAATCTATGAACTTTGATTTTCTACTTCAAAGAAAGAAATGAGGCTGCATTTGCAATTGAACTTGGACACTAAGTCATCGGATCTGTCCTAGTCCATCCACATCGGCTGTGTGGACTCAGCTGGGCTTGAGAACACCGTAACTCAAGAGAGTAATAATGGCCTCTGGCCACTCTGCCACCTGCCAGGCGCCACACGGCACCCCTTCCAGGCAACAGGCAAAGCAGTCAAGATGCTGTCAGTACAGTGCCCTGAACCACCGAGCCCTGGGATTAGTATCTCAATGTGGGTCCCATCGTCAGCTTCCTCAGACATGTGACTAATGCCAGCAAATTCTAGATTTGGAGAGAGGGAACTCGTATTTACAGATAATCTTGATCTTAATTAGAATTAAACTGACTGGGCACAGTGGCACACACCTGTAATCTTAGCACTTTCAGAGGCCATGGCGGGTGGATCGGTTGAGCCCAGAAGTTCAAGACCAGTTTGGGCAGCATAGTGAGATCCTGTCTCTACAAAATACACAGAAATTAGTTGGGTGTGGTGGCACACACCTGTAGTCCCAGCTACTCGGGAGGCTG
The DNA here is from genome assembly GCF_000001405.40 of Homo sapiens. Classification (NCBI taxonomy): domain Eukaryota; kingdom Metazoa; phylum Chordata; class Mammalia; order Primates; family Hominidae; genus Homo; species Homo sapiens. Next base: position 102,464,500 of record NC_000014.9, on the reverse strand, counting down.
AGATCGGTTGGGCCCAGGAAGTCGAGGTTGCAGTGACCTGTGATGGTGCCACTGCACTCCAGCCTGGGCAACAGAGCGAGGCCCCATCTCAAAAAAACAAAAAAAAACAAAACTAAGTCTCCCAAAGAATCTTCATTTTTATTTATTTCTTACTGCTATTGAGACTGATTGCAAGAGGAAAGGAAATGGGAAGAGTTTTTTAAAAATAGAAATTACATTTGATAATAGTCTGGCTAAAAGAACAGCAGTCAACAGTTCCTGAGCAGCTGCTGTGGACAGGCTGTCAGCCAGGTCTTCATATACTCATCTCAAACCCACAACAATGATACACGATTAGTATCATCCCACTTCACCCATGAGACCGTCGGGACTCAGCCAGAAAGAGATCTGCTGAGGGCCACACGGCAGGAGGTGGCCAGGCCAGGAGGCAAAGGAGGATCTAAGGTTTGGACCTGGGTCAGCCTGGGTCCTCTGCATCAGCAACCTCTGACCTCTGAGACTTTACCTACAGCACAATGCACAGATCTTCAGGGCTAAGTTGAATTGTTTGTTTTTGTTTTTTGTTCTGTTTGTTTTTGAGATGGAGTCTTGCTCTGTCATCCAGGCTGGTGTACAGGGGTGCAATCTTGGCTCACTGCAACCTCTGCCTCCTGGGTTCAAGTGATTCTCGTGCCTCAGCCTCCTGAGTAGCTGGGATTACAGGCGCGTGCCACCACGCCCAGCTAATTTTTGTATTTTTAGTAGAGATGGAGTTTAATCATGTCGGCCAGGCTGGTCTCGAACTCCTGACCTCAAGTGATCCACCCACCTCAGCCTCCCGAAGTGCTGGGATTACAGGTGTGAGCCACTACGCCTGTCCCAATTGGTTTTAAACAACTTAGTCACCCCAAAAAGTTCCCTCAACTCCCTTCTGGCCAATGCCCTCTACCCTGAGGTAACTGCTGAACTGACTGCTTTTTTATTTTTTTTGAGACAGAATCTCGTTCTGTTGCCCAGGCTGGAGTGCAGTGGCGTGATCTTGGCTCACTGCAACCTCTGCCTCCTGTTTTTTTGTTTTTTTCTTTTTTTTTTTTTTTTTTTTTTTGAGACGGAGTCTCGCTCTGTCGCCCAGGCTGGAGTGCAGTGGCGGGATCTCGGCTCACTGCAAGCTCCGCCTCCCGGGTTCACGCCATTCTCCTGCCTCAGCCTCCCAAGTAGCTGGGATTACAGGCACCTGCCACCACGTCCAGCTAATTTTTGTATTTTTAGTAGAGACAGGGTTTTGCCATGTTGGCCAAGCTGGTCTTGAACTCCTGACCTCAGGTGATCCGTCTCGGCCTCCCAAAGTGCTGGGATTACAGGTGTGAGCCACTGCGCCCGGCCTGTTTCATTTTTAAAGAAACCGCCAGTTTCCCCAATGGAGATCCTGTGCTCCACACCCACAGCCGTGTCTGCGGGTTCTGGCTGCCCGCACCCCTGAACCTTTTCCACGGCAGCCATTCTAGGAGAGGTGAAGTTGTATCATGTCGTGGCTTTAATTTGTATTTCCTGCTAAGGAATGATGCTGGGAATCTTTTAATATGCTTATGGACATCTGTATATCTTCTTTTGTGAAGTGCCTGTTCAAGTCTTGCTCATTTTAAAATGAACTTTCTCCTGACTGCTGAGTTAGAGGAGTTCTCTGCACATTGTAGGTACTAGTCTTTTGTCAGATACGTGCATTGTAAATCTAGTCTGTGGTTTGCTTTTTCATTTTCTTAATAGTGTTTTTGGATGAGAAGTTTTTAATTTTGATGGGTTATTTTGACTTTCAACCGGGGAATAAAAGGTGTGCAGCTCCATTAGCTGGTGGTGCTGCTGGAGAGGGGCAGGTGGAGGACGCCCCACACTGGGTGCAGAATCGGGAGGTACCACCCTTGCACAGTTGTCACTGGTATCAGATGACAGCCCACGGAGTGTAGCAAAACACAGAGGCATGACTCTGCCATGTGAAAATCTCATGTGTCTTCAGTTATGACATCAACTTAAAGCTATTCATTCACTGCTACACAAAAAATTATCATTATTCCTCTTTGCATTTTCTAAAGATGACAATTTCTCTATTCCAAAAATTAACTGTATTTTCTCCTTCCTTGATCTTGTACAGAATGTTTTACCGGGGAGTTTAAACAGAATTCCCTGGAACTCTAACATTACATATGCAAAGATCTGTACCAGTCAAAATAAAGTACCTTCAACAGTAACTCTAGAAATAGCTGAGAAACAAATGCTAATTAAAAGACAATTTTACATTAGAGTCTTCAACCTGCCTCTAAGAGAAACTACAGGCAGCAGTGATCATGCTAACAGAGTCACATGGTGACAAAAACACACCAGGCCAGCATCTCAGAGTTGGCAGCAACAACACTGCTCACAGAACACGGAGTTCACATTACACAGTGAACAACCTTTCAGAACACATATAAAAGACTACTAGATGATGTACTTCCAGTGCATAAACCAGCTTATTCCGAATTGAAGAGACAGGTGAAAGATGACAAAGTTGAACTGAGGGCTTTCCTGCAGACTTTTACCCCAGAGTGTCACCCAGGCCGCCTGGATGAATGAGGTTTGTGAACCTGTTCCATGGAAGAAGTGGTCAGGATGTGGTGAACGCGGTGGCAGAGACCACAGCCCTCCCCAAGCACTCCATGGCTCCCTCACATTCCCTTAGAGTTAGGCAGGACCCACGACCAGTACTGGCAACAGGCTCTGAGCAGAAGGAACCGAGATGGTGGAGCCGCAGAGCAAAGCAGGCAGGATCAGGAAGCCACCACCTGGAGGACCACTGCCCTAGAAGAGGACAGATGCAGGGCCAGCTTCGTGGAGCGGGGGCCACGGTTCACTGTGTGAAGTCGCTGATATCTGGGGCTTGCTACCGAAGCACAGCCCAGCCTGGCTGATGCAAACACACTGACATTTTCCTGTCTGTCCCTGCTTTGTCCTTATTTTTTTCTCTTGTTTTAAAAAAATGCTTTAATTACTTTATTCGACAAAGCAGACATTTTCCCTTTAGGATTATTTCTTAAACATATCATTTTAAAACAAAAAGTGGCATTTATTTGACATTTTATTTATAAAATACTTTTCTGTATAAATTACTGCGTAACACAATCCTGTTTGTTACCTAACGGCATAAACTGACACTGAATAGTTCTTCATTAAATGCTGTGACCTGATAAATTAAATTACAAATTTCATTAGTTTGCTAAACATTCCAATGCCTGACATAATGCATATTTATGTGTACTGGGAAATGAAATGTTACAAGCATCTTAAATATCTGCTAAGTGATGCAAATTTTCTTCCAAAAACTAGGATTATAATAAATCACTACAAAATTCCATATTCAACTGCTACAACTTGGTTCAGCAGCCAACCATTTAATTTAAGAATTCCTTTAATTTAATCCTATAGCAGTAATTGCTCTGGTAATTTGTATAGGGGTAGAAAGAAGAGGGAAGCTGTATTTAAAAAAAAAAAATTGAGGCTGGGCGCAGTGGCTCACACCTGTAATCCCAGCACTTTGGGAGGCTGAGGCGGGTGGATCACAAGATCAGGAGATCGAGACCATCCTGGCTAACACGGTGAAGCCCCATCTCTACTAAAAATACAAAAAAATTAGCTGGGCATGGCAGTGGGTGCCTGTAGTCCCAGCTACTCAGGAGGCTGAGGCAGGAGGATGGCGTGAAGCTGGGAGGTGGAGCTTGCAGTGAGCGGAGATCGTGCCACTGCACTCCAGCCTGGGCGACAGAGCGAGACTCCGTCTCAAAAAAAAAAAAAAATTAAAGGTAGAAATCATGTTCATTATTTGATACTTCGCTAAAGTCATCCTCATCCTTGAAATTAAAATTTAATTTTTTTTTTTTGAGACAGAGTCTTGCTCTGTCACCCAGGCTGGAGTGTAGTGGCGTGATCTCGGCTCACTACAACCTCTGCCTCCCAGGTTCAAGGGATTCTTGTGCCTCAGGCTCCCAAGTAGCTGGGATTACAGACATGTGCCACCACACCTGGCTAATTTTTGTATTGTTAGTAGAGACGGGGCTTCACCATGTTGGCCAGGCTAGTCTCAAACTCCCGACCTTAGGTGATCTGCCTGCCTTGGCCTCCCAACGTGCTGAGATTACAGGCATGAGCCACTGTACCTGGCCTTGTTTTTTAATTAATTGATTATTATTAGTAGTATTTTTTGAGACAGAGTCTCATTCTGTCGCCCAGGCTGGAGTGCAGTGGCACCATCTTGGCTCAGCAGTGGCATAATCTTGGCTCACTGGAGCCTCTGCCTCTCGGGTTCAAGCGATTCTTGTGCCTCAGCCTCCTGAGTAGCTGAGACTACAGCGCCCACCACCACACCCAGCTAATTTTTGTATTTTAAGTAGAGACAGGGTTTTGCTATGTTGGTCAGGCTGGTCTCAAACTCCTGGCCTTAAGTGATCCTCCTGCCTCAACCTCCCAAAGTGCTAGGATTACAAGCGTGAGCCACCACACCCAGTCTGAAATTAAAATTTCTGCTTGCCTTTTAGAGAAGACTGATGATGGTCCTGACCTAACAATGAGTTAGTGCTGCCCAAGGTCAACACTGTCCCCGAGGGAGCAGAGGTCATGCTGTCCAAGGCTGCTTGCTACTCATACAACCAGGAAGACACTTGTAAAGAAAACACCAGGGCTGAAGGGAGAACACATGTAAATGTATCTCTAACAAGATTTTTTGGTTTGCTTTTTTGAGACGGAGTCTCGCTCTGTTCCCAGGCTGGAGTACAATGGCATGATCTTTGTAACCTCCACCTCCCGGGTTCAAGCGATTCCCTTGCCTCAGCCTCCAGAGTAACTGGGACTACAGGCAAGCCACCATGCCCAGCTAATTTTTGTATTTTTAGTAGAGACGGGGTTTCACCATGTTGGCCAGGATAGTCTTGATCTCGTGATCTACGCACCTTGGCCTCTCAAAGTGCTGGGATTACAGGTGTGAGCCACCATGCCTGGCCGACAAGTTTTTATAACCTAACATCTTCTGCCTCATGCCCTGGGAAGGCTGATGGCAACTTAGAGCAAGAGATGAGAATTTTCCTGGGAGGGTGGGAGTCACATCATCCACCAGGCTACTGTGTGTGATGACATCCTGTACTTGCATGGAAGGCAGTTTTATCTTTGACTACCAGTAACATGGCCAAATATAGGATCAAAACTCACATCCCAGAGTTACTCAGAAATGGAGCTGCAAACAGTACTGACTTTCCCTGACATTTTAAATCCTGCTGGTGCAGCTGCATGCAGTTGTAATCCCCGCACTTTGGGAGGCTGATGTGGGAGCATCACTGGAGCCCAGGAGTTTGAGACCAGCCTAGGCAACATAGTGAGACCCCATCCCAAATTAAAACAAAAATCCTGTTGGGTACGTACTGTCACCAAGCAATTGGTCTCTGCCTGTAAAGTCCCTACACACTCCGTGTGTAAACTTTCAACAAAAATAATGTGAGTCAAACTAAAATTACATATATATATATATATATATATATGTGTGTATTTTTTTTTTTTTTAAGAAACAGGAGCTTGCTCTGTTGCCTAGATTAGGCTCAGCTTCCCAGGCTCAAGCAATCCTCCTGCCTCAGCCTCCCAAGTAGCTAGGACAACAGGTGTGCGCCACCGTGCTTGGCTCTGAAATGACAGGTAGAAGCACAGTGCTATGATGGGGACAGTCAATGAAGAATGTCTGGTGGGGAGGTGCGATCTCAACTGAGTCCTGAAGGAAGAAGAGTTGAAGGAAAGCAGCCCACGGAAGGAATGCTAGGCCCCAGGAAGAGAAGCAAATGGGTGGCATGAACATGCACCACACATTAGGGAAGGGCAGGAGTTCAAGACCAGCCTGGCCAACATGGTGAAACCCCATCTCTACCCAAAATATGAAAGTTAGCCAGGGCCCCAACACAAAGGCCAGGAGTGGCTGGAGTCCCCAACGCACGAGGCCTCGGAACAGCAGGCCGGGTCTGGCTGCGAGACCCTGGGTGCCACACCAAAGACTGGAGCTGTATTCTAGTGGCAGCGTGGAGCCATGTAACGTGGAGGGCAACACCATCTGAGCTGGGTTTGAGGAAGACAGCTCTGGTAGCCGTGGTGGGAGGTGGGCACACCTGGTGCCAGGAGGCAGCTACTGCAGTACAGCAACTTGGTGACGAGGGGGCTCCACCCTGACAGTGGTGGGAGGGAAGCAGAGGTCCAGAAGCAGGGAGATCCTCGGGTAGATGGCCAGGACACTGCTGAGCGACTGGCCAAAAGAGCACTCTGGTCTTTCCAGCAGAATTTACTGGGAGCAGCAGGGCTCAGTGGCTCACACCTATAATCCCAGCACTTTGGGAGGCTGAGGCGGGTGGATCACCTGAGGTCAGGAGTTAGAGACCAGCCTGGCCAACACAGTGAAACACCGTCTCTACTAAACATACAAAAATTAGCTGGGCGGGGTGGCACAGGCCTGTAATCCCAGCTACTTGGGAGACTGAGGCAGGAGAATCGCTTGAACCTAGGAGACGGAGGTTGCAGTGAGTCAAAAATCAGACCATTGCACTCCAGCCTGGGCAACATGGTGAGACACTATCTCAAAAAAAAAAAAAAAAAAAAAGGGAATTTAGTGGGAGCAGAGGAGCGAAGTTAGGAAGAAGAGCACAATTGGGGGAGGCTAAATTTGATATTGAACAACATCCTCAAATGCAGTCACTGTGTTTCCATTCATTGCTGTGTGCACCCCCTACTGTTGACTTTAACAAATATTTTTAGAGATGGGGTCTTGCTATGTTGGCCAGGTTGGTTTTAAATTCCTGGCCTCAAGCAGTCCTCCCAAAGTGCTAGGATTACAGGTGTAAGCCACTGCACCCGGCCCACTGCTGACTTGTAAAAAATAAATGAAGCACCCCAATTAATTCCAGATAAGTAACACAGGCAGCAGCCATGTCAGCTTGATGACTCTCCTTTACAGTCAATAATCCCCATTCAATGCATGCCACCTGATGACAGCCGCCATGCACAGTCATACACGGGCTCCTGGGCAGACAGCACACCTGCATTCAAAATTTTCACTTAAATAAGTAATTATTAAAAGGTCTCTTGGGTCAGGCGCAGTGGCTCACACCTGTAATCCCAGCACTTTGGGAGGCCAAGACGGGTGCATCAGTTGAGGTCAGGAGCTCGAGACCAGCTTGGCCAACATGGTGAAACCCCGTCTCTACTAAAAACACAAACATTAGCCGGGCATGGCTGTGGATGCCTGTCATCCCAGCTACTCGGGAGGCTGAGGCAGGAGAATCACTTGAACCCAGGAGGCGGAGGTCGCAGTCAGCCAAGATTGTGTCACTGCACTCCAGCCTAGGCAACAGAGTAAGACTCTGTCTCAAACAAACAAAAAGAGAAGTCTCTTGACCTACCTGCTTTTCCTGCAGGACACAGACCATACCTGGAGAGAGCCTAATAACTGAACACCTGGTGCCCCTGGCCTGATGCTCACTGCCCCTACCCTGGCATAGTGAAGGCTGGGGAGGTGGCTGTTCTTTCTAGGGGAGAAACTCAGCTTCAGTGAGATTGAGTCTCAACTTAAGAGTGACAGGGAGGCTGGGTGCGGTAGCTCACACCTGTAATCCCAGCACTTTGGGAGGCTGAGGCGAGCAGATCACGAGGTCAGGAGATCAAGACCATCCTGGCTAACACGGTGAAACCCCATCTCTACTAAAAATACAAAAAATTAGCCAGGCGTGGTGTTGGGAGCCTGTAGTCCCAGCTACTCGGGAGGCTGAGGCAGGAGAATGACGTGAACCCAGGAGGCAGAGCTTGCAGGGAGCCGAGATTGCGCCACTGCACTCCAGCCTGGGCAACAGAGCGAGACTCTGTCTCAAAAAAAAAAAAAAAAAGAGCGAGAGGGAAACAGGAACAAGTCCACCCTGAGTCCAAGATGGCCTCGAGCCCTCCAGTGTTCAGCAGATACTCGTTGAGGGGATAGGTGCGTGTGCAGAGGAACAGCCTGGGAGTCCCGGTTGCCTGTTCACCTCCCTTGCCCCAACACAAAGCTGCCAACCCTGGACTTGCTGCATTCTCTCAGGATGTGTAGGAAACAGGAAAGGAGTCTTAATCTGACATTTCAAGATCAACCAGATAACTCAAATAAACAAAATCTAAAGTTCAGGGCAGGATAAGGACTAAGCGAGGTGGTGCTTTAACAAGAGATGCTGGATTTGTCCTCCCTGTGGCACAAACTGGGGCAACACAAGCAAAAGCCCCACCACCAGCAGCTAACAAAGACTAGAGAGCACCCCCAAGCAAGACGTGTCACAGCCTTAGGATGACCACACCGCCCGGAGATGGCCAACATTTAGACGGGATGCCCCGTGCATCCTCCAGGGGGTTGGGCTTGGGGGTTGCTGCTCCCATTAGAAAGGAGAGGAAACCAAGGCCGGGCATGGTGGCTCACACTTGTAATCCCAGCACGTTGGGAGGACAAGGCAGGTGGATCATTTGAGGTCAGGAGTTCAAGACTAGCCTGGCCAACATGATAAAACCCCATCTCTACCCAAAATACAAAAGTTAGCAGGGACTGTACGTGGTGGCTCACGCCTGTAATCCCAGCACTTTGGGAGGCGGAGGCAGGCGGACCACCTGAGGTCAGGAGTTCAGGACCAGACTGGCCAACATGGTGAAACCCTGTCTCTACTAAAAATACAAAAAATTAGCCAGGTGTGGTGGTGGGTGCCTGTAATCTCAGCTACTCGGGAGGTTGAGACAGGGAGAATTGCTTGAACCTGGGAGGCAGAGGCTGCAGTGAGCCGAGATCGTGCCACTGCACTCCAGCCTGGGCGACAGAGCGAAACTCCGTCTCAAAAAACAAAAAAATTAGGTGGGCATGGTGGCACATGTCTGTGGTCCCAGCTACTTGGGAGGCTGAGGTGCGAGGATTGCTTAAGCCTGGGAAGGCAGAGGTTGCAGTGAGCCAAGATCGTGCCACTGCACTCTAGCCTGGATGACAGAGTGAGACCCCACCTGGAAAAAAAAGAAAGGAGAGGAAATTGCGGTTCAAGGTGACAGCAGCTTGCCCAGAGTCCAGAGCCCGCCTGGGGCCCAGCTCTGTCCTGCCTCTGCCATGAGTCCCCACACCTCTGCCTGTGACCTCCTTGCACCCACTGCTGTCTGATTCATTTCGGGGTCAGCCGGATACTGACATTGATTTGCTAATGATTTTGCAGGCGGAACACAGGAGGTCAGTGAAAACCTGCCCATCCACAGCGACCAGGATCCCCAGGCCATCCCTCTGTTCACACACCCAACCCCTCAATGAGTATCTGCTGAACACCAGATGGCCCAAGGCCATCTTGGACTCAGGATGGACTTGTTCCTGTTTCCCTCACACTCTTGAGACTCAATCCCACTCAAGCCAGGTTTCTCCCCGAGAGAAACCTCCCAGTGAAGCCCAAATACACACCTTAGAGACCTGCACCACTTTGGCCAGCTAGCCGGTGCTGGGAGGACTGGATCGAGCCAGGAGGGAGGCATGAGCTGTGCTGGAGGCAGGAGGCCCAGGCAGGGCTGGCTCCAGCAGTGCAGAACCTGGCATGATGCCCATTCACTCTGAATCCCACCACGGTGCAGCAGCCTTCCTGGAGGGGCTGGGAAGGGGACGTGCAAGGGAAGCAGTTCTGCTTCTCACCCAAATGGTGCAGGTGAACACAGCCTCCCACAGTGCTCAAGATTCAGGAGCAGGGAGAATACACACCAAGCCCTGGACTTTTTACCCTCAGAGGGAACTAGCGGCATTTTCCAGTTAGTCTGGGTAGGAGCTGCTGGAGAATGGCTCAGGACCAGTAGGGTCTCTGAACAAATGAAAGGCTTTCCAGGGCAGGCGGCAGGTCAGTCAGCACCAATGTTCAGGCCACTCTCAGCCTCAGCCTTGTCTATCAGTCACTGTCAGTGATGTGGAGAGGCGGGTGTTCTCAAAAAGCTAGATGGTGACTGGTGGGTCCAAAAGGCAGGTGGGGAGGCCCAAAGCATAAAGAACAAAAGTTGCCCTGGACAAACCTTCAGTCCCCAAGCCTTGGAACAGAACTTGCTTCTTCAGCTGAGTTAGTGTTCAGGGGCCTTTTCAGGCAAAAGAATGGGTGATGTCTACTCAGCACCCTGTAGGAGCCCCCGGGGCTGAGCACACCAACCACTGCCAGGCAGCCTAGGACGATGCTTGCTTTACGGAATGGCAAGAGGCTCTCATCAGCTGGTAGCATACAGACTGCAATGCAGCCAGGGGCTTGGGGAGAAGGGGAACAAGCCCTTCTCTTCCTGCTTTCTTTTTTTTTTTTTTCTTTTGAGACAGAGTCTTGCTCTGTCACCCAGGCTGGAGTGCAATGGCATGGATCTCAGCTCACTGCAACCTCTGCCTACCAAGTTCAAGTGATTCTCGTGCCTCAGCCTCCCAACCAAGTAGCTGGGATTACAGGCATGTGCCACCACACCCAGGTAATTTTTGTATTTTTAGTAAAGACGGGGTTTCACCATGTTGGCCAGGTTGGTCTTGAACTCCTGACCTCAGGTGATCCGCCCTCCTTGGCCTCCCAAAGTGCTGGGATTATAGGCATTAGCCACTGTGCCCAGCCCTCTTCTTGCTTTCTTTCTCCCCATCCTTTTTTTTTTTTTTTTTTTGGTGAGTACATGTGATTGAGTTTTCAAACATTAAATGCTTATACAATTCAAGTCTACCACATAACCAAATGCTGGTTCTAAGTTAAAAAAACTGGGAAGCCTTGCAGCCAGGAAGTTCCTAAGTCAGTCCTGCTGCAAGTGCAGGGCTCATCCGGGCCCTGGGGGCCATCTGCACAACTCCACCTTCAGGCAAACCACACCTATGCTGCCTGATCCACCAAGAATCTACTCAGAGAGAAATCTAATGTTGTGGGCTTATGTTATTATTTCTTGGAACATGAATGAATTATTTACAAATAGCAGCACTACATTTCTTTCTTTCTTCTTCTTTTTTTTTTTTTGAAACAGAATCTCGCTCTGTTGCCTGGGCTGGAGTGCAATGGCATGATCTCGGCTCACTGCAACCCCCGCCTCCCGGGTTCAAGCAATTCTCCTGCCTCAGCCTCCTGAGTAGCTGAGACTACAGGCGTGCACTGCCACGCCCACCTAATTTTTTTTTGTATTTTTAGTAGAGACAGGGTGTCACCATGTTGGCCAGGCTGGTCTCGAACTCTTGATCTCAGGTGATCCACCCACCTCAGCCTCCTAAAGTGCTGGGATGACAAGTGTGAGCCACTGCGCCCGGCCTACAAATAGCACTACATTTCTTAGCCTACTCCACGGCTTTTGATAGAAGATTCAGAGAAAAGCAGGAGCTAGTGGATGCAGGTCCTCCTATATCTGGCTGAGCTGAAGGAGAGCTAGCACCTGTGTGCTGAGCCACTCTCCTCCGCCAGGTACTGTCCTGAGGAGATAGACAAACGTGGCACTGATCCTGTCATAGGGAACACCCATCTTTTCAGCTTTTCAGGTCATAAAGCTATGTTCCATATTCAGAAAGACTGACGGGGCAGCTGCATCACCAGTATCCTTCAAGCCGCTCGCAGCGAGTGGCCCCTTGACCTGAGGACGCACACCCTCCTCGGGTTCTGACAGCCCTGCAAACTCTAAGGGGCAGGGGAAGGGACAAAACCCAGAGCCTGTCTAGTCTGAAAGAGTGGCCAACTGAGCTCCTGAAATTCAGCAGCTTATAAACACCCCCTCAGAACTCTCACAGGTTGGACACAGGCCGGGCAGTTTTGTCCGACATCACGTTGTGATGCCGGTTTAGGGCAGTCAGGGCACCGGCAGGTGTACTCACGAGGTGGCCGTACCTAGCTGGGAGAGGTCCAGCCTGGTCCAGTGCATGCCCGTGGGGCAGCTCTTGGAGAGCGTCCTGATGAACACCTGGCCGAGGCTGTCCAGCGCCCACAGCGCATCCTGGCAGGCGGCATAGGCGCGCATCTCGGCTTCGGGAGGCAGCTGCACCGTGGAGGGCCGCGACTGTGCGCTCTGGGCGCTGACGCTGCACAGGTCCTTGCTGCTCTGGCACAGCCACAGGAAGCTTCCTGCAGAAAGGGGTCATGTTTGTCATCGAGGTGTTGTCTGCACCAAGCCGCCTGCCCTAAATGCACAAGGCAGCCTTTGCCTTTCAGCAGACGCTAGCCACCTGGCCACAGATGCCAGCTCACTCACCTGCCCATTCCCACACGGGCAGGAGCGGTGTAGCACTTTAAGGTAGAAGGCAGAGGGAAACACCGTGACTAACAAGAAACACGCCTGAGATGTTGGAAAGAAATGGAAAGAAGGCAAGGCTTAGGAGATTTTATGAAGGCCATAATGTTGGCTTAGTGGCTTTGACCTCCCATTTTTCATGGGCTGAGAAGTTTTTCACTTGAACAAAGGCACCAAAGCATTTTTAATGTAGAAAGTTAATTTTACCAAGAGGAGAAGACTATCAACTCGGTGCCCTGGAGGGAGGGAGGGTTGGCAGTTCCTAGGAAGGATGGCGCCATGGTGCTCTCCCGGACCTTCTGGGGATGGGGCCGGGGGGTGGGGCAGCTGCTGGAGAAGGCTTAGGAAGCTGGAAGTGCTTCTCTTCCCACCCTTGCCTCAAAATCATGTCCTTTCATTCCCTACAGCATTTTAAAAAAGTCCTTTAGGTTTAACAGATTCTGTTTAAAATGCAAATAATCCTTAGGGCAGTTAAAATCTTGGTCACAGTACGTTATATGAAGTATTATCTACAACTTGTGGCCACGTTTTGGAATTCAAACTTTTTCTGGATTTTTGAAAACCTAAGCTAATGGGTATGCCAGAGGTTTACAAAACAACCACGGAGGGGCCAGGCGCTCCCCGGTGAAGTGCGGTAACATCCCTGCAACATGGATGCGGTCACAGCCAACAGATCAACCAAGGCTGGAGGCAGCTATGTGAGATCCGGTCAGGTTTTGCTGCCAAATTAATTTATGCCAGACTCAAGAAATAACATTGTTTTCAGAGATTTCTGGGTTCCAGAACTGTGGTCCGAACAATCTGGTGAGTAAGAAGTTATTGTACTGACCCAGTCACCTGCATCCTAGTGGGACTAATGGTTTGAACTAAGCAAACGATTCCCTCTTCACCACAGATTTCACAGCATCTTTGCATTTCATCCTCAGGCAATCCTGGGAGGAGGTACAGCTACTTCCCAGAGAGGTCGCCTGACTGCCGGGGCTCCCAGCTAAGCGGGTGGGGGAAGTGCCCCTCCCGGCCGCAGATGCCAGCTCCCTCACCCTCTGGTGCCCTGGCTCCCTCACAAACCCTGTACTCCGCAGGGACACTGAGTTCTGCCCAGAATGTGGTTGGCAGGAGCACCCCGCTGCAGGGCAGGTCTGCCTAATGCGGTGCAAATGTCGGACTTAGGTTATCCGGAGGCTGTGAACAAGACGGAAGGAAGTTGCTGGGAGGTGACAGAAGGATTCTCGAGGGGAGATGGGAAGGTGCCCAAAGAAGCTGTGGCCCCTGCCATGTGCCACTGGAAGTCACCAGCTGCCAGCCCCGGTGGCTGCACTGTGTGAGCCCCTCCTTCAGAAGGACACTTTCCCTCATCTTCACCACGCTCGGTCCCTCTCAGAGGCTCTCCTGGTCAGGCCTATCCCGATTCAGGGCCCTCGGCTCAGCTAACAAGGGCTACTGGCCTCTGACACCCTCACGTGGTCAGTCTCCGAGGCATGCCCCATAACCAACAAGGCCACAGTCCGACTGTGGTTTGAACCTTTCCAATGGCCAAGCTGTGCTCTAGATTCTTCAGTGAGGCTAAGACTGACCCACCTTCCTTCGTGGGAGCTGCAGAAGCCAACACAAAGGCCCATTTTGTAGCAGAAGCTGTCCCACGGGGAACCACATGATTCCAGTAGGTGCCTGGAAAGAGTAAATAGGAAGAATGTGTTAAAGAAAGAAAGCATAGACAAAACCACTTCAGATCTTAGTTCTGGACGACAGCTGGCCTTCAAACCCTTTCTCCAGATAATTCTAGAGTGTCCCTAAATAAAGCGACATGAGCAATCACAGCCTAACATTCATCTCCCTCTGAATACTGCCAGGCAGAGCCACACCCAGTCCAGGGTCGTGGAGGCCATGCAGCAGGGAGAGGGCTGGAGAAAAGCAAGGGGTTCACTCACAGAAACAAACCCCAGGATGTGTAGACTGGCATCTACATTCACAGACCTGGCCAGAGCCTTGCATTTCCAACAGTGGCGATCACCTTCCCTCCAGGAAGTGGACCATTCTCTCTCACTAGGTTTGGGTGGATTTTTTCATTTAAAATGTGAAATTGTTAACATAAAAATGACCTCCATTTGCTTTTCTTATGTCATAAAAGGTTTCCAGGGGAAACACTATCCAGACACAGGGATACGAGTTTTAGGAATGACAGATTTTTTAAAAAGGAGAGAAACTGATCACAAAGCATAGAGTGCCTCCACTAGACACTTCATACCACTGGCACTAAATTATCTTTTCAAGTTGAGATCTTAAAGCTTTTCTTTAAATGTTGGCTTTAAAGTGAGGCTGCCTATAAAGCCAGTGTGAAAATTACAGCAATTCACCCACCTATGAGACTTCCCTTAGCGACGTGGAATTCATTCTTGCCCGAGGAGATCCAGACACCGCTGTTATTGACCCCGAGAAGGCTTGGCTGGCACTGAAGCTGCTGGGACCAAAACGCCATGCGCAGCTTATCTGCCACCTTTTCTACGGGGGCTTGGGCTGCTGTGGCCACCGAGTGAGTGGCATGGATTATCGTCTGAAATAAGCTGCACTGGTCAAACACCACATAGTCCGTGATGCTCACCTGGAAGGAGGAGACAAGCAAAAGCCCTGCTGTCAGAGCAGTTACAAGTGTAGACTCTCTGCCTTGAGGGAAGGTTCTAGCTCAGGTCCACACCTCTGCATTTCTAGTAACAAGATGACCATCCAAACACAAATGTGCACGTGTGCGCTTGTGAAAGGACCAAAAAAATGTGGCAGGATGCCATCAAACTGCTAATGCTAACTCCAGCTCCTTCGTAGGGTTGGATTTAAAGGTATGGAAGAATATATTCACATTTTATATACTTTTATACAACATGGATCTGTTACAAGCATGTATTACTTTTGTGATTATCACCCCCTCACACCCCTTCTAAGAAGACTTTCATTCTAATCAGAGTGAGAAAGAATAATTTTGCCATCTTTTCTGAGACAGTCTTGCTCTGGCATCCAGGCTGGAATGCAGTGGCACAATCATACTCAGCCTTGACTTCCAGGATCAAGCAATCCTCCCACCTCAGCCTCCCAAATACAGGCGAATGCTACTACATGTAGCCAATTTTTAAATTTTTTGTAGAGACAGGTCTCCCTGTGTTGCCCAGGGCTGGTCTTGAACTTCTGGGCTCAAGTGATCTCCCTGCCTTGGCCTCCCAAAGTGTTGGGATTACTGGCATGAACCACTATGCCCAGCTTTAATTTTGCTTTTAAATCAGGTATTTCCAATGGACAACAGTATACGGTACTTAGAAACATAATATGCATCTAAAAAGGTATCACAAGTAGAGTGATGAACTTTTTTTTTTTTGAGACATAGTCTTGCCCTGCCACCCAGGCTGGAGTGCAGTGGTGCAATTTTGGCTCACCGCAACCTCTGCCTCCTGGGTTCAAGAGATTCTCGTGCCTCAGCCTCCCGAGTAGCTGGGACTACAGGCGCACGCCACAACAGCCGGCTAATTTTTTATATTTTTAGTAAAGATGGGGTTTCACCATGTTGGCCAGGCTGGTCTTGAACTCCTGACCTCAGGTGATCCGCCCGCCCAGGCCTCCCAAAGTGCTGGGATTACAGGTGTGAGCCACCATGCAAGGCTGTGATGAACTAATTTATGATCTGAATTGGGACTACTAATAATTACTCCAGGGCAAGAGCATCAACTAGGACCATCCTGGGTATCTAGACTCTAACCCTAGCTCAGAAGGGTAGCTTGCTTCTATAACATTCCTGAAAAGCATTCATATACCTCAGACATTTCTCCAACCACCCCTCCCTGCAGGAAGCTCTTCTCTTCTTGGGCAGCTTGATATAAGGCAAATTCTTTATGAGTGAAAATCTGATTCTCCATGATGTTCACTCACATTTCTGCCCTGCTGGGTTTGATTACATAAAACATCACTGGCATAAATGCCCTACTCCTGGTCGGGCACAGTGGCTCACGCCTGTAATCCCAGCACTTTGGGAGGCCAAGGCAGGTGGATTACTTGAGGTCAGGAGTTCCAGACCAGCCTGCCAACATGGTGAAACCCTGTCTCTACAAAAATACATATATGTATATTTTTACATGTATATGTATATATATGGTTACAAGTACACAAAAGGTATTTTAAAATCATTTGCATGACTATCAAATATTACCTAGTATATAAATTAGATACATCTGTATATAATGTACATATTATATAGAATACATATTTTATCAAAGAGTAAACACAACTCATTTTTCTACATTCTCATCTGAAAGACCTCAGAGCAGTCAATGCAAGACAAGCCTTCAACAAAGCAAGTCTGAGGTGACAATAAAACATAAACCAATGGGGCAAGATACTTCAGAAACATCAAATACTGGCCGGGCGCGGTGGTTCACGCCTATAATCCCAGCACTTTGGGAGGCTGAGGCAGGCAGATCACAAGGTCAAGACATTGAGACCAACCTGGCCAACATGGTGAAACCCTGTCTCTACCAAAAATACACAAATTAGCTGGGCCTGGTGGTGCGTGCCTGTAGTCCCAGCTACCCAGGAGGCTGAGGCAGGAGAATCGCTTGAACCCAGGAGGCGGAGGTTGCAGTGAGCCGAGATTGCGCCATTGTACTCCAGACTGGGTGACAGAGCAAGACTCCGTCTCAAAAAAAAGAAACATCAAATATTTCACGACCATCGACTATCAGTGAAATCTTACCTACCACAGTGGGAGACTGTGGGAGCAACACTAACACTAAACTATACCAAAGAAGGGGAAAGTAGACACTCCTTTGAAAATCCATTCTAGGGCCGAGGGTGGTGGTTCACACCTGTAATCCCAGCGCTTTGGGAGGTCAAGGTGGGAGGATTGCTTGAGCCAAGGAGTTCGAGACCAGCCTGGGTAACAGCAAGACCTTGTCTCTACCAAAATAATTAGCCAGGCATGGTGGCATGTGCCTGTGGTCCCAGCTACTTGGGAGGCTGAGGTGGGTCGTGATCCTGCCACCACACTCCAGTGTGGGCAAAAGAGTGAGACTCTGCCCCAGAAAAAAAGAAAAGAAAAAGAAAAGAGAAATTCATTCTAGGCGCTCTTGCTGGGACCAAATCACACACAGTGAGCTTGATTATACCCTCATCCTGTTTCTTATAGTGTTTCCTTTTCTGGAAGCACGTGGGAAAATTCTCCTGTCTTTGCTGAAATACCATCTACTTAGAGGCCTTCTGAATAAGCAGAGACAGCTCAATTTTAATTCTGGGTTGGGCTTTCAAACCTATTATCTGGGCTCTTTTCTCAGCACATTTGTTCATAATTAAACATCATTATTACCTAGGTCTTCAAATGGATGTCACTGGGTTTATTTAGCCTATAATAATAAATATATAAACAATATCAAAATAAATAAATTAAGTGCATTATTTACACAAAGAGTTTGCAAATTATTTCCTATGATGAAAAGTCCTTTATGTTTCTAATGCACTCAAACACAGCAAAGTCTAATCCATCAAATAGAAAAAAGGAATACTATTGGCTGGGAGTGGTGGCTCCACTTGTAATCCCAGCACTTTGGGAGGCGGAGAGGGTGGATTTCTCTCTCTCTCTCTTTTTTATTTTTATTTATTTTGAGACAGGGTCTAGCTCTGTTGCCCAGGTTGGAGTGTGGTGGTGTGATCTTGGCTGAAACCTTTGTCTCCTGGGCTCAAACTATTCTCCCACCTCAGCCTTCCGAGTAGTTGGGACCAACGGCGTGTGCCACCATGTCCAACTAATTTTTGTATTTTTGGTAGAGACAGGGTTTCACCATGTTGCCCAGGCTGGCTTTGAACTCCTGGACTCGAGTGATCTGCCTGCCTTGGCCTCTCAAATTGCTGGGATTACAGGTGTGAGCCACTCTGCCCAGTCTGGGTGGATCTCTTGAGCTCAGGAGTTTGAGACCAGCCTGCACAACATGCCAAAACCCTGTCTCTACAAACAAATACAAAAAACTAGCCAGGCATGGTGGCACACGCCTGTAGTCCCAGCTACCTGGGAGGCTGAGGTGGGAGAATCACCTGAGCCCAGGAAGTCAAGACTGCAGTGAGCCGTGACTGCACCACTGCCCTTCCGCCTGGATGACGGAAGGAGATCTTGTTTCAAAACAAACAAACAAATAATAAAAAAGTGAGTATTTTAAATTTAATCTAGTATCGTTAAGGAAAAGAGAGAAGTAAGAAAAGGGGAAGCAGAAAAGGTCGGGAGACCTCGGCACGTGGCGCAGAGCTGAACACCTACTTGCCACCAATGGTCGTCATCTCCTTGGGGCTTCTTGGAAATAATGCCAGTTCTGAACCACAGGTTCCCATGGATGTCCAGGGCCCAGAGAGTCTGCTGATCCCCGAGCGTTATGCAGACGGGTTCTAAAGCTTGCCTTTCGCTGAAAATAAGGAGGAGAACAGGGGGGTCAGCACCCATAGGCAGAGTGCCCAGTGTGTCTGGACTGCGGACATCCAGGGTCTCCCGGCAGGCGTGGCTGGGAGAAGAGACGTGGCCCTGGAGCGGATCAGCAGGTGCCAGGGAAGGAAGTTTGGGTCTGAGTTAAATTACTGTGCAAGAGATATGGTTCAAGTGGGTGGCAGCTTTTGAAAGACACACTGATGACCCAGAATGGCTGGGAACACTCTTAAGAGAGAAAATAACCTAAGAAAAAAGCGAGTAGGCACAAAAGGAATCCAAGGCCCCTGAGCGCCTCCATCTCTCTACTCCTTCCCCTACCAATCCAAGGCCCCTGAGTGCCTCCATCTCTCTACTCCTTCCCCCGCCAATCCAAGGCCCCTGAGTGCCTCCATCTCTCTACTCCTTCCCCCGCCAATCCAAGGCCCCTGAGCGCCTCCATCTCTCTACTCCCTCCCTCACCAAGGGAATGACTGTAAACTCCCCCGATGTGCCAGGCTATTCTGTGCAGCTGGACCTAGGCAGACACTGCCCTCTTTGCTGGAGACGCCCTCCCCCTCCTTCCATATGGGGAAGTCCTCGTCAGCTTCAAGGCTTAGCTGTTGGTCCACTCTGCATGCTGCCTTCCTGATCTCTGCATGGAGTCCATGGTTCCCTCAGTGCTGCATGCTCCACACTCCTGTTTAGGGCCATCTGTGCTAATGGGTGTCCATCCATGCACGGGGCCCCCATGAGACTTGGAACTGATGAGAGCAGGGCCAGTCTCAGCCCTCTTGGCGCACCCAGCCCCTAGCACCATTCTGGCTTTTTGTTGTTGTTGCTTTTTTTTGTCTGTCTGTTTTTTGAGATGGAGTCTTGCTCTGTCACCCAGGCTGGAGTGCAATGGTGCGATCTCAGCTCTCTGCAACTTCCGCCTCCCAGGTTCAAGTGATTCTCCTGCCTCAGCCTCCTGAGATGCCCGGTTAATTTTTGTATTTTTAATAGAGACGGGATTTCACTATGTTGGTCAGTCTGGTCTCGAACTCTTGACCTCGTGATCCGCCTGCCTTGGCCTTCCAAAGTGTTGGGATTACAGGCGTGAGCCACCACACCTGGACCATTCTGGCTCTTAATAGGTATTCACTGAAAGTTTATTGGCTTGCTAAATTCAAACCAAGAATATCCTAATCTAGTTTTTCAAAGGACTATTAATACTTCCATACTAGTAAAATGATCTGATGGCAATTCTATAACTAACATCTTGAATGGTAAAAAAAAAAATAGCTTAATAAATTACAGTTCAGAGATCGGGCCAGGCATAGTGGCTCATGTCTGTAATCCCAGCACTTTGGGAGGCCAAGGCAGGAGAATTGCTTGAGCCCAAGAGTTCGAGATGAGTCTGGGCAACATGATGAAAACCCAAAACTCATCTCTACAAAAAATACAAAAATTAGCTGGGCATGGTGGCATGCATCTGTAGTCCCAGCTACTCAGGAGGCTGAGGCAGGAGGATCACCTGAGCCCGGAGGTCAAGGCTGCAGTGAGCCGTGATCGTGGCACTGCACCCCAGCCTGGGTGACAGAGTGAGAACCTGTATCAAAAAAAAAAAAAAAAGCTACAGTTCAGAGATCAACTTCGATTAGCATGAAAATAAAGAAAAATATTTGGACCTAAGCCGTCACAGACACTAAACCAGAACTACCTGACGGTGGGCAATTCTGAATAGAGACCGTCATGACAGACTCATGACGCTGTGATGCTCAGGGCTGCGCAGAGGGCGGCAGCATTTTTAAAAAGCGAGCTCTGACTCAACGTCCAGTTTGCCGGTCAGAATTAGGCAGAGATTCAAGCTTAGCCTATAGCCATGGAGGCTGCAGGTGCTGCCTCCCAGGAACGGCCTCATGGTGCCTTGTGGTGTCAAGTGGACAAGAACGAAGGGTAGGACAAGCACGATGTGAAAGGAGTCTCTGGCCCGCCAGTACCTGACAATGTCACACTTCCACTGCTCGCCTTCCGGACAGAAGCTGCTCACGCCCTCCCGGTACAGGAGGGCCCTCTGCTCTGTCAGCGCCCACACCACATTGTTCCGGGCTGTGATCTGGGACAGCGGGTAGGGACAGTCCACCTTTACGGCTCTGGCACAAGGGCGATCCACGCTCAGACCTGCCAGGAAGATGGGAAGAAGCCCCAAAGACACACAGTCAGAACTCCACACCTCATTTTGACTTGGTTATTGGCTTATTTTTCCTTTTTTGGTATTTTGCTATATTCTTTTATGATGAGTGCTTTAAAAAAAAACTTTAATTAATTAATTAATTAAAAATATAGACGGGGCCTTTCTACGTTGCCCAGGCTGATCTCAAACTCCTGGGCTCAAGAGATCCTCCCACCTCAGCCTCCCAAAGTGCTGGGATTACAGGCAGGAGCTGCCCTGTCCGGCCGCTTTTTTGTTGTCAAGTTTAATCAACATAAAGTGGTTAAATTCTGCCTAAATGTAACATCTATCTGAAAACAGTTTTAGACACTCTTTGAAAACTGAACAATTCAGAATTATCTGGTGTCCCAATGTAGCTTAAGAAGTTCTAAGAGAAGAACACAAAAGCCAAGAGCAGGAGAGTGGCCAGATGGAGGCCCAAAGGCTGCAGGGCAGAGCAGCTCTTCCAGGCAGAGGGCTGCAGCGCTGCTGGAGTTGGCAGGGACCTGAGGCCTGCAGTCGTTCCTGCAGAGAGCTCCAGCACGGCGGCTCCTCTCTGCTCTGACTGGGTGCGAGGTTCCACTAATAAAATGAAACCCCGAATTTCCCAGATGAAATCTGAGGTCTGTCAAACTGCAAGGCAGTGGCAGGCCAAAGCTCAGGGTCCCTGGCTCCCTGTCCAGGGCTCTCCCCTTGCCTCCTTGTGTTCTGTCAATAAAGTATGTCTAAATGAGCTCAAAGGCTATTCCCAGGGGAGCAGACAGACCAACTGTCGCCTACAACCCTGTATTCCTTGACCTTAGGCCTGCAATTAGGTCTCAGTACTCAAATATGCTCCGTGACTAATCACAGACGCACCTATAGTATTGCAGTCCTTGGGTGATATTTCCTTCCACTAAACTAGGTGGGAATCACCGGCAGGACTTCTTACACGACACACTCCTGAGCAGTCTCCAGAGGGATTGGACCTAATCCAACAGGTCTGGGTGGGGCCACCTCATGTGAAATCACTGTCCTGGTGATTCCTCTGGCACTACTGGTTTAGAGGTCACTCGCTCCTCACCCCCAGGCCAGAAGCACCTCCTGTCTTCCCCATGACCAAAGCTCAAATGTCCTGGCAGCTTAGATGTGCATGTGCCTTGACAGAGCTACTTTCATTTAAAGAAAGACACAGGAACTAGGCTGGAGAGACCTGGGCCAGCATATGGCCTATGAAGCCAGCATGGCTGTGCACCCAGGCCAGAGGTTCTTACACAGCTAGGAGAGAGCCAGCTGTGCAAGAGCTTCAACCTGAAGACTCATCCCCAGCTGACGACTCACAGCAGTGATTAAAACATGCTCCTGAGGCCGGTGGCTCACGCCTATAATGCCAGCATTTTGGGAGGCTGAGGCGGGCGGATCACAAGGTCAGGAGTTCAAGACCAGACTGGCCAACATAGTGAAACCCTGCCTCTACTAAAAATACAAAAGTGAGCTGGACATGGTGGCATGTGCCTGTAGTCCCAGCTACTCGGGAGGCTGAGGTAGGAGAATCGCTTGAACCCAGGAAGTGGAGGTTGCAGTGAGCCGAGATTGTGCCACTACACTCCAGCCTGGGCAACAGAGCGAGATTCCGTCTCAAAACAACAACAACAACATTCTCCTGGAATCAACAACATTAAACGCCTGGAAGACTGATCTTTACATAAATCCAACGTGGCCTCTGGACAACTGACGATAACTCCTGCCCCACAGTCCTTCCAGATACTGATAAATCACATTGCTGGTGGAAGATCCTTCCCCATTCTGCTGACAGTAAACACTGACTGTCATTACAGCTTATTTTTAATAAGCAAGTCCCACTGTGCCCTTCCATCAGCTAAAAACTTCCCTGAGGGCAGCTTCCTGTGACTTGCTGAACTGCTATTTTTGTTTTGTTTTGTTTTGAGACGGAGTCTCGCCCTGTCACCAGGCTGGAGAGTGCAGTGGCGCGATCTCAGCTCACTGCAAGCTCTGCCTCCCAGGTTCAAGTGATTCTTGTGCCTCAGGCTCCCAAGTAGCTGGGATTACAGGCAAGCGCCACCACGCCCAGCTAATTTTTTGTATTTTTTTTTTTTTTTTTAGTAGAGACAGAGTTTCACCATGTTGGCCAGGTTGGTCTTGAACTCCTGACCTCAGGTGATCTGCTCGTCTAGGCCTCCCAAAGTGTTGGGATTACAGGCATGAGCCACCACACCTGGCCTGAACTGCTATTTAGAGCAAATTATGGCCTGGTGTGGTGGCTCACACCTGTAATCCCAGCACTTTGGGAGGCTGAGGCGGGCAGATCACTTGAGGTCAGAAGTTCAAGACCAGCCTGGCCGACATAGTGAAACTCCATCTCTACTAAAAATACAAAAAAATTGGCTGGGCGTGGTGATGGGCACCTGTAATCCCAGCCTGTGATCAGGAAGCTGAGGCAGGAGGATCACTTGAACCCAGGAGGCAGAGGTTGCAGTGAGTCAAGATGGCACCACTGCATGCCAGCCTGGGCAAGAGAGCGAGACTCCGTCTCAAAATAAAAAAGAGCAAATTATTTCTTTTTTTTTCCTGGCCCACGGGTAAGTAAGTATATAGGAGCCGGGCTTTGATATGGCTGAAAAAAAAAATGCAGCCACTTAAACTTTAGCTTAAAGGGGGAAATGAATTTTATGTCCTTCCTCTGTATTCTTACCTCTTAAGATCTAACATTGTAGGATACGTGATATGCGGTGGTTGGCCATAGGAGAATAAGATTCTGTTTCTGTATCTCACCAAATAATCCTATTCATTTTTGCCCTAAATTTGTCCTGGGTTGAGTTTGTGTCAATGCAGGAAACTGCTAATACATGCCAAATGGCAAATACTCTCTTCCCAGAAGTGTCTTAATTCGAATGGATTTAGCCTCTTAATCATAGCGATTGTGGTAAGCATGTTACTAGCAAAGCAGGGTGCAGCAGAGGCAGTGACGGCAGAGCTGGCAGGCCTCTAAGCGTGGCCCGCGGTTACCTGTCTGCAAGTATAGGTCCCCACTGGTCCTGATGATCCAGGCCGTGTCATCGCTCAGGGCCACAAACACTGCCTGGGGCAGGGCTTCGTACCAGTGCCGCTTCCCCTTGATGGTGACTTTCCCACAAGCAAAAGCCCGGTTAGATTTCTGTTCAATCTTCCAGAGAAGGGCTCCTATGGAAATAAAAATTCTATTCACTGTCCAATAAATACTAGAATATATTTCTATACAAAAGTCTTCATGCTGGGCATTGAGGGGAGAAAGATTTCTAAAACACATCCTGTTCTGTCCCCCCAAGTGGGGAAAGAGGCCACCAGACCCAGGTTTGGGCCCTTGGCCACCACCCAGTGGCTATGCAGCTTCAGGCTCCATGTCACCGCCCGTCTCCAAGCTTCACTTTCCTCCTGGGCCGTGGGGATCATCTCCACCTTACAGGGCTGCTCTAAAGACTGCAGACGGAAGCAGATCAACCACATGGCCACAGAGCTGGGCACATGACAGGCGCTCCTCACACGGGAGGAGAAACACTGATGACATTATTAGGTTTGATAAGTCTCCAAATAAACATCCTAAGCACAACTAGTGCCCTAGGAGAGGCTGAAAAAGTCCTTTAGGGATTCAAAGAGAAGGATCAGTTCTGGATGAGCTGAATGGAAAAGGTGCACAGAAGGAACACACTTGCACTGAGTTGGCCTGTTTTCACTGTGAAGAGGACTTTGATGAAGAGATGGAGGAGGAGAGAGGAAAGGGAAGGCAGGATAGCGCTGCAGCTGGAGGCCTGGAGCAGGCCGACGCAGGCAAGGCAAGGGGCCACCAGTGATCACCGAGTGTCAGCTGGGCTGGACTAGAGGGCCTGTCGAGCATCTCTGCCTGTGGTGCCCCCGGCACAAGGGCTCTGCTGCCCACCAAGGACATGGGACTGGGCCCTGAAGGACGCCTCAACTGAGCAGGTGAATCTCATGGAGATACAGAGTTCCCGCTAGCACAGTGAGGGACCAAGGGGCCTGGGAATACAAGTAACTAATATAGTCAGGAATAGAACCAAAGTTCTAAAAGGCTAAGGAGACAAACCTGAAGGTAAATGATACCAACGAGAAATGAATTAAAACACACAACTGTGTAATGACAGCTTGTGGAGTGGGTTGTTAGCCAGTCTCTAAAGAAAAATATTTTTCAAACAAACAGTGAAAGCAAGCAAGAAAAACAACGCTGAACAAACTAA
This sequence comes from Homo sapiens, assembly GCF_000001405.40. Taxonomy (NCBI): domain Eukaryota; kingdom Metazoa; phylum Chordata; class Mammalia; order Primates; family Hominidae; genus Homo; species Homo sapiens. The sequence continues at coordinate 102,439,386 of NC_000014.9, read as the reverse complement.
TATTTTAAACAGTGACAGAGACCAGGGAGAATTAAGGGAAATTCATCCCGAAACACAGTGAAGTTACAGAGAACAGACAGGTCCCAAGCCACAGACTCAGCTTCGGCTTCGTCTGACTTCTATTCCAATGTCCTGACAGTAAACCAGGCTGCTTCAAGGCAAAAGTGTCCCCACTGGCGTAGGTGCCGACGTGGCCAACACAACCTTAAGAAAAAACAAGCAAAGCCGGGCGTAGTGGCTCTCACCTGTAATCCCAGCATTTTGGGAGGCTGAGGCGGGCGGATCATGAGGTCAGGAGATCAAGACCATCCTGGCTACCACAGTGAAACCCCGTGTCCACTAAAAAAATACAAAAAAATTAGCTGGGCGTGGTGGCGGGTGCCTGTAGTCCCAGCTACTGGGGAGGCTGAGGCAGGAGAATAGTGCGAACCTGGGAGGTGGAGCTCGCAGTGAGCTGAGATTGTACCACTGCACTCCAGCCTGGGCAACACAGCAAGACTCTGTCTCAAAAAAAAAAAAAAAAGAAAGAAAGAAAGAAAAAGCAAGCAAATGATTCCATGCAGATATGGGAGGTCTTCCAGCTCAGGAGAACATCGTTCAGGAAACACCAGCTCCAGTTCACTAACAATGGCCTAACAGCAGCATGAAAGAATGAATGGACTTTCCTTTTAGAGTCAGGGAGTAGACTGTTCACCCACAGCAGAGAGCTCATTAAAACAGAATTCCTAAAGAGGAAGCCAAATAATTGGAATATATCTAACATATCCATAGGCCCGTCTTCGTTAGTTCGGTTGCTTTAAAGCAACAATGAGAAAGAGAAACACGTATTATTTTTATGAAGAGTTAGTATATTAATATCCCTAAAAAAGTCCCTCAATTTTCAAACTTTTTGTCTAGCTTACAAAAATACGATCAGAGCTTACCATTGCAATTAATAAAGAAAACAAAAACTCAAACTGAACACCCATTTACACTACGAATTGACATCCAATGAAGCAATTCACGTTCTTTGGAGACAACCCCTCAAACGTTCCTGAAGAGGCAAACCTGGTGAACGCACGGCAGCGTGAGCCCAGAGCTGCTGCAGGGGAGCCCTGTACTAAGATGTCTGCACCCCGGGGGCGGGGAGCAGGAGCGGCGAGCGGGAGCAGGGAGCGGGAGCAGGGAGCGGGGAGGCGAACCTGAGGGCGAGACTGCCACCTGCTGGACAGCATCTTCAAACTTCTGCCAGCGCAGCCCGGCGCCCGGCAACGCGCTGCAGAACAGGCCGCCTTTGTAGTCCAGGCACCAGATATACTTCTCGGAGACCACCAAGCTGAGGATGCCATAGCCGGGACCCGAGTAGCCCATCCAGCTTTCTGCAAACTAACAAGGGAAGAGCCAGTGAGTTCTGTGGCAGAGGACACAGCCACATTTGGCTTACTGTTCTCAGTAAGAAAGGTGAGAGGATATCATTAACACGAGACGGTAAAACGGGTCAGCAAGACGCCAAGTCAACCCTTCTCCCAACCCCTGCTATCTGTGGACACCCCTCTACTACAAACCTTCTGAGACGCGTGCTGCTGTCTCCCTACAAAGACTCCCTGGAGTCCCTGGATGACATTTTCTCCTGTTCTAACACCTTTGCAAATGTAACGCTTAGAGCATCACATCACGTTACGAAGGAGCTGCTATTATTCTGCAGGCATACCTCACCTTACACAAAGAGCCAGGTTCTTCAACATTTGGATGCAAGTCAATTTTTTGTAGTCTAATCATTACAGAGGCACTGGATATATGGCACTACCACTGTCTTTCTTTTTTCCACCATATTTTCTTTTTTTTTTCCTTTTTGAGACAGAGACTCGCTCTGTCGCCCAGGCTGGAGTACAGGGGCACAATCTCGGCTCACTGCAACCTCCGCCTCCTGGGTTCAAGCAAGTCGCAATTCTCCTGCCTCAGGCTCCTGAGTACTTGGGATTACAGGCATCTGCCACCACACCCGGCTATTTTTTGTATTTTTAGTAGAGACGGGGTTTCGCCATGTTGGCCAGGCTGGTCTCGAACTCCTGACCTCAGGTGATTCGCCCACCTTGGCCTCCCAAAGTGCTGGGATTACAGGCGTGAGCCACTGTGCCCGACCTTGCTAGAATTCTTTTAAAAATCAAAGCTAAATAAAGTCTTTGTACTTTAATACTTTTCAATAAATGCAAAGAAGATAAATGTATTTGTACAGATACCCACATAGAAGTTAACTACTTCAAAGAAAATGGTGCCCAACTCTTCTCAATCCAGCCCTGCTCACCATGGCAAGTCTTACTTCCACACCGAACCTCCAAATAAAAACACACCATAAAATTTCTTGGCTTCCCAGCTACCTGGAGTGGGATGAGGAAGGGAGGAAGTTAGAGAGTCAGGGGCTCAAAGGGCCAGGATCCCTGTCACCTAAGTGAGGGCTTTCCTAAATTTCTGGCCTAGAATTCCAATACCCCACCCCACCGACAGTCTGCCTGGCTAACGCCCAGACATTAGGGGGCCATGCTGCTTGCGCTTCCTGCAGCCCTGTACTTTGCTCAGTACCCTCACCTGAGTCCCACTCAACTGCGAGGATGTGAACATGTACCTGGCTCCCCCTCAAGACTCTGAGGCTCAGGAAGATGGAATCCACAACTAGCTGCCATCTGCACTGTGGTCCCCAGCATAATCACAGAGGCTGACAGTCAAGGCCACTCAAGAACCACTGGGTTGAAAAGATAAATGCCGGATGACTGAATAAAAGGCCACCCTTGGCCAGGCACAGCAGCTCACACCTGTAATCCCAGCACTTTGGGAAGCCGAGGCAGGCAGATTGCTTGAGCTCAGGAGTTCGAGACCAGCTTGGGCAATATGGCAAAACCCCTTCTCTACAAAAAATACAAAAATTAGCTGGGCATGGTGGCACATGCCTGTAGTCCCAGTGACTCAGGAAGCTGAGGCAGGTGGATCACTTGAGCTTGGGGAGGTCGAGGCAGCAATGAGCCATGATTGCGCCACTGCGCTCCATCCTGGGTGACAGAGTGAGACCCTGTCTCAGAAAAAAAAAAAAAAAAGAAAGAAAGAAGAAAAAAAAGCCAGACTTATGGCGTTTTGTCTCAAAACAAGTAAGCAGCATGTTTCACTTCTGAGGCATGACAGCACAGAGGGTGAGTGAGGGGGTCCTGGGGCCCGCCCTTCATTTGCTATGTGACCTTGTGCAAGCTGTCTAGCTGTTCTGTGCTTCCATTTTCTCCTCTGTAAAATGGGGACAAGAAGAGTGCCTATTTTATAGTTCGTGTTTAGAGAAGTAAAAGAGTTAAACCTCTAAAGTGCTTTGTGGGATACCTGCACATGGTGAGCACTGACAAAGCGTCACACTGCTAGCACTGACAGAAGCCAGCGTAGACTGTGGAAAGCACACGTGGCTGTAAGTGCGCAGCCATAATTCATACCTCACATCGACAGTTAGTAGGAGACAGGGCAAGACACAGTTTTGAAACAAATATATCTAGTAATAATTACTTGCTAAGGGAAGTAGGCACTTTTAAAAAAATCACTTTTAATATAAAATGCTCAAGGACAGTTAAAAGTCATCTCCTAGTTACATGTGCTGGGTGGACCTACAAAGACTGGTTACTCCAAACTGGTTCCTGTACAGCTCGCAGGGGAGCCTTGGAGCCACTGTTCGGAGGTTGAGGAGACAGCAGTTCTGGAAATGGCCTCGTGCTCTTGCAGATGGTTCCTTGGAGGGGTGTGAGGAGAAGGACAGGAGACTCCCTGCCTCCAAACTGCTCAGAGCTTTCTCTACTCCACAGGTGGACAGTCCTCTGCCCACTGGTTTTCTGAGATGGCCCCAGGCCAATTCAGCCCTGCCCTACGATGGCTAACAGTAAGTGCCTACACCAGCCTGCACTTGTGGGGTCAGAGGAAACAGCAAGACGCTACCTTGGTTGGGGAGGCAGGTTACTGAGCAGGGTAGAACAGGTCAGAAGTAGTTCAAGCCATTCATAGTCCCTGTGCTGGAAATCCCCTGAAACCCAGACTTGAAAACAGAGTTGGCCTACGGATTTTGCAGTAGGAATAGAATTTCTTTCCATGAGAAGGAAAATAATCAGTCTTGACAATTATTACCCTTAAGAAAGAAGCCTCAGCTACTTTTCCCACCACCCGAACCCACATACCTGATCTGGCTTGAGCAGCCCGGCGTCCTCTGCACCCAGCCGGCTCAGGTCCTGCTGGGAGCAACTAGGTCCGAGCTCTGTCACACTCGTCTCTGAGGATGAAGAAGGAAGCCCGTGGGCATAGATGTCCTCCTCATCGCTGGACGTCAATGTCTGATCCCGTGGAGGCTGCTCAAGCCAGGGCTTGTGAGTGCTGGCTGCCAAGGCAGAGACCGGAGTCAGCTGTCCTCCCACACTCCCCAAGACACGTTCAGAAATGGGTATTTCTTTCTGACCTGTGTCATCATCAGTGACAGCATGCCAGAGATTTGTGCTGAGGTGGCCAGAGGCCTCCATGCTGGTTAGGATGTCCTGCTCTTGGCTGGGCTCCACGGGGCTGCCTTCATCAGCTCTGGTCCCAGGCAGCCACTGTTCAGCACTTGGGGCCCAGCTGAGGCTGGAAGGCACAGTGAGTGAGTTCAGGAGGGGGACTTCACAAAAAGTGCTTTGGGGGCCAATGGGTTGGATGTCTTCCCCATCATGCGCCCCAGGAGAGCTGTCCTGTTCTTGGAAGGGTAACTGTGTGCTATTTGGTCCATCATCTGCAGGACACGGCTCATCTCCGAGTCCCGTGACATCACTGCCTCCCACATCTTCCCTCGCTCCATTGAGCAGCTCCCGCCCATGTGCATGGTGACAGTGTGGCATTTCAGTTCTAATGTCATCTTCCTCAGCCAGAGAATCAGGCATTGATCCTGACACCTCCAGGACATTAAACGTTTCGGGGTCAGTATTTTCCTGTGGGACACCGTTCACTTCACCATTGAAGCTGCTTTCCTGGTCTGGAGACTCTGCACTTAACTGATCCACGCTACTGCCCAGGACACTTGAGGTCATCGACAGCAAGTCTGTGTTCAAGGACTGGGGACTGTCCCCAGGAAATTCGGAGCAGGGTGTCGATTCCAGGGAGCTGTGACAGGTGCTCCTGCTTCCACCTTCTAATTCAGAATAAGAACATTCAAAATAAGGCACGGTTCTATATGATTAGTAAGAGACTAACTTGCACACATATTTTTGGCTCAAGAAAAAAAATTTTAAATAAAGGATATTTGGTGAATGAAGAATAAACCTCTTAAGTACAAATAATCCCAACAAAGAGATGCTTTCTATGCATGCAAGTACTGAACAAATCCATGGGTTTGAGGGCAGCTAAGAAAAACCAGGGGACAAACTGAGATGTTCACCTGGGTCACAAACCAATTCCTTATAATTATTAAAATGCTTAGAAATCTAATAACATTTCCTTCAGTGTTGCAGTCATCTTAGCTAGAGAGGATTAACAGGAACCAAGGAGTAAAAGGTTTGAAAAATTCAGTGTTACACAGCCATAACAAAGAATGAAATCTGGGCTGTGCACGGTGGTTCACGCTCATAAGCCATCCTAGCACTTTGGGAGGCCGAGGCGGGTGGGCCACCTTAGGTCAGGAGTTCAAGACCAGCCTGTCCAACATGGTAAACCCCTGCCTCTACTAAAAATACAAAAACTTAGCTGGGCGTGGTAGTGGGCACCTGTAATCCCAGCTACTCGGGAGGCTGAGGCAGGAGAATTGCTTGAACTTGGGAGGCGGAAGTTGCAGTGAGCCGAGATCGCACCATTGCACTCTAGCCTGGGTGACAACAGTGAAACTCTGTCTCCAATAAATTAAAAAATAAATAAATAAATAAATAAATAAATAAAAATAAAGAATGAAATCTTGTCCTTTACAGCAACATGGATGGAACCGCTGGCCGTAATCCTAAGCAAATTAATGCAACAGGAACAGAAAACCAACAGCATGTTCTGACTTGTAAGTGGGAGCCAAACACTGAGCACGCATGGACATAAACATGGGAAGGACAGACACTGTGGACCTCCAGAGCGGGAGAGGAGGCGGCATGGGTCAAAAGCCACCTACTGCATACTGTGCTCACTACCTGGGTGCTGTATACCCATGTAACAAACCTGCGCATGGACCCCCTGTATTTAAAATAAAAGTTGAAAAAAAAAAAGAAAAAAATTCAATGTTAAATCCCATATTTGGTAGCATATTCAACACTAAACATAAAATGTCCCAAGTATTTACCAGCATAGATCTTCTGGTTTCCACAACTTTCCACCCAGGCTCACAGAATCTCTGATTTAATCAATGGTATACATGGATAAACCAACACTTTTTTTTTTTTTTTTTTTGAGACGGAGTCTTGCTCTGTTGCGAGGCTGGAGTGCAGTGGCGTGACCTCGGCTCACTGCATCCTCTGCCTCCCAGGTTCAAGTGATTCTCCTGCCTCAGCCTCCCGAGTGACTGAGATTACAGGCACATGCCACCAAGCCCAGCTAATTTATGTGTTTTTAGTAGAGACGGGGTTTCACCATGTTGGCCAGGATGGTCTCAATCTCTTGACCTCGTGATCCGCCTGCCTCGGCCTCCCAAAGTGTTGGGATTACAGGCATGAGCCACTGCGCCCGGCCCCGACATTTTAATTTAAATACTAAAAACTATGCCAGGCGCGGTGGCTCACGCTGTAATCCCAGCACTTTGGGAGGCCGAGGCGGGCAGATCACCTGAGTTTGGGAGTTCAAGACCAGCCTGACCAACATGGAGAAACCCTGTATCTACTAAAAATACAAAATTCGCTGGGCATGCATACTCGGGAGGCTGAGGCAGGAGAATTGCTTGAACTCAGGAGGTGAGGTTGCAGTGAGCCGAGATCGTGCCATTGCACTCCAGCCTGGGCGACGAGCGAAACTCTGTCGCAAAAAATAAATAAATAATATAAATACATAAATAAATATTGAAAAGTACAAAACTGAGACCCTTTAAGCAGGGTGGTGAGTACACACAGGTGTTCTGTCATCATTTAGACCTTACAGTGTGTGTGTGTGTGTGTGTGTGTATTTTCCGTTAATGTGAAGTATTTTGCAGTAAAACTCCTTTGGGGAAGAAATGTATGTGTTCTCTGCTTTTGGATGTATGGAGCATTGCTCACTCAGTGAGCAGCAGCACTCCCAGAGAATCTGGAAAGACTGTAACCCCAGATGGGTGTGTGCCAGCTACAGAGGGTACCTGTCTTCTTCTTCTTCTTCTTCCTTTTCACTTTGATAGGCTTCACGACAAGCTCCTGGTCAAAGTCCTCTGAGCTGATGGCGTTGAATCTCTGTGACAGGGGCTGGCTGCCCTTGCCCAGCTCAGGGGTGGCCTGGAGCCCAGGGGGCAGGAGCCCGGAGCCGCTGTCGGTGGAGTTGAGCGAGCTGCTCCTGCTCCTTGGCTCGCTGGCCACGGAGCTGGCCATGGAAGAGCCTCTGAGCCTCGTCTCAGAAACTGTGGCCCCTGGCAGCTTCTCCGCTTGCTGCACGTGGACACGCTCTGAGCATCCAGACATCTCCAGACCATCTCTCACTAAGAAAGAAGAGTCTGGTTTTACCACTGGTGATCCAAGAGAGAGCTGATGTGCACTTATCCACGTTTGCTAGCCCTAAATACCAGTTGTCACAGAGGCACCAGCCAGCTAAAGAACTGAATGATTCTAAATTCATAGAAACCAGCAAAACTAGGATGGGCACGGTGACTCACGCCTGTAATCCCAGCACTTTGGGAGGCCAAGGCGGGCGGATCACAAGGTCAGGAGATCAAGACCATCCTGGCTAACACAGTGAAACCCCGTCTCTACTAAAAATACAAAAAATTAGCCGGGCATGGTGGCGGGCGCCGGGGGTCCCAGCTACTTGGGAGGCTGAGGCAGGAGAATGGTGTGAACCTGGGAGGCAAAGCTTGCAGTGAGCCGAGATTGCGCCACTGCACTCCAGCCTGGGCAACACAGTGAGACTCCGTCTCAAAAAAAAAAAAAAAAAAAATCCACCAAAACTAAAAGAATCATACAAAAGACTCTAAGAAACAGTTTTTGTTCTTCAAGAAGCTCATATATTAAAATCAGTAAAATAATTTGCCATAGCTTTCTTTTTATATTTATTTATTTATTTATTTTTGAGACGGAGTCTCAAAATTTAGCAGGGTGTGGTGGTGCACGCCCATAGTCCCAGCTACTTGGGAGGCTGAGGTGGGAGAATCATTTGAGCCTGGGAGGTGGAGGTTGCAGTGAGCTGAGATCATGCCACTGCACTCCAGCCTGCACGACAGAGTGAAACCTGTCTCAAAAAAAAAAAAAAAAAAGTAAAAAAATACTAAGAATACAGCATTTCTCGCTTCAATTTACAAATTATTTACAAATGAGAGATGCCTGTGTATAACAAAACAGCTTAGTTATACTTCATACTAAGACTCTGCCTTGAATATACTTTAAGATTACTCAAAGGGCATTTGAAAAATACATGTGTACCTGTAATTAAGTTTCCTGGAAGAGGGAAAGGTAATTTTCCATTAGAACAAACTCAAGACAGAGAAGTCCATTACCACACAGCATCAAGGCCAGTAGACCGCAGAGTGAGAACAGGCATGTGAGTACCTGTCTCCTGTCCCCAAGCCCAAGGGCCAGTGAGCTTCCCACTGCAGTGGACTCATCTTTTCTGCAACACGACACCACAGGGCACAAGGCCAGAGCAGTTCCAGCTACAGTACCCTCAACACAAGACCACAGCCCACTTTGATCCATTCGCCATCCTCTCTTTATCGGGGATCCTCCGTGTGCCAGACACAGGGCTAGCTGCTGGGACATGGCAGTCCATAAGACACAGGAATTCCTGCCCTTGAAGCACCCACATTCTATTGAGGGCATGTGTTAGGGGCAGACTGCAGGCAATGAAGTGTACACTGGAGACTGGAGGGGAGGACTCTGCTGTGAAGCGACTTGCTGAAGATTACATAACTTAATGGCAGATCTTGCCTAGAGCTCCCTGTCCAATAGGCAGCCACCAGCTACTTGTAAGTATTGAAATTCAAATTGATCAAAATTGAACAAAATTTAGGCTGGGCGCGGTGGCTCATGCCTGTAATCCCATCACTTTGGGAGGCTAAGGTGGGAGGACTGCCTGAGCTCAGGAGTTCGAGACCAGCCTGGGTAACATGGTGCATGGTGAAACCCCCTTTCTACTAAAATACAAAATATTAGCCTGGTGTGGTGGTGCACACCTGTAATCCCAGCTATTCGGGAGGCTAAGGCAGGAGAATCGTTTGAACCCAGGAGGTGGAGGTTGCAGTGACCAGAGACTGCACCACTGCACTCTAGCCTGGGATACAGAGCAAGACTCTGTCTCAAAAAATAAAATAAAATAAAATAAAAATTAAACAAAATGTAAAATTCATCTCTCAGCTGCACTTGCTATATTGCAAGTACTCAGCAGCCACACATGGACAGGGACTGCCTACCAGACAGGGCAGATGGGAGCATCTTCATCACTGCAGAAAGCTCTATGGGCAGCAGAGGTCCAGAGCTTAGCCTGGTGGCTCCAAGTCACCACCCTTCCTGAAAGCCATTCTAACCCTTTGATGACACTGTCTGAGGGGCCCCCAGCTCATAAACTCAAGAGTCAGAGCTTATTCACTTCTTATACAAATTATGTTTTGGAATATTCACCCCAATTTGCCCTCTCTGACATCAGAGGTAATGGTAGTGAGGAGGAGGGTGATGGGGTCCACATGGCTGTTGTTGCCACCATGAGGAACAAGTTCCCCGAGGAACCCAAATATATAAAGCATGTGGATGTCCGCAAGAGGACACATATTAGGATTCTTTGCTCATTAAAATTTGGGCTTGTATGAATTACCAAAAAATGTCAAAAGCACAGAGAAAAATAAATCCTACAAGGAAGAACTGAGTTAAGGGTAAACGGTATGTCCCAGATGACAGATTTAAATATTCTAAAACTCTATGCAAATCTATGTCTTTTGGAGCATTAATCCCACATACTGTCTCAGACGGAGAGCAGGGATCAGTAAAGTGGTTTCTGATTTTTCCTTCCTCCTTTCTCAATCTCCCCATCTTCCACAACCATGAAAGCAACTCCACTAAATGTGAGACTATCTGATGTAAGCCTTAAAGTAGGTGACTTTCAAGAAATGTACTGTAAATGCTATTTTAACAATCAGAGGAGCGGCCGGGCACAGTGGCTCACGCCTTTAATCCCAGCACTTTGGGAGGCGGAGGCAGGCGGATCGCCTGAGGTCGGGAGTTTGAGACCTGCCTGACCAACATGGAGAAACCCTGTCTCTACTAAAAATACAAAATTAGCCTGGCATAATGGCGCATGCCTGTAATCCCAGCTACTCAGGAGGCTGAGGCAGGAGAATAGCTTGAACCTGGGAGGCAGAGGTTGCGGTGAGCTGAGATCGCCTCATTGCACTCTAGCCTGGGCAACAAGAGCGAAACTCCATCTCAAAAAAAAAAAAAAAGAATCAGAGGAAACCCTCCAAATCCTCCAAGTTCAAATAAAGTTGCAATAGTTTAGCAAAATAATGGTAAGTTTTTGGTTTTGTTTTTGAGATGAGGTCTCACTCTGTCATCCAGGCTGGAGTGCAGTGGTGCAATCTTAGCTTACAGCAACCTCTGCCTCCCAGGCTCAAGCGATCCTCCCACCTCAGCCTCCCGAGTACTTGAGACCACAGGCGCATGCCACCACGCCTGGCTAGTTTTTTGTATTTTTGGTAGAGACAGGGTTTTACCATGTTGCCCAGGCTGGTCTTAAAGTCCTGAGCTTAAGCGATCCACCCACCTCAGCCTCCCAAAGTGCTGGGATTACAGGCGTGAGCCACCATGCCTGGCCCAATGGTAAGTTTGATCAATTATTAACTGCAATTACAAACAACAGAGTATAGTACTTCCCATCATATACATGGTACATTTTATAATAAATACAAACCTGTTGATGTTAATCCTTCAGGCCTGCTTGAAATTCTTATAATGTTCCTATCTCCTTTCAAGAAAAATATTTCATTTTCTGTGCACGAAACAGACACAATATCACCGGATCCTTCCAAACCAGCAACTGTGGCCTGTCAAAAAAAAAAAAAAAAAAAAAACAAAAAACACAAAACTAAACAACGGTAACAGCTCAAAGCATAAAAATGCATGTGTGAGAGTCCAAATCAGTCAAATGATAACTGCACTTTACTATGGTAACTTTCTGAAAATTCCAATTCAATCCAAAGTTAGGTAACATCTCACAGATTGGTAAGCAGGATCTGAGGGGTCCCCTGGCATGGTGGGGCCTCGGTCATCTCCGACCCACGTACCACCCTGCCCTCGTCCCTGCTGCAGGTGCACCGGCCCTGCCAGCCCAGTCCCAGCCCTGTTCCTCCATGGTGAATGCACGTGCTTCTCTTTCTGCTCAAATTCCTTTCCTATCCATGTTTGCTGGGGAAGTTCCAGTTCTCTCCAGACGCCACCTCTGTGAGAAGCAGCCTCTGACAAGCTTGCCCTCTGCTGCAACACCCAGGGCTCTCAGGGCTTGCAGCACCTCATCCAAACTTCCGCTTGACGCCCCACTCCTGGGCTGAAATAACGTGCAGACACGTCTAGTCCCCCTACTGTGTGCATTCCTGCAGGAGAGGCCAGTGCGCACTGCAACTCATGGGTTTTGAATGAATACATGAAGGGAGGGGAGGTTCCTCCAGCATTATCTGAAAGTGGGTGGCAACAAAACACAGGACATCCTGAGCCCACACTGACTTAAAGCAAGTCCTTGCTTTGCTGTAGACAGTGCAAATAAAGAGACTAGTCTGTTGTAGAAGGAGAGTCTATGTTTTTGGCTAATTTTAAATAACTGATGGACTGCTGCAAACATAACATTTGTTTCCGAAAGCTGCCAGTCATGCTGCCACTGGGTGGTCCAGTCTCTGAGGGTGACTGTGACATCTGTCCCAGACGGTCCCCTGTCTCCATTTCTCTACCTATAAAATGAAGTTAATTATACCTACTGGGTAAAGCATCGGGTAAATGCTCAGATGAAAGAACCAATGCACAGTTACAAAGCATCTTGATGCTACTAATTAATAAGTGCACATAAGTTCAAAAGGTATCCAGGGAAAGAAGTTCTCTGTAACTGAGGAAAGGGTGCAAAAATACCTTTCAGAATATCCCTTATAAAATGAACAAACTCAAGGCACCTTGGTGATTCCCCTAAGTCGATGCTTCTTCCACCCCCACCCCATTTTACAGGAAAACAAACCAGGCTCCGGCCGATAAGAGACTCTTGGTTAAAGGCAGAACCAGGCTAGAAGAGTCGAGTCTAGTTCTGCCCCCCACCCCGGGCCAGTTTTCTTTCTGCCAAACCAGTGTTACCAGGTACGGCTGATAATAATTCATAAAACTTCAATGAGGAGAAGATGAACTTCATGTTCTGCTGACACACACCAAAGAAGAAAACCCTTTCTTTTCTTTTTTTCAAATGAAGTCTTGCTCTGTCACCCAGGCTGGAGTGCAGTGGTGTGATCTTGGCTCATTGCAACCTCCGCCTCCCAGGTTCAAGCAATTCTCCTGCCTCAGCCTCCCGAGTAGCCAGGACTACAGGCGCCCACCACCATGCCTGGCTAATTTTTGTATTTTTAGTAGAGACGGAGTTTCACCATGTTGGCCAGGCTGGCCTTGAACTCCTGACCTCAGGTTATCCACCTACCTCGGCCTTCCAAAGTGCCCAAAGTGCTGGGATTACAGGCGTAAGCCACTGCGCCTGGCTGAAAACTGTTTATTTTCTACAGTGAGGCTCTGCTTATAAAAGAAAGGGGTGCCTGTCAGAGGCCCGCTGAGCTCAGAATGGAAGAACGTGAACAGGACAGGGCCTGGTCTAGAGTCTGGGGGTGAGGAGTCGGGAGGGTAAGGCAGGGAGTTTATTTTAAAAAGAGCAAAAGCTCTGCTCTTAAGACAAGGAGAAACTGAAACTAAACAGCTTTGTTTAAAGTTTCTAAATCTGTCTCTGATGATAATCTGTTATCATCTTGGTTTAAGCAGAAATTATTTCCTACCATGATTTTAATGATGTTGGAAATTTGCCCAAGATATATTGCTAAGTAAAGAAAACTGAAAATAAAAAACAAAAAACAAAAAAAAAACCAAGTGGCGGCCGGGCGCGGCGGTTCACGCCTGTAACCCCAGCACTTTGGGAGGCCGAGGCTGGCGGATCACCTGAGTCAGGAGTTCGAGACCAGCCTGGCCAACATGGTGAAACCCTGTCTCTACTAAAAATACAAAAAAATTAGCCAGGCGTGGTGGTGCGCACCTGTAATCCCAGCTACTTGGGAGGCTGAGGCAGGAGAATCGCTTGAACTCGGGAGGTGGAGGTTGCAGTGAGCCCAGATTGCACCACTGCACACTGCACTCCAGCCTGGGTGACATACTAGGACTCCATCTCAAAAAAAAAAAACAAAAAAAAAAACCAGGCATGGTGGCTCACGCCTGTAATCCCAGCAATTTGGGAGGCCAAGGCGGGCAGATCACGAGGTCAGGAGTTCAAGACCAGCCTGACCAACATTGTGAAACCCTGTCTCTACTAAAAATACAAAAATTAGCCAGGCGTGGTGGCATGCGTCTGTAATCCCAGCTACTCAGGAGGCTGAGGCAGGAGAATCGCTTGAACCTGGGAGGTGGAGGTTGCAGTAAGCCGAGATCATGCCACTGCACTCCAGCCTGGGTGACAGAGCGAGACTCTTTCTCAACAACAACAACAACAACAACAACAACAAAAAGAACAAGTTTAATTTTGTGTTTACATACAAAAAACATACATCATTTCTCGGCAGAAAATTGGACCTAAATGTCAAAACCAAATTTTTTTTTTCAAATCTATAAAAATTACCAAACCTTCATTTGATTTCCTTGACTGGCCCAAAGGAAAAAGTAAAGTGTAAGTCAATACTGCTCCTGGTAGCATTCTGAGGTCCCTGAGTAGAACAGTTTATAGAGATACATTCTCTTGCCTATAGACACAGAAGATATGGTGGCGTCCCTTCACTTACCTGGTTGACTGTGTCTAGGAGATAGATACTATATTCATTCCAACTCAGCACCCAGCCTTCTTGAAAGAAACATGAAACAAGCCCCAGGTGCCTCTCAGGTAAGCTGCAACTTCCACTGTTGGGGGATTCCAGACGCGGGTGCAGTTCAAAAGGCTTGACTCCCCCGGCAAAAGCATCTTTTAAGATAAACGTGGCTTGAACAGTCCCGTGGACATCAGCCTTCCATAGCCGGAGCCCGGGCCGTGACGCATACAAGGTTAGATCACTTTGCTTACAGAGTCCTGGTATAAAACAAGCACCAAATTTCCCAGTACTAAAATTAGAAGAAAGAAAGAAAGAACAAAAAACAGACATGGACTGATTTAAAGTAATGCAGTTGTCAACCCTTAATATTAAGTACAACAAGAATTTTTTGGCTAAGACAATAATTGATTTTTCACCCTTTCTACTGTTTGTTTTTTGTCAAACCACACTGTCATCCCTGTACCAACAGAGGCCCGACCACACCCTCACAGGTGTGTGCCCCATTAGCACACAGGGAACCATTCACTGAGTACTCACACAGCCTGCACTGTGCCTGGCACTTGATCCCACTCTCGTGTCTAATCCTTACAACAACCATGAGTGGCAGATACAGTCACGCATCACATAACATTGTATTCAGGCTGGATGCATCATGCCTGCAATCTCAGCACTTTGGGAGGCCAAGACGGCAGATCATCTGAGGTCAAGAGTTTGAGACTAGCCTGGCCAACATGGTGAAACCATGCCTCTACTAAAAATACAAAAATTAGCCAGGCATGGTGGCGCATGCCTGTAGTCCCAGCTACTCGGGAGGCTGAGGCAGGAGAATCGCTTGAACCTGGGAGGCAGAGTTTGCAGTGAGCTGAGATAGTGCCACTACTGTACTCCAACCTGGGTGACAGAGCAAGACTCTGCTTCAAAAACAACAACAACAAACCATTTTAGTCAATGATGGACCGCAAATACAACAGTGGTCCCATAAGATTATAATACCATATTTTTATGGTACCTTTTCTATGTTTAGACATACAATTACTTACCGTTGTGCTACAGCTGCCTAAAGTATTCAGTACAGTCACATGTGGTGCAAGTCTGTAGCCCAGGAGCAATATGCTGTACCATTTAGCCCAGGTGGAAGTAGGCTGTACCTACCACCTACGCTTGTCAGTACACTCAATGCTGTTCATACAACAAAGATGTCACCTAACAATGCATTTCTCAGAATATATTCCAGTTGTTAGGTGACACATGACTGTATTACAACTCCCGTTTTGGAGGAGAGGAAACTGAGGCAGAAGGTGAAGAATCCAGGTCTGCTCATCCTTTCCCTGCTCTGATTCTGTTGCTTCTGACGTCTGATTGCTGTGCTCAGTCCACATCCTGAATGAATGAGCTTCACAGCAACCCATCTATATTGTTGCCTTTTCAGAATTTCTCTAAACCCATCAGAGGCACCAATGTCCCTTCCTGCCCCCAAGCTTGATATTTTTTCTTTCTGAAATTATGAAATATCTGACACAAACAAAAGAATATGCTATATATAGAGTCACAGGTCACTTAGTGACAGGGATGTTTGAGAAATATGTCATTAGGCGATGTCTTCGTTGTGTGAACATCATAGAGCGTACTTACACAAACCTAGATGGCACAGCCTATGACACACCCACATAGTCTAGCCCAGGGCTGTCCAATCTTTTGGCTTCCCTGGGCCACATTGGAAGAAGAAGAATTGTCTTGGGCCACACATAAAATACACTAACAATAGCTGATGAGCTAAAAATAATAATAATAATAATAATAGTCACAAAAAAAACCTCTTTTTTTTTTTTTGAGACAGAGTTTTGCTCTTGTTGTCCAGGATGCAGTGCAATGGCGCAATCTGGGCTCAATGCAATGGAACCTCTCCCTCTTGGGTTCAAGTGATTCTCCTGCCTCAGCCTCCCATGTAGCTGGGATTATAGGTGTGCACCGCCATGCCCAGCTAACTGTGTATTTTTAGTAGAGATGGGGTTTTACCATGTTGGCCAGGCTGGTCTCGAACTCCTGACCTCAAGTGATCCACCTGCCTTGGCTTCCCAAAGTGCTGGGATTACAGGCATGAGCCACTGCGCCTGGCCAAAAAATCTCATTTTAAGAAAGTTTACAAATTTGTGTTGGGCCGTGGGTTGGACAAGCTTAGTCTAGCCTATTGCCCCTGGACTGCAAACCTGTACTCCATATGACTGTACTTAACACTGTAGGCACCTGTAACATAATGATGACTGTTTGTCTATCTAAAAACAGAACACGTAATGTGTGGCGCTAAGACACCAGCTGATAGGAATTTTTTCAGCTCCATTATAATCTTCTGCGACCACTGTCATACATGCAGTCCGTCAATGACTGAAATGTTGTTATGCAGTGCACCACTGTGTATATGTACATATATCCATGCAGTTATGAAGCCTAGCAAGGAAAGGTACACCTGGGAACCCATCCCCAAACTTAGGAAAGAAATCATCAGTCACCCAACCAATGTTCTCCTGTGCTCCTAACACTTCCTGCCCCCTTGTGCCCCAGATGGAACCACTGGACTGCATTTTGCCTTTATCATTTCCTCACTTTTTTGTTGGTTTAATCACATATCTATGTATCTCTAAAGACAATATAATTTAGTATTGTTTATCTTTCATTTTTATTAAAATGTATGATGCTAATTGTACTCTTTTGCTTTTTCTCACTTAACACTATGTTTCTCAGATTTATCCTTCTTGATAAAAAGAAGCTGTCGCACTAATTCATTTCTACTGCTGAATGGTACAGTACGTCCTACTCAGCGTCCACAGGTTCTTAGAAACTACAACTGTAAGCGAAATGACATAGAGCAGGTCCTCAGATAACACCATCTCCTTCAACAACATTGGTGAGGGAAAAACACTGGTTTTGTTATACGTTGTTTTGCTAATGTCGCAGTTTCCAAGAACCTATCAATGACATTAAACGAGGACTTAATGTATTCCACAATTCATTTATTCATTTTCTTGTTGATGGATATTTCAATTATTATTTTTTAAAGCTATTTTGAGCAATTGTGCTATGAGCATTTCTGTGCATACCCCTTAGCCCACAGGTGTCAGAGTCTGTCACGGACACTCAGGATGCAGTTGGTGGGCTGTGGGGTAATCGCTGGGTTGCTGAGAGCATATTCAAGTTTAGAAGACAACTTCAAGCTTTTTAAACGTGATTATACAATCTACACTCCCACTGGCAATCTGAGTTCTCGTTATTTCTCAGGATGCTAACAGAGTTCACATGTAAGCATTTCAGTTCAGCCCTATGCCTGGCTGATTCCTTCTCCCAAATACTTCTCAGATTGTGAAAAGCAGAAACAGCACTGGTTTTAGAGCTAGCCCTGGGCTCGATGTCCAGCCCTGACACCTAGTGGGTATGTGGTACGTGCAATTATTGAACTTTTCTGGACCCGTTTCCCATTCTGTAAACCAGGCAGAGTAACTCCCATCTCAAAGGCTGAAGTGAGGAATTAATGAGATTACTTACATGCAGCACAAAAGCAATGCTTGTGACACTAAGTCCCCATAAGTGCTCAATTGTCCTGAACGAGGCTACAGGCAGGTCACAGTTGAGAGCTGCCTCCGTGCCACTGCTTCCCCACCAGACCTCGGCCAACTTGTGCTGTGCCTGTTCCCACACTCCCTGCACACAGCAGCACACCCAACCCTAGAGGCCACCCCCAGGGCCCACCCACATAGGCAAACAGATAGTTATTTGCGGGGTTTCTTCGCACACCAGAATCTCACTAGGTCCCTCTGGCACCTCAGTAACTAAATCCCTTTGGATAGGGTCCAAGGAGGATATTATATATCAAATTCAGCTTTGAAACAATGATCGTTAGGACGAACCAAGGGTGTTTTGACATCGTGGATCTTTTATGGACAACTCTATCAACAGCATCGTATCTGATTACTGCCTTTGGTGGGTTTGTTCTGGAGATGTCCTCTAAATAGAGCGAACCAGAGGAATTCCAGCAAGGGAGCCCATAATCTCTTCCTCTGCCTTTCCTGTCAATCAATTTCTCTTGGCGATCCAATTTTTAAATGTTTTCCTTCTATTTGTAGGACCTCTGAAAAATCTCTTGTCATTTCCATTTTGACTGGTTCATCTTATGTAACTAAAGCACTCATGTTAACAAACATTTAGTGATTCCTACATTCTGTAAGACATCGTGTTTGATGCTCTGGGTAAAATAAAAAATAAATAAGATGAGGTCCTCAGCCTGTCTCATAACACTGTGCTGACCTGTGTGAACAATCACATCAGCATCTGGAAGCGCCATCTGAGGCTCAAAGAGCTGCTCAAAGAGCTCAGATCAAGGTGGTGCATCTGAGTGGGCATGAGAAGGCGAGGTCCTGAACACCAGGTGGACTCTTACCCTGGAGGAAGGGAAAGGAGCCCTGCTGAGCAAGGTCCTGGGAGTGGCTGCCTCTAAAACTGCTGAATAGCTGGGCATGGTGGCTCACACCTGTAATCCCAGCACTTTTGGAGGCCAAGGAGGGAGGACTGCTTGAGCCCAGGAGTTTGACAACAGCCTGGGTGACCTAGAGAGACACCATCTCTACAAATTAAAAAATTTAGCCAGGCATGGTGGTGCGTGCCTGTAGTCCTAGTTACTCGGGAGGCTGAGGGAGGAGGATCGCCTGAACCCAGCTGTTCAAGGCTGCAGTGAGCTGTGATCACACCACTGCACCCCAGCCTTGGTGACACAGCAAGACCCTGTCTCTAAAAAATAAAAAGAACGGAAATGTCTGATGAGTGGGTTGGTCAAAGGCAGTGAAGTTGTGAAGAACCAGCTAGAGCCAGGTACAAATTGTCCTAAGCCCCCGACTCAGCCACCATCCACTTGCAGTGCGATTCTGCAGTACTTGCTGGTGCTTTCTGAATTTGACACTGAAGCTCCAACTTTTAAGGTCTAAGTATTGCAGGATTCTAAAATCATAAACAAATTAATATAATTTCTTAATTTCGGTAGAGATGATTTCCAAAAACCTCATTGATTACCTAAAAAAATTTTAATTCCCTTTATAGACCACGTTGATATGTAAGGAGTGTGTTCTGGCTAACAAATTCTAGCTATAAAATGGTGTTTTATGATTTTGTGCATAATGTATGGTGCCACAGAGCTGATACGCTGAAAGCTGACAGCACCCAAAATGGGAGCCTGAAAGTCTAAGCTGAGTGAGAAGAAGGATCCACAGAAGCCCTGCCAGAGATCTCAACAGCTAACACCCACTGGCCATCCAAACAGATGTGCTAGTCGCGGGGTTCCAGAACCGGCTGCTGGCTCTTACCCACATGCGGGCGCCACACCTACAGATTGCTGCGTCTCCTTCTCCTTCCCCAGGGCAAAGTGCTACTGCCAGGGAGGGCTTCCCTGAGTACTAGACTCACAGGGGACACAGTAACAGGTCTGCAGAGGGCTCTGACACATGAAACAATGCAACATAAATACACAGGACAGCAAACCCACGGTTGCAGATGGCTAGGGCCTCTGAGGTTTTCTGGATGTAACACACATCATCCGGTCTGAAGAGGTTCACGGACTCGACGGGAAGAGGACCCCTCGTCTTCTACCTCTGGGCCTCCTGACCTGCCTGCACCTGCCCTGTGCTCAGTGCCCTGCCCTTTCTCTGGAAGAGAGTCTCTGTCCCGGTTTCTGGTCAACCCTACACTGCTGCCCATGAGAGGGCCCAACTGAGGCCACCGCCTGCACTCTGTCCCCACCAGCACTGTGTTCCCTCCACAGGCACCCGCGTCACACACCAATGTGCTGCCACACGGCCCCTCTCCCAAAACTCCCACCAGGCCACATGGTTCCCCCCTGGGCACCACCTATTTGTCTTTCTTTGTTCTCTTCTACAAAAACACTCCTCCTAAAAGCTCTCCATACTCGCCGTCAACTCCTCTTTCAGCCCTTCCAATCCCTTGGCCCTGCTGATGAGGAGGGCTGTGCACAGCCTCCATGCTACAGACTCAGGCCCGTCGAAGCTGCCTCAGCCCCCGGTCTCGCAGCAGCTGCTATGTCCCTCCATATGGCCTCCGACTCCTCTGACCCCCCAACTCCTGTTCTCTCCTGATGCCCTTTCCTCTTCAGAACACAAGCCTGCCCAAATCTCCCTAGGCGAGCTCCTGTCTGCATGCCAGTGGCTGCCAGCGCACAGCTCCCCGAGAGGTACACCCGCCACCCGCCTCCCACGCCAGCTCTCCACTGCAGGGAGAGGACATGGCGGGGCCACAGCAGGCTGTTCCATCTCCTCCTTCTCCCCGTGCCTCCAGGATTCTCTGCGTCAATCCACAGCATGTCCACTCACCCAGCTGCATAGACCACAGACCTAGGAATCATCTCCAACTCATCCCTCTCACACCTCAGAACCAACGTGGCAGCAAATCTGCCAGCTCTGCCTTGGAAGCAGTCCGACCACCAACCCCGCCCCATCCTGTCTTCTCCTACCCGGATCACCCAGAATCCTTGCTGGCCCTGCTGAGCTGCCACACCTGCCCCCTCCAGCATATTCCAAGCAGCAGCCAGAGTGACCTCCCTGGCTTGGCCACAGCCCTCTGTGACTGACCACAGCACTGGACTGAAAGAGCCCCATGGGCAGGGCCCACAAAGCCGACGGGAGGGGGCTCCCCACACCGTGCTCCACACAGCCAGCCTGGCTGCTCAGATCCTCGGTGCGCAGGGCCCTCTGCCTCCAGAGCCTCTCTCTAAGGTCTTCTCGCACTAGTTGCCTCTTTGTTTCAGGAATCAGCCCATGCTACCTCCTCAGAGGAGCCTTCCCTGTCATCCTATTAAAGAGACACCTGTGTCTCCTGCTCCTCCCTCTCTGGCTCTGCACCCTCTGACATGTTTATCTGTTCACTACTCTGCACACAGCTCCCTGAGATTAGAGATCTGTTCTGCCTTGTTCACAGATATCCCCCGATGAGGAGTACTGGAGCAGGGCAGAGGCTTGGCGCAAAGCTCCAGCGCTGAATGAACAGACATTCCCTGCGTGGATTCATCCAATGTCAGGGTGTCAGTGTCACCTGTATCTGGTGACCTCATTTTCCCCTCTGGTCAAGACTTCTTCCCTGGGCTCCAGACCGGTCCACAGAACTCTCTTCTGCGACTCCCACGCAGCCACCTGACAGGCCCGTCAAACCCCTTATGTCCACAGCAGAGGTCCTGATGTCCTGACCTCTGGCCCAGCCTTCCCCAGTCTCCAGTCTCCATCTCAGTCAATGGTTTCCCTGGACTCCCAAGGCAGCCTCCCTGCGGCTCCCCTGCCTCCCTGCGGCTCCCCTGGACTCCTGCAGCAGCCTCCCCGTGGCTCCCCTGGACTCCCGTGCCAGCCTCCCCACGGCTCCCCTGGACTCCCGTGGCAGCCTCCCCACGGCTCCCCTGGACTCCCATGCCAGGCTCCCCTGGACTCCCGTGCCAGCCTCCTCGCAGCTCCCCTGGACTCCCATGGCAGCCTCCCCACGGCTCCCCTGGACTCCCGTGTCAGCCTCCCCACGGCTCCCCTGGACTCCAGCCATAGCCAGTGCCCTAGTCACTTCTGGCTTCTTGAACATCTAAGCTCTTGCCCAATTGAGGTCTTGGCATATGCTGTTCCCTGAGCCTGGAATGCTCTTCCAGCAGCTCTTCCCAGGCTTCAGCTCAAAGATCACTGCCCTTGTAGAGGCCTTTCCTGACCATCCTATCCAAATGCAACTTCCTGCCCCATGCCTAGCACTCCCTAATGCTTCACCTAGCCCGCTCCTTTACAGCACTGACAGCCTCTACTCTCCTCCTGCTGACCGACAGTCTCTCTCATTGTGTTTGAGGGCAGAGGCCTTGTCTCCTTGGATGCCTCCGTACTTGCTGTCACGCCTCCACGTGTACATGCCTAGCTCCGCTCACTAAACAGTTGTGAGGGAAGCACTGCTTCCAGGGATAGACGCACACAATAGTCTACAGCAGAAAGCAAGTCTTTAAGACACAGATGTTAAAAACATTTCCTCTTATTCTGTTAGCCCTCATTTCCCCAAGGCTCAGTAAAATCTCTCTCCTTCTGAGAAGGGGACACATTTATTTGTTTCTGCATCCTAAAACGTTCCTGGGGAGCAGAGCACGCTTTCAATCAATGTTCCCTAAAGACTTGACTGCACAGACGCACTAGGAGAGGTTTACAGAAACTGCCTGGGTCTCCACACAAGAGGTTAAAGGGCCAGGTTTGTTTTTTGTTTTTTTGTTTTCGATTTTTTTGAGATGAAGTCTCGCTCTGTCACCCAGGCTGGAGTGCGGTGGTGCAGTCTCAGCTCACTGCAACCTTTGTCTCCCCGGTTCAAGCGATTCTCCTGCCTCAGCCTCCTGAGTAGCTGGGATTACAGGCGCCTGCTACCCTGCCTGGCAAACTTTTGTGTTTTTAGTAGAGAGGAGGTTTCACCATGTTGGCCAGGCTGTTCTTGAACTCCTGACCTCAAGTGACCCGCCCACCTTGGCCTCCCAAAGTGTTGGGATTACAGGCGTGAGCCACTGTGTCCGGCCAAGGGCCAGGTTTTAAGAGAGATTGTTGGGAATAGGACCCACATGTAAAGTAATTGGTTTTCAATGCCTCTCTTTACACTCTGCCTTCCTTCCAAGACAGTGCAGTAAAACATTGACAGACGAACCAGGATAAAATGCCAGAGGAGTAGGATACTGGCAGAGAGAGCAGCAGAACTAAGATCTGCAGGGCCATAAATTCCACTGAGTTCTCCAGGGACCGAAAGGGAGACTGCAGATATAAAAAGGCCAGATTGTTGATGGGATTAAGAAGGTGTTCAGCAGGCCGCATGTGGTGGCTCACACCTGTAATCCCAGCACTTTGGGAGGCCAAGGCAGGCGGATCACCTGAGGTCGGGAGTTTGAGACCAGCCTGACCAACATGGTGAAACCCTGTCTCTACTAAAAATACAAAATTAGCCGGGTGTGGTGGCACATGCCTGTAATCTCAGCTACTCAGGAGGCTGAGGCAGGAGAATCGCTTGAACCCAGGAGGCAGATGTTGCAGTGAGCCAAGATCGCACCACTGCACTCCAGCCTGGGCAAGAAGAGCAAAACTCTGTCTCAAACAAAAAAGAAAAAGAAAAAGAAAAAAGAAGGTGTTCAGCATCGAAAATAGAAGAAAGGGGAGGTTTGAGAGCGTCTTTTAACAGCCGGAGGGCTGCCATGCAGAAAAGAGAATAAACTTGTGTGTTGCCGCAAAGCCCAGAACACAGAATAACGGGCAGTGACTACGACCACAGGGGCTGGCTCCGCCTCACCCGACTCTCCAGGACGGCCTGTCCCCAACGGCACCACCAGCCGCAGGGCCTCATCAACGCCTGCCAATCTCACCATGTTTC
This sequence comes from Homo sapiens, assembly GCF_000001405.40. Taxonomy (NCBI): domain Eukaryota; kingdom Metazoa; phylum Chordata; class Mammalia; order Primates; family Hominidae; genus Homo; species Homo sapiens. Next base: position 102,415,862 of record NC_000014.9, on the reverse strand, counting down.
CCAGTCCCTGCTGTCACTCTCCACAGGGCCAGCCTCAAGCCCTCCCCACATGCCGTGACCATCAGCTGCCCTGCCCCTGATTCTATGCAGGCAAACAGTGCCCTTTCCTGGGAGACACAAGACGGGAACTCTTCCAGCTCCCATCGGCCAATCGACAATCCATGACTGTAGACTCATCAACGCATGATCTGTACTAATGCCGCCCTCTGCTTCCCACCCCCACGTTGGCCCCAGTCTACCTCCTCCTTGGCATAGGAGGGGTCAGCTCCACTGCTCTACCTACCCCTCCTCACCCCATCCCCACGCAAACTCGCTGCAGAGTCCTACAAGAGTGCTTTACAGGCTAGGGTGGGATGATGAATTACAGGTTCCCCAGGTGTTCCAGTTGTCTTTTCCCACACGGCTGGTATGGCTGGTGGACTTCTCGATGCCCTTCCTCCACATCACTGGTCAAAGGAGGAATGATCTCTCAACCTGGAACCCATGCCTTCAGGATGTCTTCCCTGACCCTTCACCTGGACAAAAGTGTGTCTAAACTCACACAGCATCCTGTGTATTTTGGTCCACAGCAGCTGACACAGTGGTCAACAAGTGTTCTATCTGTGTTTCCATTTCCACAACGGAGGGCTCAGATCTGCCGTGTTTACCATGTCACTGCTGAGCCTGCCACAGTGCACAGGGGTGCATGGTAAACACGTGCTGAATAACGAGTGAGCCCCACAACCCTGACCCCTCACCAGGGCTGTGTGGAGGAGGTGGCTCCACAAGGAACAGATAGACCAGGCCACCCCTGAGGCTTCTCTGCGCTGACTGTGGCACCCTGAGAGGCAGAGTGGCTGTGTGTGCAGGCTCCTACAGCTCTGCGACAAGAAGAACACACTCTTCTTGTCTGCCTCTGGGAGGAGAAATCCTAAGCAGGCACAGGGCCCCACCAGGAACCCCAGGCTTAGAGGCGCTGTGGGTTTGCAAACAGGAGGTCTCCGGCAAACAGGAGACCTAAGAAACCCTAAAGCACCTTCTACAACAAGGCCCAGCATTTAGGCCAAACTGGCAAACTTGTGAAACTTACCTTTTCCTTGGTTGTGTTCCAATTTGCCTTACAGACTTTTCTTCAGTGTAAAAGAGCAGACTTCTTTGCAGAGTAGAGACCAGCAGCACTTTCTGGCTATAATCCAGCTGCACAATGGAAGATGGCTCCTCCAACACCAGCTGGGAGTTACAGAGCCCCTGGCAGAGAAAGTCTGGTTACACCTCACATCAGCGCCAGGCTAAAGAATGGACCTCCCTTAGGACAAGTCAGTGTCCTTCCCGCTAGCTGTGCTTAGGTCAGCTTGCACCTTACTTAACGCATGCTTTCACTCTCTGCAGATTCACTCTCAACCCACCATAGCGAGATTATTTGACGGATGGGAAAAGAGTCCATACTAACATCTCCCTCATGCTGCATCCAGTTTGACAGGAAACATTTTAAAATCTGCATAATTTTTAAAAACATGTCCTCAGTAGATACATTCTTTACTGTGCACCATAGCAGGCTCAGGGATGATGCAGTAAACATGCAGAGAGTTCAAAGAAGAATCCATAAAGATCTAAACAGAAATCTGTTGCACTGTGTGTATTGCTTATTCTATTATAAAACAATGGAATGGAACATTCTATAAAATTATTGCGACAATAATCAGCTCTGTAAGTTCATATTATAGTCTCCCCTCACAAAGGGTTCAAAGCAGCTTTGAGGACATTATATCCTTGCCAACTGAAAGGGTAATAGAAAACAGAAGGTTAGAAGAAATTAAATGATATTAAATATATAAAATGCTATTAACATAAAATGATACTTTACAAGACCAGCCTGGGCAACATTGTGAGATCATGTCTCTACAAAAAAATTTTTTTTATTAGCCAGGCATGTTGGCACGTGCCTATGGTCCCCGCTACTTGGGAGGCTGAGACAGAAGGATCATTTGAGCCCAGGAGTTCAGGTTACAGTGAGTTGTGATCACACCACTGCACTCTAGCCCAGGTAGCAGAGTGAGACTCTGTCTTTAAAAAAGAAAAAAAAACCATATTTTATATATAAACACAAAATAAAATTCTAGAAGGCATACGACTGCTAACACAAAGCATATTTCATTGTATAAAAAATCTGATTCTGTAAGTTACTTTTACAGAAAAGTGTCATCAGGCCGGGTGCAGTGGCTCACACTTGTAATCCCTATATTTTGGTAGGCCGAGGTGGGTGGATCGTTTGAGGTCAGGAGATCGAGACCAGCCTGGCCAACATGGTGAAACCTCGTCTCTACTAAAAATACAAAATTTAGCTGGGCGAGGTGGCACATGCCTGTAATCCCAGCTACTTGGGAGGCTGCGGCAGGAGAATCACTTGAACCCAGAGGCAAGGGTTGCAGTGAGCCAAGATCGCACCACTGCACTCCAGCCTGGGCAACACAGTGAGACTCTGTCTCAAAAAATATATATATATATACATTATATATATATGAAATATATGTATATTTCATATATATGAAATCCAATATATATATGAAAAGTTTCATCAATTATTTCAGAAATACTGCTGTAACATCACTGACATTTTGTGAGGGAAGTAGGGGGCAGTGATCAGATTTGTTGGTAAAACTTACAGTAAATTTCGTCCCTTTTTGGGTATACAATTCTATGAATTTTGACAAATTTATAGTCATGTAACCAACACCAAAATCAAGATAAAGAAATTTCCATTACATGAAAATGTTGCAAACCTTTTTTTTGAGACAGGTTCTGGCTCTTGGCCTAGGCTGGAGTGTAGTGGTGCAATCTCAGCTCACTGCAATCTCCACCTCCAAGGCTCAACTGATCCTCCAACCTCAGCCTCCAGAGTAGCTGGGATTACAGGTGTGCATCACCATACCTGGCTAATTTTTATGTTTTTTGGTAGAAATGGGGTTTTGCCATGTTGCCCAGACTGGTCTCAAATTCCTGGGCTCAAGTGATCATCCTGCCTTGGCCTCCCAAAGTGCTGGGATTACGGGTGTGAGCCACCACACCTGGCCAGAGGATAGGTACTTTTGTATTCTCCCTTCTGCTGCACACTGAAATACACTCAGTGGTTCTCTCAAGGAAACCACTTGTGCAACTGTTGCAGCTATGAGCTGAGCCAGCTGCTTTTTTCACAAAACACCATTTTTATTTGAAATGCTGTAATTATTCAAATTTGGGTATTTAGCAGACATTTTCTCAAAAAAAAAAAAAAGCCTGTCACTTCAAGGAAAACAAGTAATGGTATTTGTTGCTCTCACACAAAGATTAGCAATCTGAAAACTTGTATCTGTCCCTGTGAACTTGACATGATTCCTTATAGCTAGACTTTCCCGATTACAATGATGTTGATGTTAATGAAGGTATTTTTTTGATATTGTATTAGAAAATTTATCAGCTGGCACGGTGGCTCAAACCTGTAATCCAAGAACTTTGGAAGACTGTGGTGAGCAGATTGCTTGAGCCCAGATGTTCAAGACCAGCCTGTGCAACATGGCGAAGCCCTGTCTCTATAAAAATACAAAAAAATCAGCTGGGCATGGTGGTGTGCACCCATAGTCCCAGCTACTCGGGAGGCCAAGGTGGGGGAATCACCTGAACCTGGGAAGTCAAAGCTGCAGTGAGCCGTGATTGCACCACTGTGCACCAGCCTGGGTGAGAGGAGTAAGACCATGTCTCAAAAAAAAAAAAAAAAAAAAAAAAAGTGTCAACATTTGGAAGATCTGCATCACTCTGTGAATAGTATTTTCTAAGTGACCAATACATAATGTTACAAAATCCAACATGGGTAAAGTAGATTTTAATGTAACAGAGTAGGAAAAATTCATCCATGTGGTTTCAGATTCCACATTTTTACTAACCTTTAAAGAAACTACCATTTGTCATTTGTCACCGTAACCTTTAAAGCAACTACCATTTGCTTTATGAGGTAGTCATATGAGGATATTATTAAAGAATGTCCACAACTATCTGAAAAGGCTATCAAAATACTCCTCCCATTTCCAACTACATGTCTGTGTAAAGCCAGTTTTTCTTTATACACTTCAATCAAAACAATGTATGGCAACAGATTGAATGCAGAATCCAGCCATCTTCTTTTTTTTTTTTTTTTTTTTTTTTTTTTTTTTGAGCAACATGGCTGTTTATTTCACCTGGGTGCAGGCAGGCTGAGTCCGAAAAGAGAGTCAGCAGAGGGAGATAGGGGTGGGGCCGTTTTATAGGATTTGGGAAGGTAATGGAAAATTACAGTCAAAGGGGGTTGTTCTCTGGTGGACAGGGGCAGGGGTCGCAAGGTGCTCAGTGGGGGTGCTTTTTGAGCCAGGATGAGCCAGGAAAAGGACTTTCACAAGGTAATGTCATCACTTAAAGCAAGGACAGGCCATTTACACTTCTTTTGTGGTGGAATGTCATCAGTTAAGGCGGGGCAGGGCATATTCACTTCTTTTGTGATTCTTCAGTTACTTCAGGCCATCTGGGCGTATACGTACGTGGAAGTCACAGGGGATGTGATGGCTTGGCTTGGGCTCAGAGGCCTGACATTCCTGCCTTCTTATATTAATAAGAAAAATAAAACAAAATGGTGTTGAAATGTTGGGGCGGCAAAAATTTTTGGGGGGTGGTATGGAGAGAGAATGGGCGATGTTTCTCAGGGCTGCTTCAAGCAGGATTAGGGGCGGCGTGGGAACATAGAGTGGGAGAGATTAAGCTGAAGGGAGGTCTTGTGGTAAGGGGTGATATCGTGGGGATGTTAGAAGAAACATTTGTCATATAGAATGATTGATGATGGCCTGGATATGGTTTTGGATGAATTGAGAAACTAAATGGAATAACAGAAGGAGAAAAACAGGTATAAAAGGTCTAAGAATTGGGACGACTCAGGATATCTGATTAGAGAGTGCCTAAGGAGATTCAGCACAGTCCTGCCAGCAAAGATTATTTATTTACTTCAAGAGTTAAGAGTGGCAGTTTGGGGATAGCACCAGGAGATATCAGCTGCGATGGCTTGGAAAAACAGTGTAAACCGGCAGTGTAAACCAGAGCAGGGCATGTATGAGTTAGTTGAGAATGGTGAATAGGAATATGACTAGACAGAAGATAGTAGGGATGACAAGTTTTTTTTTTTTGAGGGGGGGCACAGTCTAAGTTGGTCTAGTGTCCGGAATGAGACTGGGGCCTAACAAAAAGGAGTATCCATACAGGAGCTCAAATGGGCTGTACCCTGTAGCATTCCGAGGACAGGCCTGAATTCTGAGAAGGGAAAGTGGTAAAAGTATTGTCCAGTCCTTTTTAAGTTGGTGGCTGAGCTTGGTGAGGTGTGTTTTTATTTTTTTATTTTTTATTTTTTATTTTTTTTTTTAATTTATTTTTTTATTGATAATTCTTGGGTGTTTCTCACAGAGGGGGATTTGGCAGGGTCATGGGACAATAGTGGAGGGAAGGTCAGCAGATAAACAAGTGAACAAAGGTCTCTGGTTTTCCTAGGCAGAGGACCCTGCGGCCTTCCGCAGTGTTTGTGTCCCTGATTACTTGAGATTAGGGAGAATCCAGCCATCTTCTATTAAGCCAGATAATAAAGAAATTTGTAAAAATATAAATCAATGCCACTCACTCTTCTCACCTGTTTTGAAAATAGAGCTATAGAGATATTTTCACAAAATATGTCACTTATGTGCAGATGTTATGGATTTATTATTTCAAAGTAAAATATTTTTAAATTTCAGCCAGGCGCAGTGGCTCACGCCTGTAATCCCAGCACTTTGGGAGGCTGAGGTGGGAGATTTCAATCACAGGGTCAGGAGATTGAAACCATCCTGGCTAAAACGGTGAAACACTATCTCTACAAAAAATACAAAAAAGTAGTCAGACGTGGTGGCAGGTGCCTGTAGTCCCAGCTACTCGGGAGGCTGAGGCATGAGAATCCCTTGAACCCGGGAGGCGGAGGTTGCAGTGAGCCGAGATCGCGCCACTGCACTCCAGCCTGGGCAACAGAGCGAGACTCCATCTCAAAAAAATATGTATATTTTTAAATTTCTCAGTTGTAACTTCTAACATGGTGTACTTGGTAGAGATAACCCATATGAACAAAAATGCTTTGGGGTCCTCTTTCTAAGAGTGTAAAGGGATCCTGTGACTACAAAGCTTGAGAACTACTACTAGAGAATATTTGTACTAGGTCAGTCTTGGATCAGAGGGACTGAAAGTCATGCAGCTAATAATTGCTGAATTCTTGGCTGGGCGTGGTGGCTCACGCCTGTAATCCCAGCACTTTGGAAGGCCGAGGCAGGCAGATCATCTAAGGTCAGGAGTTCAAGACCAGCCTGACCAACATGGTAAAACTCCGTCTCTACAAAAATACAAAAATTAGTCGGGCATGATGGCAGGTCCCTGTAATCCCAGCTACTTGCGAGGCTGAGGTGGCAGAATCGCTTGAACCCGGGATATGGAGGTTGTCACAAGCCGAGATTGGGCCACTGCACTCCAGCCTGGGCGACAAGAGCGAGACTGTCTCAAAAAAAAAAAAAATTGCTGAATTCCTATAGTGCTCTAGGAATGAAGGCTACAAATAAGAAAAAGAAAGGACTGTGCCACCAAGGAGTTCAGTTTGGTTGCAGACACATGACAAAACAAATAAAACCCAGCAGATCATCAAGCCATACGTGCAGTGGAAAAGGCACGGGCGTCGAAGCAGAAGCACAGTTTGAAAGCAAGCTCTGTGAGGTGCAAGCCTGCACCCCTGGACTAGTTCCTGGATCTCTTGGCACTCCAGTTTCTTCATCTTCACCATACTGCCACCTAACCTCCTCTGCCACTTCCTGTCACATGAGGTCATCTCACACAGGCCAGGTGGCTGGCAGAGTCCTCCATCCATTGAAATCACTGACTTGTCCACAGTTAGGATTCAGAAGTGCTTGGCATCACTCCTACTAACCTTTCAAGGAAGTAGGAATGATAATAGCTTCTTTTTCAAGTAAAAGTAATACACAACAGTGGAATGAAAAAAGTGAATGTTCCAGTAGGCCAACTCCTTAGTCATAGAAGTGGAAGCTTATAAAACATAAGTCTATAAAAGTAAATGTTACAAATAACAATTGAGATTATAAAGGGATGATGATCAAGAATACAAGTTGACTAAAAATACAAGTTATAAATATAGTTTTTCCAAATGTAAGAAGGTAAGAGCCAACAGTATTTCTGAAAATAATTTTACCTGGTCTAGATCCAGAGAAGAATAAACAATTTTGCCTTTGTCATCTCCAGAGAACAATTTCATTCCATTGGGGCTCCAAGCCAGAGCTGTAATGCTATTTTTGTGAATACCAGTGACATCAAATCTCCGAAGCTATGAACAAGGGATAAAAATATACACAAGAAAAAAAAAGGATAAATGCTGTGAGCTGGGGCTACATGGAAAAGGTATACAATCACTCCTAGTTAGGGAAGAGCTGGTTTTCCCAATCTCGTTTTCCAAGCAGAACCCTGCACAAAGTTCCATCTGTCTAGTCACCTTCAAAACCCACAGAGAGCATACCTTGAGAATATTAAGCAAAAATGAAATGACCCACATGTACTTTATGCCAAGTGTCCAACCCAGCACAAAAATGTTCTCCAATTATAAACAGCACAGTGTTAAGCTTCTCTGAGCATTTTTTTTTTTTTTGAGACAGAGTCTCGCTCCGTCAGGCTGGAGTGCAGTAGCGTGGTACAATCTCAGCTCACTGTGACCTCTGCCTCCCGGGTTCAAGTGATTCTCCTGCCTCAGCCTCCCGAGTAGCTGGGACTACAGGCACGCACCACCACGCCCAGCTAATTTTTGTATTTTTTTTCTTTTTTTAGATGGAGTCTCCCTCTGTCGCCCAGGCTGGAGTGCAGTGGCGTGATCTCCGCTCACTGCAAGCTCCGTCTTCCGGGTTCACGCCATTCTCCTGCCTCAGCCTCCCTAGTAGCTGGGACTACAGGCACCCGCCACCACACCCGGCTAATTTTTTGTATTTTTTAGTAGAGATGGAGTTTCACTGTGTTAGTCAGGATGGTCTTGATCTCCTGACCTCGTGATCTGCCTGCCTCGGCCTCCCAAAGTGCTGGGATTACAGGCATGAGCCACTGCACCCGGCCAAATTTTGTATTTTTAGTAGAGATGGGGTTTCACCATGTTGGCCAGGATGGTCTTGATCTCTTGACCTCGTGATCAGCCCGCCTTGGCCTTCCAAAGTACTGGGATTACAGGCATGAGCCTGGGCAGAGAAAGTCGTGCCCGGCTTTCTCTGAGCATAAACTTTCTAAGCAGATGAGGATTTCTAATTTTAAAAATCCATGAGGAATGTGCCAAGAAGTTAACACGTGTTAAGATCATGAGTACTCACCTGTTTATTTCTCCCTGGCAATGAAGATACAAGTTGAAAAACTGCAACCCTGCCAGAGGCTGTGCCTGCTGCCACCAGGTCATCAAAGCAGCTCAGCAGCTTCACCACAGTGATAGATTCCGTCTTCCCCTGGGGAAACGTTGAAAACAAATGAATCTGTAACTATGCAGGCTTTGAAAATGTAAAACAAGGAGGACATTACTAAAGGAGTGAAAAACTTCATCAGGCTGCAGTCCATACATATTCTTGATTGAAAAGGTATACAAGTCAGAAATTACATCTGTTGAAAAAACAAAAACAAAAACAGGGCTGGGCGTGGTGGATCACGCCTGTAATCCCAGCACTTTGGGAGGCCAAGGCAAGCAGATCACCTGAGGTCAGGAGTTCGAGACCAGCCTGGCCAACATGGCGAAACCCCGTCTCTACTAAAAACACAAAAATTAGCTGGGCGTGGTGGCAGATGCCTGTAATCCCAGCTATTTGGGAGGCTGAGGCAGGAAGAATCACTTGAACCCAGGAGGCGGAGGTTGCAGTGAGCCGAGATCGTGCCATTGCATCCAGCCTGGGCGACAGAGCAAGACTCTGTCTCAAAAAACAAGAAACAACAACAACAAAAAAACCAAAAAACAAATATACCTAGGTAGGAGGGCAGTGGTGCAATCACAGTTCACTGCAGCCTCAACCTCCCAGGCTCAAGCGATCCTCGCACCTCAGCCTCCCAAGTAGCTGGGACTACAGACGTGTGCCCCACACCCAGGTAATTTTAATTTTTTTTTGTAGAGACAAGGTCTCACTATATTGCCCAGGCTGGTCTCAATCTCCTGGGCACAAGGGATCTTCCTGCCTGGGCCTCTCAAAGTGCTGGGATTACAGATGTGAGCCACTGCACCCTGCCCTCATGCCCCAATTTTAATTTTTTTTTGAGATGGAATCTCACTCTATCACCAGGCTGGAGTGCAGTGGCGCCACCTTGGCTCACTGCAACCTCCACCTCCTGGGTTCAAGCGATTCTCCTGCCTCAGCCTACTGAGTAGCTGGGACCACAGGCGCCCGCCACCACGCCCCGCTTTTTTTGTATTTTTAGTAGAGACGGGGTTTCACCGTGTTAGGCAGGATGGTCTCGATCTCCTGACCTCGTGATCTGCCCGCCTTGGCCTCCCAAAGTGCTGGGATTACAGGTGTGGGCCACCATGCCCAGCCCTCATCCCCCAATTTTTTAATGTTAAAATACACATAACGTAAAATTACCAGTATCCCTTTTTAAAGTATACATTTCAGTGGTATTCAATACATTCATAATGCTCTTCAATCATCACCATTATCCATCTCCACGAATATTTAATCTTGTAAAACTGAAACTCTATTAAACAATAATTCCCCATTCATCCCTCCCCCCAGCCCCTGGCAACTACCATTCTACTTTCCGTCTTTATGATTTTGACTACTCTTTTTTTTTTAATCTCCTCAGATTCCTTTTACCGTGATTTTGAATACTCTAAATACCTCATACAAATGGAACCATACAGTATTTGCCTTTTTTCTGACTGGCTTATCTCCTTAACACAGTATCTTCAAGGTTCATCCGTGTTATAGCACATATCAGAACTCCTTCCTTTTTAAGGCTTACTCATATTCTCTTGTATGTACATACTACATTTTGTTTATCCATTCATCCGTTGATAGACGCACATGGATTGCTTCCCCATTTTAACTACTGTGAATAAGGCTCCTATGAATATGAGTGTACAAACATCTCTTTGAGATACTGCTTTCAATTATCTTGGGTACATACTGTACTCAGGACTGAATTTTGGTATCATATGGTAATTCTATTTTTAATTTTTTTGAGCAACCACCATACTGTTTTCTAGTATTGGCTGCATCATCTCATTCCTGTGAACAATGCACCAGGGTTCCCATTTCTCACATCCTTACCAACCCTTGTTATTTCCTTTTTTTCTTTTTTTTGACAGTAGCCATCCTAATGGGTGTGGGGTATAGTTTTGACATGCATGCCCTAATAATTAGTGATGGTCATTTTTCATATGCTTATTGGTCATTTGTTTACCTTCTCTGGGGAAACATCTATTCAAGTCCTTTGCCCATTTTTGAATTGGGTTTTTTCATTGTTGAGTTTTTTGTCTGTTTGTTTCTTTTTGAGATGGAGCCTCGCTCTGTTGCCCAGGCTGGAGTGCAATGGTGCAACCTTGGCTCACTGCAACCTCCACCTCCCGGGTTCAAGTGATTCTCATGCCTCAGCCTCCAGAGTAGCTGGGACTACAGGCATGCATCACCACACCTGGCTAATTTTTTATATTTTTAGTAGAGACAGAGTTTCCCCATGTTGGCCCCGCTAGTCTCAAACTCCTGGCCTCAAGTGATCCGCCTGCCTGGGCCTCCCAAGTGCTGGGATTACAGGTGTGAGCCACCAGGCCCCGGCCATTTTGAGTTAATTTTTGAATGTAGTATTAGGTAAGGGTCCAACTTCATTCTTTTGCATGTGAATATCCAGTTTCCCCTATACCATTTGTTGAAAAGACTGTCCTTTCCCTGTGGAACAATCTTCACGTCCTTATCAAAAATCACTTGACTGGGCCAGGTACGGTGGCTCACACCTGTAATCCCAGCACTTTGGGAGGCTGATGCAGGCGAATCACTTGAGGTCAAGAGTTCCAGACCAGCCTGGCTAACACGAAATCCTGTCTCTACTAAAAATACACAAATTAGCCAGGTGTGGTGCCACACGCCTGTAGTCCCAGCTACTCGGGAGGCTGAGGCAGGAGCATCATTTGAACCTAGGAGGTGGAGGTTGCAGTGAGCCGAGATCACGCCATTGCACTGCAGCCTGGGCAACAGAGTGACAGTCTGTCTCAAAAAAAAAAAAAAATTTCACTTGACTATATAAGAGGGTTTATTTCTGGGCTATTGATTTCATCGGTCTCTATGTCTATTTTTATGTATCATGCTGTTCTCTTCTTTTTCTTATTTCTTCATACCACAGCCAAGTCCAATACACTGTTTCAATGACTGCATTTTTGCAGTTAAGTTTTAAGTTCAGGAAGTTTGAGATCTCCAGCTTTGTTCTTTTTCAGGTTTGTTGGGGCTTTTCAGGTTCTCCTGAGATCCCATATGAATTTTAGAATAAATTTTTATATTCTAAAACTCCCAAGCCAAAAAATGGCCTTGGGAGTTTGATAGAAATTGTATTGAATTAACTTATAAATTACTTTGGGTGGTATGGACAGCTTAACAATATTAAGTCAGGCTAGTCGGGGTGATTCATGCCTGTAATCCCACAATTTTGGGAGGCCAAGGCAGGAGGATCACTTGAGCCCAGGAGTTCAAGACCAGCCTGAGCAACATAGTGAGACCCCATCTCTACAAAAAATTAAAAAAAAAAAAAAAGCCGGGCATAGTTGTGCATGCCTGTAGTCCTAGCTACTTGGGAGTCTGAGGTGGGAGGATCACTTGAGCCTAGGAGATTGAGGCTGCAGTGAGCTGTGATTGTGCCACTGCACTCCAGCCTAGGTGACAGAGCAAGACCCTGTCTCCAAAAACCAAACACACAATGTTAAGTCTTCCAATTTCTCAACATACAATGTGTTTCTATTTACCTATGTCTTTAATTTCTTTCAGCAATGTTTCATGTTTCATTGTATGAGTCTTTCACCTCCTTATTCTTTTTAATGCCATTTTAAGTGGAATTTTCCTCTTAATTTCTTTTTCATATTATTCATTGTTGGTGTTTAGAAATGCAACTGATTTTTGTGCATTGACTTTGTATGCTGCTACTATGTCAGTTTCATGTATTAGTTCAAACAATTTTTTGTGGAATCTTTAGGGTTTCTACATACAAGATCATGTCATCTGCAAACAGAGATACTTTTACTTCTTCCTTCCCAATTTTGATGCCTCTTAATTTCTTTTTCTTGGCTAATGACTCTGGCTAAAATTTCCAGCACTGTGTTGAACTGAAGTGACAAAAGCAGGCATTTTGCCTTGTTTCTGATCTTAGAGGAAAAGCTTTCCGTTTTTTACCATTAAGTATAATTGTTCACTGTTTTTCATATATGGCTTTTATTATGTTGGGGTAGTTTCTATTCCCAGTTTGTTGAGTGTTTTTACCATAAAAGGGTGTTGAATTTTGTCAAGTGCTTTTTATGGACCAGTGGAGTGACCATGTGATTTTGTCCCTCATTTTGTTAAAACAGCATATTAGGTAACTGACTTTCATATGTTGAACCATCCTTGCATTCCAGAAATATATCCCACTTTGGTCATGGTGTATAATCCTTTTAATATGCTGCTGAATTTACTTGCTAGTATTTTCTTGAAGATTTTTGCATCAATGTTCATGAGGGATACTGATGTGTATTTTTCTTGTGGTTATCTTTTCTAGTTTTGATATCAGCATAATTCTGGCCTCATAGAGTGAATTCAGAAGTATTCCCTCCTCTTCAACTGTTTGGAAAAATTTGAGAAGAAATAGTGTTAGTTCTTCTTTAAATGCTTGGTTAAATTCACTGGTGAAGGCTTCGTGTCTAGGGCTTTTCTTTACAAGGAGATATTTGATTATTGATTCTATCCTCTTACTAATTATAGATCTACTCAGGTATTCTATTTTTTCACGGTTTAGTCTCAGTAGGTTTTGTGTTTCTAGGGGTTTGTCCATTTCATCTAGGTTATCCAATCTGTTGGTATTCAACAGATCACCATCCTGTCATAATCCTTTTTGTTTCTGTTGAATCAATAGTAAGGGTCTACTTTGTTTCTGGTTTTAATCATTTGTGTCTTCTCTCATTTCTTCTTGATCCATCTGGCTAAAGGTTTGTCAATTCTGTTTACCTTTACAAAAATTCAACTTTTGGTTTCACTGATTTTCTCTATTGTTTTCTAGTCTCTATTTCCTTTACCTCTGTTCTAATCTTATTATTTCCTTCCTTCTGCTAGTTTTGAGTTTAGTTTTTCTTCCTTTTCTAGTTCCTTAAATGGTAAAGTTTAGGTTGTTGATTTGAGATTTTTCTTATTTTTTAATGTATATATTTAAAGCTATAAATTTCTCCTTTAGCACTGTTTTCACTGTCCCATAAATTTTGGTATGTGTGTTTTCATTGTCAATCATCTTTAAGTATTTTTAAATTTCTCTTGTAATTTCTTTATTTACCCTTTGGTTGACTAAGAGTATATGGTTAATTGCACAAATTTGTGGATTCTCCAATTTTCCTTCTGTTACTGATTTCTAACTTTATCCTGTTGTGGTTGCAATAAGAACATACTTTGTATATCTTTTAAAATCTATTGACACTAATTTGTGGCTTAACATATAGTCTATCCTGGAAAACATCCCATCTACATTTGAGAAAATGTATGCTATTGTTATTGGGTAGAGTGTTCTATAAATGTCTGTTAAATCTAGTTGGTTTATCATGTAAAGTTTCTTTATTTTTCTATCCATTATTGATAGTGGGATATTAAAGCTTCCAACTTTTATTGTAGAACTGTCTATTTCTTCCTGCAATTCTGTAACTCTTTTTGTCTGATAGTAGAATAGCCACCCCGATCCCTTTTCATTACTATTTGCATGGAATATCTTTTTCTATCCTTTCACCAGCAACATTTGGATTTAAAGTGAGTCTCTCTTTTTTTTTTTTTTTTTTTTTTTGAGACGGAGTCTCGCTCTTTTGCACAGGCTGGAGTACAGTGGTGCGATCTCGGCTCACTGCAAGCTCTGCCTCCCGGGTTCACGCCATTCTCCTGCCTCAGCCTCCTGAGTAGCTGGGACTACAGGCACCCACCACCAAGCATGGCTAATTTTTTTGTATTTTTTAATAGAGACAGGGTTCCACTTTTCAGTAGAGACAGGGTTCCATCATATTAACCAGGATGGTCTCGATCTCCTGACCTTGTCATCTGCTGGCCTCGGCCTCCCAAACTGCTGGGATTACAGGCTTGAGCCACTGCACCTGGCCGTGAGTCTCTTATATATAGCATATAGTAGGATTGTTTTTTGTTTTTTTTTTTTTTTTTGAGATGGAGTTTTGCTCTTGTTGCCCAGGCTGGAGTGCAATGGTGCAATCTCAGCTCACTACAACCTCTGTCACCCAGGTTCAAGCATTTCTCCTGCCTCAGCCTCCTGGGTAGCTGGGATTACAGGCATGCACCACTACACCCAGCTAATGTTTGTATTTTTAGTAGAGTTTGGGTTTCACCATGTTACCCAGGCTGGTCTCGAACTCCTGACCTCAGGTGATCCACCCACCTTGGCCTCCCAAAGTGCTGGGATTACAGGTGTGAGCCACTGCGTCCAGCCCAGATTGGTTTTAAAAACCATTTTGACAATCTTTGTCTTTTGATTGGAGAGTTTAATCCATTTACATTTAAGGTAATTAACCAATAAACAGGGACTTATTTCTATCATTTTGTTCCTTTTTTTTTGCGACGAGTCTCACTCTGTTGCCCAGGCTGGAGTGCAATGGTGTGACCTTGGCTCACTGCAACCTCTGTCTCCTGGGTTCAACCAATTCTCTGCTTCAGCCTCCCGGGTGGCTGGGATTACAGGTCCCCGCCACCATGCCTGGCTAATTTTTCTGTTTTTTTAGTAGAGACGGGGTTACACCATCTTGGCCAGGCTAGTCTTGAACTCCTGACCTCGTGATCCACCCGCCTCGGCCTCCCAAAGTGCTGGGGTTATAGGCGTGAGCCACCGCGCCTGGCTTGTCATTTTGTTTTGTATATGCCTTAAGGTTTTTGTCCCTAGTTTCCTGCATTACTGTCTACTCCTGTGTTTAGTTGATTTTTGGGGGTACATTAAAATATTTAAATTCCTTTCTCATGTCCTTTTGTGTATATTCTACAGTGATTTTCTCTGTCATTACCATGAGGATTACATTTAACATCCTAAAGTTATAACACTAATTTAAATTTCTATCAGCTTAATTTCAGTAACACAGAAAAGCTCCACTCCATTACAGCTGGGTCCTCAACCTTTTTGCTTACTGATATCACAAAATTATACCTTTATAAACTGTGTGCCCCAAACCATAAAGTAAATAATTATTTTAAATGCTTTAGAAATTATTTTACCAAAAAAATTATTTTAAATTATGTAGAAAACAAAATGTGGGCTGGGCACGGTGGCTCACGCCTATAATCCCAGCACTTTGGGAGGCCAAGGCGGGCAGATCAACTGAGGTCGGAGTTTAACACCAGCCCGGCCAACATGGAGAAACCCCGTCTCTACTAAAAATACAAAAATTAGCTGGGTGTGGTGGCACACACCTGTAATCCCAGCTACTTGGGAGGCTGAGGCACAAGAATCACTTGAACCCGGGAGGCAGATGTTGCAGTGAGCCCATATCACACCACTGTACTCCAGCCTGGGTGACAGAGCAAGACACCATCTAAAAAAAAAAAAAAAAGAAAAGAAAAGAAAATGTGGATTCACAAACCAACATTACAATACTACTAGCTTTTAGACTAATTTTAAAAAAGCATTTTAGTCTCTTAAATCATGTAGAACACAAAAATGCAATTATAAACCATTGTTACAGTAATATTAGCTTTTAAAATTGCACATATCCTTCACTTTTGAGATCTTCATTTCTTTTTCTTTTTTTTTTTTCTTCATTTCTTTTTTTGAGACGGAGTCTTGCTCTGTCACCAGGCTGGAGCGCAGTGGCCAGATCTCAGTTCGCTACAACCTCCACCTCCTGGGTTCAAGCGATTCTCCTGCCTCAGCCTCCTTGAGTAGCTGGGGACTACAGGCACAAGCCACCACACTTAGGTAATTCTTGTATTTTTAGTAGAGATGGGGTTTCACCATGTTGGCCAAGATGGTCTCCATCTCTTGACCTCATGATCCACCCACCTCGGCCTCCCAAAGTGATGGGATTACAGGCATGAGCCACCGTGCCCGGCCAAGATCTTCATTTCTTTATATGGCTTTGAGTAACTGTTTAATATCCTTTAATTTCCCTCTGCAGGACTCACTTGAGTATTTCTTGCGGGGCAGGTCTTGTGGCTAATGAACTCCCTCCATTTTTGTTCACCTGGGAATATCTTAATTTCTTTTTCATTTCTGAAGGACAGTTTTGCTGGGTATTAGATGGTTAGTTGACAGGTCTTCTTTCTTTTTAACACTCTGAATATATCAGCCCACTGTATTCTTGCCTCCAAACTTTGTTTTTTTGTTTTGTTTTGTTTTTTGAGACAGATTCTCACTCTGTCATCCAGGCTGGAGTGCAGTGTCCTGATCTCAGCTCACTGCAACCTCTGCCTCCCAGATTCAAGCGATTCTTGTGCCTCAGGCACCCAGATGGCTGGGATTACAGGCACATACGCCACCATCCCTGGCTAATTTTTGTATTTTTAGAGACAGAGTTTCGCCATGTTGGCCAGGCTGGTCTCAAACTCCTGGCCTCAAGAGATCCACCTGCCTCAGCCTCCCAAAGTGCTGGGATTATGGATGTGAGCCACTGCACCTGACCCCTCCAAAGTTTTTGATGAGAAATCTGCTTATAATCTTATTGGGGGTCCCTTGTATATGAGGAGGCATTTCTCTCCTCTCTGAAGTTTGTTTTTTTAGTCAGCTTCCTCAGGTTGAATCCTTTTTTGAGACAGGGTCTCATTCGGTAGGCCAGGCTGGAGTGCAGTGCCTCAATCATAGCTCACTGCAGCCTCGACCTTCCAGGCTCAAGCAATTTTCCCACCTTAGCCTCCCGAGGACCTGAGACTACAGGCAAATGCCACCTCGCCCGGCTAATTTTTTTGATTTTTAGTAGAGATGAGGTCTTACTATATTGCCCAGGCTGAGCTTGAACTCAAGTGATCCTCCTGCCTTGTCCTCCCAAAGTGCTGGGATTACAGGTGTGAGCCACTGAATCCAGCCCAAAGGTTCTTTGGTTTTCGCTTTTGGGAGTTTGATTGTAATGTGTCTTGGTGTGGGTGTCCTTGAGTTCATCTTACTTGGAGGTCGTTTAACTTCCTAGATGTTTATATCCATGTCTCTCGTCAAATCTGGGAAGCTTCCAGATACTATTTCTTCAAATAATCTCTCTCCCCCTTTCATTTCTTTCTATAACTCCCAGAAAACATGTTAGTCTCTTTGATGATGACCCTTAGGCTCTGCTCATGTTTCTTCAAACATTTTTCTGTTTGTCAGACTTGATAATTTTAATATCTTATCTTCAAATTCACTGATTCTTTCATCTGCCTACTCAAATCTGCCTTTGAATCCCTCCAGTGAATTTCTCATTTCAGTTATTGTATTTTTCAGTTCCAGAATTATTTTCAGTTTCTTTTTAGGGTTTCTATCTCTTTATTTATATTTACATTTTATTTGTACACTGTTTTCCTTTTTCTTTTCTTTCTTTTTTCTTTTTTTTTTTTTTTTTTTGAGACAGAATCTGTCTCTGTTGCCCAGGCTGGAGTGCAGTGGCACGATCTTGGCTCAGTGCAACCTCCATCTCCCGGGTACAAGTGATTCTCCTGCCTCAGCCTCCTGAGTAGCTGAGACTACATGCTTGTGCCACCACGCCCAGCTAATTTTTGTCTTATTTACTAGCGATGACCCGGGTTTCAACATGTTGGCCAGGCTGGTCTTGAACTCCTGGACTCAACTGATCTGCCTCTCAAAATGCTGGGATTACAGGCGTAAGCCACCACACCCAGCCTTCATACGCTGTTTTACCTTTTTCCACATCTTATTTATTTATTTATTTAGAGAAGGAGTCTCACTCTGTTACCCAGGCTGGAGTGCAATGGCACAATCTCGGCTCACTGCAACCTCTGCCTCCCAGGTTCAAGCGATTCTCTTGCCTCAGCCTCCCAAGTAGCTGAGATTACCAGTGCACACCACCACACCCAGCTAGTTTTTGTATTTTTAGTAGAGACAGGGTATCCCCATGTTGGCCAGGCTGGTCTCAAACTCCTGACCTCAAGTGATCCACCTGCCTTGGCCTCCCCAAGTGCTGGGTTTACAGGCATGAGCTACCGCCCCCAGCGCCACATCTTCTTTAGTTGTTTGCATATCTTTAAGACAGTTGTTTTAAAATCTTTTTCTAGTAGGTCTACTATGTGGTCTCACAGTTTCAGTTGTTTTTTTTTTCCTTGGAAGAGCATACTTTCCTGTTTCTTTGTGTGCCTCGTGATTTGTTTTGTTGAAAACTGAACATTTGAATCTAATACTGTGGTAATTCAGAAAATCAGATCCTCCCCTTTTCAAGTTTACTGGGTTTTGTTATTCTGTGTGTGGATGTGTGTGTGATTCTTTTTGTTTACTGTAGGCCGTCTGTGCCAAAGATCAGTCTTGGGTATAAACTCAGGGTCTTCTCAGGTCTTTACTGTGCCTATACCTTTTCCTAGGCATGCACAGTCACTTCTTAATTCTCCCCCTTATATGCAGTTGCTTTTCAATGTCATATTCTCTAACATCTGGCTCCCAAATGGGAAAAAATAAAAGTGAAGCAAGGGAGCAGGACCATTAGCTCTTTAAATCCCCTGGAAGTCTTGTTAATTGGAGGGGGAAGAACTTGCAATAATGAGGAGGTGTAACGACAATGGCCACCCATCTCTTTGTCTGCACCTCTACGATCAGAAGCAGCAATCAGCAGTCAGAGCACAGACCCCAAATATTTAGAGGACAAGATGCTTTTTGCCTATTCTGGCTCCCACGCTGTGTGCAAGCTCTAGGAACACCCGCGTAGCCGCCTTCCACAGAACTGGGGTTGGGGAGTGCATAGCTGCTACTGTGCTAAGAGTTGAAACTGACCAAAATTAACCACAGTTTGCCATCCCAGCAAGAATGTGTAAACCTCAGTAGACTTCCGAGTTCCAAAATAGTTAGATCAGACAGATCCTGCCAGTACAATTGATGTCTAGGTGTGGAGACAGATGACTGGTGCTCCCTCTTCCACCATTTTCCCCAAATACTCTCCTTCCTCTCTAGGTTTTTAATCTTTGAAATGAAAACACAAAAAAACAAAAACAAAAAAACCCCACCTCATTTCTAATGACGAAAATGCTGATCAATCAAGTATGAATATGCTGAGCTCTTATTAAAAGATGGGCCGGGTGCAGTGGCTTATGCCTGTAATCCCAGCATTTTGGGAGGCCAAGGTGGGCAGATCACCTGAGGTCAGGAGTTCAAGACCAGCCTGGCCAACACGGCGAAACTCCGTCTCTACTAAAAATACAAAAACTAGCCTGGCGTGGTGGTGTGTGCCTGTAATCCCAGCTGTTCGGGAGGCTGAGGCAGGAGAGCAGCTTGAACCCATGAGGCAGAGGTTGCAATGAGCTGAGATCGCGCCACTGCACTCCAGCCTGGGCAACAGAGCAAGACTCCATCTCAAAAAAAAAAAAAAAAGAGTACTAAAGAACTTCAACAAGAAAGGTATTTCCCCCAACACCTGCTCAAAAACCAAGAATCTGGAGTCACAAGAGCTGCCCCAGATCCAAGTTCTACTTCACCTGATCAACAGGGACAATTCATGAAGTGAACACTTGTTATCCATAATCTACCTGCCCCACAGGTTTTGCTGAGAGGGTTATAAGATGATGCGTCTAAATATGACTTATAAACTAATTCCTACCATGTTTTGGTTTTCAGATCAATAATCCTATTAAAGTTTAATATGTTGGTTTATTTTAGTTTAGTTTAGTTTAGTTTTTTGGAGACAGAGTCTCGCTCTGTCGCCCAGGCCGGAGTGCCACGGTGTGATCTCGGCTCACTGCAACCTCTGCCTCCCGGGTTCAAGCAATTCTCCTGCCTCAGCCTCCTGAGTCGATGGGATTACAGGCAGACGCCACCATGCCCAGCTAATTTTTGTATTTTTAGTAGAGACGGGGTTTCACCATGTTGGTCAGGCTGGTCTCAAACTCCTGACCTTGTGATCCACCTGCCTCAACCTTCCAAAGTGTTGGGATTACAGGCGTGAGCCACCGTGCCCGGCCCAACATGTTGGTTTATTAAAAAGCACATGTATAAGCATTGCTCACAGATGTTCAGGCTTCTGGTCTGAGTGGTCTTTTTTATTTTGAAAGTATTCATTCAGAAAAATTACACAACTGTTTTGACCTTGCTAAGATATATGGCGACATCTTCAGTAAACCATTTTAATCTTCAATAGAGTAATTTATATAGTAATCAACCTGCCAAATATGCAAGAAACAAATATACCTCCTTGCTCTGGGTACCAAGTGAGCTGCTATAACAATACAAAATAAAGTAGGTCACAGTCCCAGCCCTCTTAAAGCTTAGCTGTTGCACATGAAAAGCCGCCTACAGTGAGTTGAGGTGGTAATGAAGGAGCTCACTTTCATCTGGTACTTGAAAGCTTTCAGGGTATTTTCATGGACTATAAATATATCTAGTGTCAGATCGTGATCTAGGTTAAGAGATTTAGATCTTAAGCTACAGCAAGAAAAAGGGGGATCCCTTGAAGATTTCTGATTTTGCCAGTGTATCAGTCAGAGGCATTTCTGACAAACACGATTAGGAGCAGGACAGGACGGCGGAAGGAGGGAGTGGGGCAAGTCAGGAAGCCGCTGGGAGTGTTTCACAATAGCTCAGGCTAAGGTAAGTAAGGGCCCAGTCTAGAAAAGGGGTAAACAGAACAGGCATGAGGGCAGTGAAATCGTGATGAAGACAGACTCCGTCGAGACCTTGTGAGAAGGATGGCAGCAACAAAGAAAACAGGACAGCAGCTTGTCTTTGTTTTCCTGTGCCAGGTAATGTGTTAAGCCCTTTAAATGCATAACTGGATCCTCAAACAGCTTTCTATAAGGGAAGGTGCTGTAGTTAGCCACATTTTACAAATATGGGACTGAGCTCCAGACAGGTTAACTAATTTGTTTTTTGGTTTGTTTTGAGACAGGGTCTCGCTCTGTCACCCAGGCTGAGTGCAGTGGCCCGATCATGGCTCACTGCAGCCTTGACCTCTCAGGCTCAAGTGATCCTCCCACCTCAGCCCCTACAAGTAGCTGGGAATACAAGTGTGTGCCACCACACCCAGCTAATTTTTTATTTTTTGTAGAGACAGGATCTTGCTATGTTGCCTAGGCTGGTCTCAAACTCCTGGACTCCAGTGATCCTGCCTCAGCCTCCCAAAGTGCTGGGATTACAGGTGTGAGCCACCGTGCCTGGTAGTAATTTGTCTAAGGTTACAAAGCTAGTGAAAATCAAGAGTCAGGATTCACACACAAATGTGACACTCTCCAGAGGCCCTGTTCTGCCTCTGTGCTCGATACTTTCTCCGTGAATTAACCCAAAGGACTTGGCGATAGAGGATTTGGTAGGTTTGTGGAAAGGAAGGAGAATGAGGGAAACTTTATGATCTGGAGTTGGGTAACATGAGATGAATGATACCATTAACAGAATTCACTGGCATTGCTTTGAAGGGAAAATGTGATGTAATATGTTTTAAAATGTACAGTCTTGACATGGTGGCAAGAAGTTGAAAACAAAATATTTTCCTTAGAAATTTATCATTATAAAAATGAACTCATCAGGAATTAAAATGATTTACTAGAGATTTTGCCATGTCATAGCACAAGTTCAAAATGGCTGTGAAATTTTTCTGAATGAATGGTTCCAAAATAAAAATGATCATGACCAGGCGCGGTGGCTCATGCCTATAATCCCAGCACTTTGGGAGGCCGAGGCGGGTGGATCATTTGAAGTCAGGAGTTCGATACCAGCCTGGCCCACATGGAGAAACCCCATCTCTACTAAAAGTACAAAAATTAGCCAGGTGGTAGTGGTGCGCACCTGTAATCTCAGCTACTTGGGAGGCTGAGGCAGGAGAATCGCTTGAGCCTGGGAGGCGGAGGTTGCAGTGAGCCAAGATCATGCCACTGCACTCCAGTCTGGGCAACAGAGTGAGACTCCGTCTCAAAAATAAATAAATAAATAAATGATCATGTAGAGGGGGCTGGAAGCCTCAATACTGGTGTGCAGTGCTTGTATGTGTGCTTTGTAATGTATCAGTGTCCTTTGTAATGTAACCAATGAGCTTGAGTTAATGTTATTTAATATGATTATTAATAAATGTCATAGTTATTGATGTAAGAATCAAAACATCCCAGACATCAGATTATTAACACTTAACTACAGTTCATATAGAAATAGAATATGAGGCTTTAATTTTGCACAATACAATAGCCTAGCTATCCCAAAACACCCCTCTCCAAACACCTGGCAATGCTGAGTGCAATATATAACAAAGCCTTTCAAATGCACAGCTGAATTTTCAAGAAAGTATGGAAAATCCACAGGACCCCAAAACCAAGAAGAATGCCCCCAAACTAAAACAGAAGCTAGCCCTGAAGCTACAGGCTACCCTGTAACTATCTGGCACACCTCTGGAGCCTTGGTTTTCAGAGCGGAGTAGATGATGGGGAGCTGGAGCTGATATTCTCTGCCAAGCCAGAATCCCAAGGACCTAACCCTAAGTGAAGGAGTAAGCTAGGGAAAAATTGATTTGCTGGCAAATGGAGCTGGCAAGGAAATCTGTCTTATCTCAAGCATTGATTGGAACGAATAAAAAAGAATCTTTCCGAAGAATGTGTCATCATAAGCCTGCCCCATTCAGCATCAGAGTTTGAATTTATTCTCTTTCCAAGCAAAGCTCTATGCAGACGGTTAATCTGAAGTGCTTCTATGTTGGTAGCACTCCAAGGTGCCTGGCATTGGTAAACATAAACCCCATCTGTGGAGCAGTCCCGATCCAGGTCCCCCAGGGTTCTCATACATTAGGATCAGCCACATTGCTCGTAATTAGAAATTACGATAGGGAAGCAGGCCCATGAATGAGTCAAGTAAAACAAGCCATAACAGCACTGAACAACCCCAAGTATTTCACTTAGATTGAAGAACACAGAACATAAAAGAAAAATGATTAAAATGTTTTAAAAATAAAACAGGAAACTGAAATGTAAGCAAAGAACAACTACTATTGGAAATAGAAATGAAAAAATCCAAGAGAATTTAAAATGTCACTGGGTGGAATGAACAGCAAATTAGTCACAGCTGGAAAAAAAAGTATTGAACTAGATGACAGATCTGAGGAAATTACCTACCATGCAACAAAGAGATGAAAAGATTCAAAACATGAAAGAGAAGTTTAGAGACATAGAAGAGAGAACATAAAGGTCCAAGCTACACATAAGTGGGTTCTCAGCCAGGCGCAGTGGCTCACGCCTGTAATCCCAGCACTTTGGGAGGCTGAGGCAGGTGAATCACCTGAGGTCCAGGAGTTCATGACCAGCCTGGCCAACACAGTGAAACCCCGTCTCTACTAAAAATACAAAAAAAATCAGCTGGGTGTGGTGGCGAGCACCTGTAATCCCTGCTACTTGGGA
This sequence comes from Homo sapiens, assembly GCF_000001405.40. Taxonomy (NCBI): domain Eukaryota; kingdom Metazoa; phylum Chordata; class Mammalia; order Primates; family Hominidae; genus Homo; species Homo sapiens. The sequence continues at coordinate 102,392,109 of NC_000014.9, read as the reverse complement.
GGCTGAGGCAGGAGAATCACTTGAATGTGGGAGGCAGAGGTTGCGGTGAGCCAAGATCACACCATTGCACTCCAGCCTGGGCAACAAGAGTGAAACTCTGTCTAAAACAAAACAAAACAAAACAAAAAACAAACAAAAAAAGGGGTTTCAGCAGGAAATGAAAAGAGAGGGTAATGAAAAGTGGTATCTTCAGAGATAAAGGCTAAACGTTTTCCAAAATTCACCAAAGACATATCCTCAGAAGCTCAACTTTTTCATAAGACAAGGGTGCTGCCTTCAGGAGGCCTCACAATTTAGGAAAAGGAGCAAGACTCATCAATAATACAAGAGCAAAGCACTATTGGCACTGACACCCATGTATAGTGGGTAATGGGGAGGATGTGATCAACTCTGCCAGGTGCAGAGAGGGGAGGGCAGGAAAGGTGCTTAGGATGCCAGCTGGTTAAATATGAAGTACCTCATTTTATGGTATCCTCCTTGCCTTCATTTTTAAAATAATGATTATATATCCATGACTATATATAACATGTACAGCTTAAATTAGAGTTACTAAAAAATGAGCACCCATGGAATCCCCATCTAGCTTGGGAAAGGGACCATTAACAGCACCTTTGAAGCTCTTGTGTGCCTCTGCCTGACTACATACCCCACCCCACCAAAACCACTCTCCTAACATTGAGATGAAATATTCTCTTGCTTTGATTCATAGCTTTACCACATGCGTGTATATCTTTAAAAACCATAGTTTTAGGCCTGGCACAGTGGCTCATGCCTGTAATCCCAGCACTTTGGGAGGCCGAGGTGGGCGGATCACTTGAGGTCAGGAGTTCGAGACCAGCCTCGCCAACATGGTGAAACTCCCGTCTCTATTAAAAATACAAAAAATTGGTTGGGCGTGGTGGTGCACACCTGTAATCCCAGCTATTTGGGAGGCTGAGGCAAGAGAATCTCTTGAACCCAGAGGCAAAGGTTGCAGTGAGCTGAGATCATGCCACTGCACTCCAGCCTGGGCAACAGGGTGAGAATCTGTCTCAAAAGACAAAAAACAAATCCATAGTTTTACCTAACATGCAGATTCACAATGGTGAATTAGCTACATGTAGGGTCTGGCCCTCTACCTTCCTGACTCAGATACTCAATCTTTTTAGCGTCCTGCTGTTGATCAGCCCAGGGAGGTTGTCTCATGATCATATAATATACAAGAAATTGAAGTTTAAGCTGGAAAGCCAATTTATTATTTTACATTGAAGTAATGGTCATACAAATCAGATGCTAAGATAGGTACTATATATATATATATATATATTCTTCCCCTGATATACGTGGGCAGCAACTTTTAGTCCAAAAGTTGCTTGGCAAGCATGGTGCAATTTCTGATCAAACCACTGTAAGTGTTAGATCTCAGGAAGGGTCCCACAGCATGAGTCATTTCAGATACAAATATCTGCCCAGAGCCAGCCACACCAGCGGGATCACAGCTCTCAAAAGCTATCTCTCCCACTAAACAGGCAATTTGGCCCAATTTCTGGTTTTCCTAACTAACACAGTGTAGAGTCCACTTTCTTCCTTCTGCCACACACATTCTCTTCTTTTTTTGATCTAGGGACAATTCAGTCTTATTCTAGCCAGGGAGCCATTCTGTCTCTTTAAGATAACTTTGCCCATTTCTGATCTCATCTATTGTGTTTAACTCTCCTTTGCCTTTATTTCCAACTTCCCAGGAGGCATTTATTGCTACCCTCATTGTAGCAACATAACTTCCTCAAACAGAAATCCAGCAATCAAAAAGTTTAAGGAAAAAAAAAAGGCTTTTGATTTGAAAGGTGTCAGGAATGGTTTTCTGGACAAACATCTCACCATTACAATAGCATTCAGCTAACCTTCTTAGCCTCCTTGGCAGGCAGTTTTCCTTTCATACACAAGACAAAACTACATTGGGAAAAAGTGTTCTTTGTGAGCAGGTTCATGGGAACTGAAGTCTGACAAAGCTTTCTTTATGAGCTGCTTTTAGTAGGTCAAAGCTTAACCTTCAGTAGAAACCACTAGCATACCAAAGAATTGATCTGAAATATTTTGAAATATTTAAGACCAAATATGAATTCATTCAATTATTAAGAATGGTTACACTATTTTCCTCCTTTTACTAACAAAGAACATCTGTTTAATGTTTGAATACTAACACAACTTTTTAATGATCTGGAAGTTAAACAAAGATATCTGCTTTTCTGGAATAATTTTCTTAACTCCATAGGACAAAACAAAGTAGGGAATATCCACTGGAGTTGAAGGAAGAAGCCTAAAGCCAGGGACTCTATCATTAGAGAAGATCTAAAGCAGAAACAGACAAGGCAAATTCCCGGTAAAGGAAATAATTACACTGCCAGCAGAATCTCAGCAGTCAAGAGACAGTGGCATTAATACTTTAAAGTGCTCAAAATAACCACCATATGAAGTGAGGTAGGGATCCAGTTTCATTTTTCTTCCCATTCATATCCAGCTGTCCCACATCATTTACTGAAAAAGACTTTGTCGTATCACCTTTGCAATTACTCAAGTATCCATATACATGTTGGTCTTCTGACTTCTCTAATCTGTTCCAGTGATCTATGTATCTTTTCTTGTGCTAATACCACACTCCCTTAATTACTAAAGCTCTATAAGTTTTGTTACCTAATAGCAACTTCTCCCATTTGCTTCCTCTTTTCCACTAGTATGACTATTCCACCCACTACAATTTCATATGCATTTTTAAATCAGCTTATCATTTTTATTTATGTATTTATTAAGACAGAGACTTGCTCTGTCACCCAGGCTGGAGTGTAGTGCCATAATCTCGGCTCACTGCAACCTCTGCCTCCCAGGTTCAAATGATTCTCCTGCCTCAGCCTCCCAAGTAGCTGGGATTACAGGTGTGTGCCACCACACCTGGCTAATTTTTGTATTTTTATTATTTATTTATTTATTTATTTTTATTTTTTTGAGATGGAGTTTCACTCTTGTTGCCCAGGCTGGAGTGCAGTGGCACAATCTCGGCTCACTGCAACCTCCACCTCCCAGGTTCAAGCAATTCTCCTGCCTCAGCCTCCTGAGTAGCTGGGACTACAGGCACGTGCCACCACATCCAGCTAATTTTTTTTTTTTTTTTTTTTGAGACGGAGTCTTGCTCTGTCGCCCAGGCTGGAGTGCAGTGGCGCAATCTCGGCTCACTGCAAGCTCCGCCTCCTGGATTCACGCCATTCTCCTGCCTCAGCCTCCCGAGTAGCTGGGACTACAGGTGCCTGCCATCTCACCCGGCTAATTTTTTATATTTTTAGTAGAGACAGCATTTCACCATGTTAGCCCAATGGCCTCCATCTCCTGATCTCGTGATCCGCCCGCCTCAGCCTCCCAAAGTGCTGGGATTACAGGTGTGAGGCACCGCACCCGGCCTTTTTTTTGTATTTTTAGTAGAGACAGGGTTTCACCATGTTAGCCAGGATGGTCTCGATCTCCTGACCTCGTGATCCTCCTGCCTCGGCCTCCCAAAGTGTTGGGTTAACAGGCGTGAGCCACTGCGCCCAGCCAATTTTTGTATTTTTAGTAGAGATGGGGTTTCACCATACTGGCCAGGCTGGTCTCAAACTCCTGACCTTAAGTGATCCGCCCACCTTGGCCTCCCAAAGTGCTGGGATTACAGGCATGAGCCATCACACCTGGCCAGCTTGTTTTTTTAAATTAACACTAAAAAAAAACCTATTGGAATTCAGTTGAACTCAGGTAAATTTAGGGAGAATGGACATCTAATAAAATGTATTTTTTTTCCCTAAGAGTCACTGTTAAAAACATTTGAAAGCAAATTTTCCAGCAACCAATGAATGGAAGCAATCCATGCTAAGAAGGACACCCGTGAAGCCCTGTATGGTAATGTTATCAACAAACCAGAACACAGACATCACAGGCTCCTCATCACTGGACCTAAAAGTTACTCCCACAGGGAAAGACAATGGAAGGCACTGGGCAAATGCACCTTGGCTGCTATGGTGAGACAAAAACTGTCCTTTCTGCACCTCTTTAAAATATGTCTATAAAGTATAAGCCAATGAAATACTTGTAACATTCTGAAGCATGACTTTTCTCAATGCGAAATATCCAAGACATGTTTCAGGCTCAGTGCCTTTCCCTTCCGTTTTCTTGGAATACAGACATGTCAGTATGGTGTGTTGGTCATGCTCTTTACGTCTTTGTTCAACTGTCACCTTCTCAGTCAGACCTTCCCTGGAATGCTATTTAAAACTGCAACCACCCAGCCAGGTGTGGTGGCTCACGCCTGTAATCCCAGCACTTTGGGAGGCTGAGGCGAGTGGATCACGAGGTCAGGAGATCAAGACCATCCTGGCTAACACAGTGAAACCCTGTCTCTATTAAAAATACAAAAAATTAGCCAGGCGTGGTGGCAGGCACCTGTGGTCCCAGCTACTCGGGAGTCTGAGGCAGGAGAATGATGTGAAACCGGGAGGCAGAGCTTGCAGTGAGCCGAGATGGCGCCGCTGCACTCCAGCCTGGGGGACAGAGCAAGACTCCGTCTCAAAAAAAAAAAAAAAGACAGCTCTGAAGGCAAATCCATGAAATCTCATTGGCTTGTTGAATGCTAAGGAAAAGGGATCATATGTTTAACTTCAAAACAGAACATTAGAAACTCAGGTCAGGTAGTCTTTTTGGTCTATGCTTACACATATCAGACCTATATATTTAACACATTTCTAACATTTTTGTACTTGTTATTAGCTCCTTGCAACATTTTCTCAGTGCTTTTGGCACTAGGTAGGAAGAATCTGTGTTTCCATCTGCCCTCTCCCACTAACTTCTGTAGAAAAAAATGGTTTCCAAAGCACCATTCTTGAAAACACATGCAAGGCTATATTTACCACAGAAAAGGTCTGCTTTCCTCTTTAGGAAACATAACTTCATTTAAAAACATAATCTTTCAATCATGCCATACATGGATTTATTTGAGCATAAACTTTTTTATTTATCTTCCCATAAAATCTTAGATTTTCCCTAAACTAGTTAATGCATCTTTAACTTTCGACTTGGACATTCCAAAGAGACCACGCATCTGTATTCCATATCCTTGAAATCCACAGACTGCACAGAGGGCCTACCTCCTCTCACAAGAAGTAAGCACAATGGTTAGGCAATCAGAGATACGTGCCTTGAAGCAGGAATCTTAGAATTTCTTTATCTATAAAAAGTGGGGATTGTACCAAATGATTCTAAGACCCAGCCAGCTCTCATGATGAAAATGACAACAACAACAACATAAATATTTAATTCATCTCTGGGGTTAAACCACTAATAACTGGCAGCCAAAGCTCAAAACAAATCTTTGTGTTGCTGTGTTTATGCGTGTAATATGTACCAAAAATTTCTAGTAATTCCTCAGTAAAGTTAAAAAAATACGTAATTCCCTTTCACTCTTCCTCCCTCAGCCCATCCCAATCTTAATCCCTACCTAGAGTTAAGTAATCATGTGAAAATTCCTTCAGACCTTTTCCTATGTGTTTACATATAGGTATACAGCTTTGTTTCCAAGCTCTAAATCTTCTACCTCTAAATTCTACATTCTTGCCAAAAAAAAAATTTTCACTTTATTTTATTTTTGAGACAGAGTCTTGCTCTGTCGCCCAGGCTGTAGTGCAGTGGCGCAATCTCTACTCACTGCAACCTCCACCTCCTGGGTTCAAGCAATTCTCCAGCCTCAGTCTCCTGAGTAGCTGGGATTACAGGTGCCCGCCACCACACCCGGGTAATTTTTATATTTTTAGTAGAGATGGGGTTTTGCCATGTTGCTCAGGCTGCTCTCAAACTCCTGAGCTCAAAATGATCTGCCTGCCTCGGCCTACCAAAGTGCTGGGATTATAGGCGTGAGCCACCGTGCCTGGACAAGAAATTTATTTTATACCTCCCTTGTGATTCTCCACAATTATAAGTTTGATATCCTATATATAATGGGCGCTCAAAAAATGCTGTTGATACTCAGGGCTACCAAGTATGGATTTTGGCCCCAGCAAAATACATTTTTTTTCCAAATGTTAATATTTTAGATTTAAAAAGTTTTTGTAGGTACACAGCAGGCATATGCATGTATGGGTGAAATACATTTAAAGGATAACTAGCTAAATTTTTTTTTTTTTTGAGGCAGGGTCTCACTTTGATGCCCAGGTTAGGGTGCAGTGGCTCGATCTCGGCTCACTACGACCTCGACCTCCTGGGCTCAAATGATCCTCCCACCTGAGCCTCCTGAGTAGCTGGGACTACAGGTACACGCCATCACGCCTGAATAATTTTTGTATTCTTTCGTAGAGATGGGGGTCTTGCTGTATTGCCAAGGCTAGTCTCGAACTCCTGAGCTCAAGCTATCTGTCCGCCTCGGCCTCCCAAAGTGCTGGGATTACAGGTGTGTGCCACTATGCCTGGACTAGCTAAAATCTTTACATGGGATTCTCCCAGAGTCCCCTTCTATGGTGCTGGATCCAGTAATTTGTACCAGCTTCCCTCAATCTCTGGTACAGCCTGTGGATGCTGCTCCCTCAAACTCTGGTAGAGCCTGTGGATGCTGTTCCACCAAACTCTGGTAGAGCCTGTGGATGCTGTTCTACCATGTCACAGTCCTTCAAAGCTCACGTGACTTATCATATCTGCTATGGTTTAGATGTGGTTTGTCTTTGCCAAAATTTATGTTGAAGTCTGATCCCCAAAGTGGCAGTGCTGGGAGGTGGGGCCTAGTAGGAGGTGTTTGGGCCATGGGGGTAGATCCCTCATGAATAGATTAATGCCCTCCTCATGGGTGAATGAGTGCTCACTCTCCAAGGACTGGATTAGTTTCCAAGACAGCAGGTTGTTAAAAAGAGTCTGGCTTCCTTGCACGAGGATGGCACACAAATTTGTGAAGCACTCCATACTAAAAGAAAAAGAGCCGGGTGCCGTGGCTCATGCCTGTAATTCCAGCACTTTGGGAGGGTGAGGCATGTGGATCACCTGAGGTCAGGAGTTTGAGACCAGCCTGGCCAACATGGTGAAACCCTGTCTCTACTAAACATACAAAAATTAGCCAGATGTGGTGGCGCACACCTGTAGTCCTGGCCACTCGGAAGGCTGAGGCAGGAGAATTGCTGGAACCTAGGAGGCAGAGGTCGCAGTGAGCCGAGATTGCACCACTGCACTCCAGCCAGGGCAACAAGAGTGAAACTCTGTCTCAAAAAAAAAAAAAAAAAAAAAAAAAAAGGAAAGGAAAAGAAAATGAGTCTGGCATCCTTGGTTCCTGTCTTGCTTCCTCTCTTGCCATGTGACCATGTGAGATATAGATATATATATATACACACACATACATATACATATATATGTGTATATATATATACACACACACACACATATATATATATATATTTTTTTTTGAGGTGGTGTCTTGCTCCATCACCCAGGCTGGAGTGCAGTGGTGCAGTCTTGGCTCACTGCAATCTCCGCCTCCCGGGTTCAAGTGATTCTCCTGCCTTAGCCTCCTGAGTAGCTGGGATTACAGGCATGGGCCACCATGCCTGGCTAATTTTTCTATTTTTAGTAGAGATGGGGTTTCACCATGTTGTCCAGGCTGATCTCAAACTCCTGACCTCGTGATCCGCCTGTCTTGGCCTCCTGAAGTGCTGGGATTACAGGCCTGAGCCACCATGCCCGGCCTACCATGTGATCTCTTGATACACACCTGGTCCCCTTCCAATTCCCACCATGAGTGGAAGCAGCATGAGGTCCCCACCAGATGCAGCTGCCCAATCTTGGACTTTCCAGCTACAGAATTGTGGGCCAAATAAACCTCTTTAAAAAAATTAAAAATAGTAAAAAAATAAAAACAACTTCCGGCCGGATGCAGTGGCTCACACCCGTAATCCCAGCACTTTGGGAGGCCGAGGCAGGTGGATCACCTGGGGTCGGGAGTTCGAGACCAGCCTGGCCAACACGGAGAAACCCTGTCTCTACTAAAAATACAAAATTAGCCAGATGGGGTGGCACATGCCTGTAATCCCAGCTACTCAGGAGATTGAGGCAGAAGAATCGCTTGAATCGGGAGGCAGAGTTTGCAGTGAGCCGAGGTTGCGCCACTGCACTCCAGGCTAGGCAACAAGAGCGAAACTCCATCTCAAAAAAAAAAAAAAAGAACAACTACTAGTCTTAGGTATTCTGTTAAAGGAAAACGAAACAAAGATAATATGATAGAGAACTAATTATTGGTTAAACTGTAAAAATGGCCATCAGATGTAATTTGTAGTTTCATTCTGGGGAGCAATAAACTTCAACTTTAGTATTTGTTTTTTAGTTTGGTGACTGAAAATATTTAAATAGTTATACAGTTTTTCTAAAAGACAATACGGGACCGGGCGCAGTGGCTCATGCTTGTAATCCCAGCACTTTAGGAGGCCGAGGCAAGTGGATCACTTGCGATCAGGAGTTTGAATCCAGCCTGGCCAACATGGTAAAACCCTGTCTCTACTAAAAATACAAAAAGTAGCCAGGCATGGTGGCGGGCACCTGTAATTCCAGCTACTCAGGAGGCTGAAGCAGGAGAATCACTTGAACCCAGGAGGCGGAGATTGCAGTGGGCTGAGATCGCTCCACTGCACTCCAGCCTGGGAGACAGAGTGAGACTCTGCCTCAAAAAAAAAAACAAAAAAAACAAAAAAGACAATACAATGGTGATCAATGAGACACATGTGCTTTATAAAAGAAAACTGGGTTGTAACTGCAACCTGAGTAAGGAGTCCAAATTCCGCTAACGCATATAAACCTTACTGCCAGAGGTTACTTAATAGTGAATTAAAACCCAAGGAGCTAGCAAAACTACTCTGTAGAAGTCAAAACTACTCTGTGTTAGAAGTCAGAATAGTTACCTTGGGGAGGGGTAATGATTAGGAGGTAGCACAAGAGAATCTTCTGGGGTGCTGGAAATGTTCTGTATCTTGAACTGGGTGATTAAACAGGCATACACATATAAATTCATCACATGGTACTATTAAGATTTGCAGGCTGGGCACAGTGGCTCACGCCTGTCATCCCAGCACTTTGGGAGGCCGAGGTGGATGGATCACCTGAAGTCTGGCGTTCGAGACCAGCCTGGCCAACGTGGTGAAACCCCATCTCTACTAAAAATACAAAAAATTAGCTGGGCGTGGTGGCAGGCGCCTGTAATCCCAGCTACTTGGGAGGCTGAGGCAAGAATCACTTGAACCCGGGGGACGGAGGTTGCAGTGAGCCGAGATCGCACCATTGCACTCCAGCCTGGGCAACAAGAGCAAAACTCCGTCTCGAAAAAAAAAAAGATTTGCAAACTTTGTGTAAATTATATTTTAAAGAAAAGTGAAAAAACAAAGTAAAACACAAGGGCCTGGAAAGCTTAGTCTACTCTAAATGTGTTGAGGTATGTTTTCTAACTCAGGACATGGTCTATATTGATGAATGTTCCATGTGCACTTGCAAAGAATGTATATTCAGCTGAGTGTTCTATAAATGTGAATTAGACCAAGTTGGCTGATGGTGTTGTTCAGTTCTTCTACATCCTGTTGGTTTTCTGTCTACTACTTCTATTATTGAGAGAGGAATACTGAAGTCTCCACATGTAATTGCAGATTTGTCCATTTCTGCTTCGTGTATTGTGTGAAGCTATGTTGTTAAGGGACATATACGAATCTGTTATTATGTAATGTCTTTTTTACCCCTGGTTATTTCTTTGCACAGAAGAAAACCTTGATATTAATACAGCCACTCCAACTTTCTTTCTTTTTTTTTTTTGGGACGGAGTTTCACTCTCATTGCCCAGGCTGGAGTGCAATGGCGCGATCTTGGCTCACTGCAACCTCTGCCTCCTGGGTTCAAGCAATTCTCCTGCTTCAGTCTCCTGAGTAGCTGGGATTACAGGAGCCCGCCACCACACCTGGCTCATTTTTTGTATTTTTAGTAGAGACAGGGTTTCACCATGTTAGCCTGGATGGTCTCGATCTCCTGACCTCGTGATCCACCCGCCTCGGCCTCCCAAAGTGCTGGGATTACAGGCGTGAGCCACCGTGCCCGGCCTATACGTAATTTTTCAAAATCTACTTAGAATCAATATTGTACCTCTTCAAGAAGAATGTACAAATGTATAGGATACCTTACTCTCCCTTACTTATGTTGTACTCGTCTTAGATATTACTACATCTACATCTGTTAAAACTTGATCAGTTATAATTTTTGTTTTCAACTGTCAAATATATTTTAAAGAACTCAATAGGGGAAAAATCATCTATTGTATTTATTACCCAGGTATTTACCATTCTTCATTCTTGATGTACAAAGTTCCCTTCTGTCTAAAGAACTTCATTTAGCAATGACTTTAGAGCAGGTCGGTTGGCAACGAACCCTCTTAAGTTTTCCTTCATCTGGTAATACTTTCATTTCACCTTTCTTGATAGGTATTTTCACTGAGTAAAGAATTTCGGGTTGACAATTCTCTCAGAACTTCATTTTATTTTTCAGATGGAGTCTCACTCTGTCGCCTAGGCTGGAGTGCACTGGCACGATCTTAGCTTACTGCAGCCTCTGCCTCCCAGATTCAAGCGATTCTCATGCCTCAGCTTTCTCAGTAGCTGGGATTACAGGCATGAGCCACTATTCCCGGCTAATTTTTGTATTTTTAGTAGAGATGGGGCTCTCGCCATGTTGGCCAGATTGGTCTCGAATTCCCGACCTCAAGTGATCCACCTGCCTCAGCCTCCCAAAGTTCTGGAATTACAGGTGTGAGCCACCATGCCCGGCCTCTCAGCCACTTTAAAAATGTGCTACTATCGGCCAGGCGCAGTGGCTCACAGCTGTAATCCCAGCATTTTGGGAGGCCGAAGCGAGTGGATCACCTGACATCAGGAGTTTGACACCAGCCTGGACAACATGGTGAAACCCCGTCTCTACTAAAAATAGAAAAATTAGCTGAGCTTGGTGGCGTGTGCCTGTAATCCTAGCTACAAGGGAGGCTGAGGCAGGAGAATCGTTTGAACCCAGGAGGTGGAGGTTGCAGTCACTACGCTCCAGCCTGGGCAACAAGAGCGAAACTCTGCCAAAAAAAAAAAAAAACAAGCTTGGTGCAGTGGTTCACGCCTGTAATCCCAGCACTTTGGGAGGCCGAGGCGGGCAGATCACGAGGTCAGGAGATCGAGACCATCCTGGTGAACATGGTGAAACCCCGTCTCTACTAAAAATACAAAAAAATTAGCCGGTGTGGTGGCGGGCACCTGTAGTCCCAGCTACTTGGGAGGCTGAGGCATGAGAATCGCTTGAACCCGGGAGGCGGAGGTTGCAGTGAGCCGAGATCGCGCCACTGCACTCTAGCCTGGGCGACAGAGCGAGACTCCGTCTCAAAACAAAACAAAAACAAAAAACCAAAAAAATGCTACTGTCTTCCAGCTTCCATTGTTTCTGATATGGTTTGGCTGTGTCCTCACCCAAATTTCATCTTGAATTGTAGTTCCCATAATCCCCACATGTCGTAGGAGGGACCAGGTAGAGATAACTGAATCATGGGCATGGTTTCCCCCCTCCTGTTCTTGTGACAGTGAGCCCTGTGAAGAGGTGCCTTCCACCATGACTGTAAGTTTCCTGAGGCCTCCGCAGCCATGCGTAACTGTGAGTCAATAAAACCTCTTTCCTTTATAAATTATACAGGCTTGGGTATTTCTTCATAGCAGCATGAGAACGGGCTAATACAGTTTCTGATGAGAAATCCACAGTCATTTAAATCATTGTTCCTCTACAGGTAATACGTCATTGTTCTCTGGCTATTTTTAAGATTGTGATCTTTAGCAGTGTGACTAGGACGCCTCTGTGCATGGATTTTAAGATGGTGATCTTCAGCAGTGTGACTAGGGTGCCTCTGTGCATGGATTTTAAGACTGTGATCTTCAGCAGTGTGACCAGGACGCCTCTGTGCATGGATTTTAAGATGGTGATCTTCAGCAGTGTGACTAGGGTGCCTCTGTGCATGGATTTTAAGACTGTGATCTTCAGCAGTGTGACTAGGACGCCTCTGTGCACGGATTTTAAGATGGTGATCTTCAGCAGTGTGACTAGGACGCCTCTGTGCATGGATTTTAAGATGGTGATCTTCAGCAGTGTGACTAGGGTGCCTCTGTGCATGGATTTTAAGATGGTGATCTTCAGCAGTGTGACTAGGACGCCTCTGTGCATGGATTTTAAGACTGTGATCTTCAGCAGTGTGACTAGGACGCCTCTGTGCATGGATTTTAAGATGGTGATCTTTAGCAGTGTGACTAGGACGCCTCTGTGCATGGATTTTAAGATGGTGATCTTCAGCAGTGTGACTAAGATGCCTCTGTGCATGGATTTTAAGATGGTGATCTTCAGCAGTGTGACTAAGATGCCTCTGTGCATGGATTTTAAGATGGTGATCTTCAGCAGTGTGACTAGGGTGCCTCTGTGCATGGATTTTAAGACTGTGATCTTCAGCAGTGTGACTAGGGTGCCTCTGTGCATGGATTTTAAGATTGTGATCTTCAGCAGTGTGACCAGGACGCCTCTGTGCATGGATTTTAAGATGGTGATCTTTAGCAGTGTGACCAGGACGCCTCTGTGCATGGATTTTAAGATGGTGATCTTCAGCAGTGTGACTAGGATGCCTCTGTGCATGGATTTTAAGACTGTGATCTTTAGCAGTGTGACTAGGACGCCTCTGTGCATGGATTTTAAGACAGCGATCTTTAGCAGTGTGACTAGGACGCCTCTGTGCATGGATTTTAAGATTGTGATGTTCAGCAGTGTGACTAGGACGCCTCTGTGCATGGATTTTAAGATTGTGATGTTTAGCAGTGTGACTAGGACGCCTCTGTGCACGGATTTTAAGATTGTGATCTTTAGCAGTGTGACTAGGGTGCCTCTGTGCATGGATTTCTTTGATAGATCTTGTTGGGGTTCATCGTTGGATTCACGAGTCTTCCTTATAAAGTGTCTGAAGCATTTGAGAGATTTCAGACTATTAAACTCCTAACTACAGTTTGAAAGATTACGTAATGGTTTTAAATGTTTGGGGAATTTGATCAGTCGAATCCATGAGCTATTACTCAAAGAGAAGAAATAGCAGTAGTTCTAATTTTTATACAAAAAATATTAATACACGGGCAGGTGTGGTGGCTCACGCCTGTAATCACAGTACTTTGGGAGGCTGAGGCAGATGGATCACCTGACGTCAGGAGTTCAAGACCAGCCTGGCCAACATGGTGAAATACCGTCTCTACTAAAAATACAAAAATTAGCTGGGTGTGATAGCGGGTGCCTGTAATCCTAGCTGCTCTGGAGGCTGAGGCAGGAAAATTGCTTGAACCTGGGAGGTGGAGGTTGCAGTGAGCCGAGATCATGTCATTGCACTCCAGCCTGGGCGACAAGAGTGAAACTCCGTCTCAAAAATATATATATATATTAATACAGACCCTAGAGACAGTCTGCCCAAGTTCACATGATGGTGCTGCCATTTACTACCAGCCAACCTCAGGCAAGTCACCTACCCTCTCTTCACCAGCTGTCTCCTTAGTAAATGAGGAAGATCATAATAACATCTGCCTCAGAGAGTTTTTGTGAGGATAAAATGAGTTAATATATGTCTGTCCAAGAAGCATAGTGAGAAGGAAAAAATAATGTTTTAAAAAATTTAAAAAATATATTTTTAAAGAATAATGTCTGACACATAGAAAGGGCTGTATGTGTATGAACCATTTTGATTATTTTAAAATGAGCACAGAGGCTTAAATTAGTTACGTTTTAAATGAAAACTTTAATATATTGAATACTGATTAAAACACAAGTATTTGTAAACATTTCTCTTAGATACAAAAGCTGTATCTTGGTCCATAAAAGCCCCCTAACCACAGACAGAATAGAGTCCCATGTGGTGGAAGCCACAACTCAGTCAACTTTGAGTCTCTCACAAAAGTGACGTACTCAATAAACTACAGATATTGACTAAGTGGGTGAATTACATTACAGTTCACCAATAGTTGGTGCCAGCCACAACACAGTCAAATAACATCTCCACCAATATCTACAATACACAGAAATGCCTGAGTCCACAGCACTGCAGAAACAGATTGGTCAGGATCCCAATGCTATAGAAGAGACCTCAGCTCAGCTAAGAGGTGCATATTCTGGCAATGAGCCAATATTCATATACATCCTTTTTTCATCATAATTTCAAGAGAAGAACTAGAGATTATTCAAAACTTTGAAAAACAGGCATGTGCCTGCTCCTGTAAACACTTAGGAAAAAAATATCTGCTTTCAAAGTGTTGTAGTAAGTTTTAAATACTAAAATGTTCTCTTTTTTTCTTTCTTTCTTTTTTTTAAGATGGAGTCTCACTCTGTCACCCAGGCTGGAGTGCAGTGGTGTGATCTTGGCTCACTGCAACCTCCATCTCCCAGGTTCAAGCAATTCTCCTGTCTCAGCCTCCTGAGTAGCTGGGAGTACAGGTGCATGCCACCACGCCCAGCTAATTTTTGTATTTTTAGTAGAGACAGGGTTTCACCATATTGGTCAAGGCTGGTCTCGAACTCCTGACCTCAGGTGATATTCTCTTTTAAAGTGATGTTAGGCCAGGTGTGGTGGCTCATGCCTGTAATCCGAGTACTTTAGGAGGCCAAGGCAGGAGGACTGCTTGAGCCGAGGAGTTCAAGACCAGCCTGGGCAACATAGTGAAACCATGTCTCTACAGACAAAACAAAACAAAAACTAGCTGGGTGTGGCAGTCATCCCTGTGGTCCTAGCTACTCAGGAAGTTGAAGCAAAAGGATCACTTGACCCCAGGAGTTTGAGGCTACAATGAGCTATGATTGTCCCACTGCACTCTAGGCTGGACAACAGAGCGAGACGCTGTCTCAAATAAATAAATAAAGTGATGTTAGATTTTTGGAGGCAGGAAAAAGTTAAAAACACCAATGTTTTTAGTTATATTCCACTTCAGCTAAAGATGGTTTTAAAGTATTGTTTGGGTGAGGTATTAAGGCCATATTCTGGCAAATCAGAAGTAAATTATCTCATCCTAGAACACAAGCATGTTAAGCGTCAGCTATGGCTCGTGCCCCCTCAGGTGAAAAGCAAAGCAAGGCTCACCTCAAAGTTGTACTTCCTCATCTGGTTGAGGTGCCGGCAGTACAGATAGAGCATGCCGATGCTGCTGCCCACCGCGATGTAGTCCCCGTTGGTGTCGAGGGCCGTGAGATAGACCACGATAGAGCGGAAACCCTTCTGGATCTTTGTCGGAATGGCATTGAGGAGATAGTACAACGGGCAGAACTCTCTGAATGTAACAGGCTCTGATATCGATGCCATGGCCAAGGTTTCCACAGACTATCTTCACGCAGGAAAAGGAATGTTTATTTGTCATCTAGGGAAACCTGGGGGCTACAGAACAAAGCATTACAATCCTTTCAATGCCTAGTCATGGCAAAAAGAAGTATGTTTAATACTGGCAACATGGAACTTTTAGGCAGGTAAACATTATAGCTGGAGCTTAAATAAACAGGGAAAGTAAACACGTGTCACTAAGATCACTTTTGAGCATTTTAACTCAAAATGCACTTCAGTATGTTCTGACCTCTATGATTTATGTTGTAGTGAATGCCATGGAGGAGTGGAAAGAATACAAAAAACAAAACAGTTCTTACTCCCAAGTAGCTTATGATCTAGACAGGGAGGCAGATGAAATAGTGAAAAGACACAAATCCACAAGTAATGAGGTGATAATTTGTGGGTTTTCATGAGGAGAGAGAGATCAGTGGGGATTAGAGTGAGTGTAGACATGGCTTCACTGAACACATCCTGAACTATGAAGCCCACCAGGTTGGACAGGATATGGAAAAGAGAAACAGGAAAGACACTCTATTAGGAGAATAGTGGGCCAATCTCAGATGCAGATATGCTGGCTGTGTTAATGAGATGGTGAAGAACAGGTGCCCTGGCCTGGTTGGATGCCCACAGCCTCCTCAGCGCTCAAGAGTCCAGCCACACAGCACCTTACTCTGTTCCACATGGAGACCCACCCACTTGCACTTTGGCTTCAAAGCTTCCCTTACTAAAGATATGCAACCCTTCCATGCACGCCATCTTTCACAAAGTGCTCACTCACTGATTTAATCCTGACCCTACCTTATAAGGCAGGTAGCATCATCCCTAACTTTTAGAAGGGACTGGGGGCCAGAGGGTCATGAGACTCACTCAAGATCAAACAGCCGAGACTTGACTCTAGGTCTTTTCCCTCCAAGTCCTAGGCTCTTGACAACAGCACAGTCACAGCTCTGACAGGCAGGCTGTAACAGTCCAGGTAGATGCTCTGTACCTGATTACACCTGGAGGGATATTTTAGCTCTACAGGTTCTATGGAGACTTCCAAGCTCCTCTCACAGAAACTTCTTGCATCATGGATTTATGGTCTCTTTGAACTGTAGGTTTTCTATTTCTACATAGTGGACTGACCAACTTCCAGTCCCTCTTCTGATCAAATTAATCCAGCTCGTTCTCACCCCAGGGCCCTTGCATTGGCTGTTCCGTCCACTTGGAATGTTCTTTCTCTACTGAGCTCTTCCTCCTTCTCAATTGTGCCCTCTTTCATGAGGCCGTACTTGATTTCTCCTCCCCCTACTGAGTTCTCTCTCTGTCACCTCTCCCAGTTTTACTTTCTCTACACAGCCCCTTTCTTCTTTTTTTTTGAGACACAGTCTCACTCTGTGACCCAGGCTGGAAAGCAGTAGCAAGATCATGACTCACTGACGCCTCAAACTCCTGGGCTCAAGTGAACCTCCTGCCTCCACCTCCCACGTAGCTGGGACTACAGGAATATGCCACCATGCCTGGCTAATTTTTAAATTATTTTGTAGAGATGAGGTCTCGCTGTGTTGCCCAGGCTGGTCTCAATCATGGCTTACTACAGCCTCAAGCTCCTGGGCTCAAGAGATCCTCCCATCTCAGCCTCCCAAAGTGCTTGGATTACAGGTGTGAGCCACCGTGTCCGGCCTATCCACACATCTCCTTTCTTTTCTCTGACTGGTTATCTGCCTGCCTGCCACTCTGACACACACACTAGTCTGTAAGGCCCATAACAGCAGAGCCCATATCTGCCTCACTCACCCCTCTTCCCCCCGCAGGGAGAAAAGGGCTAGGCACATCAGAGGCATTCAGCAAGTATTTGTTGCATAAATGAATGAATGATGAAACAGAAAATTTGGCCCAGGAACAGTGGCTTATGCCTGTAATCCTAGTGCTTTGGGAGGCCAAGGTGGGAGAACTGCTTGAGACCAGGAGTTCACAACCAGCCTGGGCAACATAGCAAGACTCCCGCCTCAACAAAAAATATTTTTAAAAATTAGTCAGGCATGGTGCTACATGCCTGTAGTCCTAGCTACTCATGAGGCTGAGGTGGGAAGATCACGCTTTTAAAACAAATATTTCATTTTAAAAAATAGAGAGGGTTTCACTATGTTGCCTAGGCTGGTCTCCAACTCCTGGGCTCAAGTGATCCTTCCTCCTCAGCTTCCCCAAGTGCTGGGATTACAGGTATGAGCCACTGCACTCAGCCAGGAAGATCACTTGAGCCTAGGAATTTGAGGCTGCAGTGAGCTATGACTGTGTCACTGCACTCTAGCCCGAGT
Source organism: Homo sapiens (assembly GCF_000001405.40). Classification (NCBI taxonomy): domain Eukaryota; kingdom Metazoa; phylum Chordata; class Mammalia; order Primates; family Hominidae; genus Homo; species Homo sapiens. Next base: position 102,374,406 of record NC_000014.9, on the reverse strand, counting down.
GACAGAGTGAGACACTGTCTCTTAAATGAATAAATAAATAAAAGGAAAATATGCAAGGAAGGAATGAGTGACAAGAACAGAAGAACAAAGGCTGTGCTTTCTGGGATCATTTCTATAGTTCATTACTAGAGAAGTTTCTCTGAATGTGTAGAGCAAAAGAAAAAATATTAAATATAAAATTCTAAAAAATGGAATGGAAGAGCAGCAAAGTATCATTTTTTCTTCAATATGACCCCAATTCAATGCTGGAATAATAATTCCCTAAATCTGTATAGCATATCCAGTTTTCCAAGCATTTTTAGATTCTATTTCTTTTCTTTTTTTTTTTTTTTTTTGAGACAGAATCTCGCTCTGTCCCCCAAGCTGGAGTGCGGTGGTGCGATCTCGGCTCACTGCAACACTCGCCTCCTGGGTTCTTCTGCCTCAGCCTCCCGAGTAGGTGGGACTACAGGCGTGTGCCACCAAGCCCGGATAATTTTTATATTTTTTAGTAGAGATGGGGGTTTCCCCATATTGGCCAGGCTGGTCTCGAACTCCTGACCTCATGATCTGCCCATCTGAGTCTCCCAAAGTGCTGGGATTACAGGTGTGAGCCATCGCGCCCAGCCTTAGATTCCCATTTCATCTGACAGTCACAATAGCCAATACAGGCAGAACATATCCACGTATGAGAACTTTCTTAAAGGTAAGTAAATAACAATAATAATAATAATTGCATTCCTCTGTGATACTTAAGAACCCAATCCACCCTCTTTTGCAGTAATAATAATGGGAATAGCTAATGTTTTTACAGATGCTCCTCAACTTACAATGGGGTTATGTCCCAATAAAACCGTCATAAGCTGAAAAGATAAGTCACAATACATTTAATACACCTAACCTGCCGAACATCTTAGCTTAGCCTAGCCTAACTTAAATGTGCTTAGAATACTTATGTTAGCCTACAGCTGGGCAAAATCATCTAATCAAAGCCTATTTTATCACAAAGTGTTGCATATCTCATGTAATTTATTTAATACCATATTGAAAGTGAAAAACAGAATGGTTGTATGGTTACTGGAAATACAGTTTCTACTGAATGGTATCGTTTTCGCTCAATCTTAAAGTCAAAAAATAGTAAGTTGAAACTCTGTAAGTTGAAAACCGTCTGTACTTAATACAAACTGTTCTTAGCACACAAACCCATTAAATCCTCACCAAAAAGAAAGAAAAAAAAAACAAACATGAAGTAGGCATCATAGTTACTTCCATTTTTTTTTCCTGCAATCCCCAAACATTAGACATGAATGTTACCTCCACTTCATGGATGCAGAAACTTCTTATTCTTCTTTCCAAGGCACAGAAATAGTAAAAGGCTTTGTTTCCTTAAAGAGTGCATACATACATACTCATACACACATTGATGTGCCATAATTTATTTAACTTTTTAAAAATAAAGGTTTCTTTTTATAACAGTTATAAATGCTCACTATCAAAAAGTTGCTTTTTTTTTTGAGACTTGCTCCGTCGCCCATGCTGGAGTGCAGTGGCATGATCTTGGCTCACTGCAACCTCCGCCTCCTGGGTTCAAGTGATTCTTGTGCCTCAGCCTCCCGAGTAGCTGGGATTACAGGTGCCTGCCACCAGGCCTGGCTAATTTTTGTATTTTTAATAGAGATGGGGTTTCACCATGTTGATCATGCTGGTCTTGAACTCCTGATCTCAGGTGATCCACCCACCTTGGCCTCCCAAAGTGCTAGGATTACAGGCTTGAGCTACCACGCCCAGACTTGCTGGGATTACAGGTATGAACCACCATGCCCGGCCTCAAAAATTTGTTAATATAGAAAAGCACAAAGAAGGCTGGGCGCGGTGTCTCACACCTGTAAACCCCAGCACTTCAGGAGACTGAGTCAGGGCGGATCACCTGAGGTTGGGAGTTCAAAACCAGCCTGACCAACATGGAAAAACCCCATCTCTACTAAAAATACAAAATTACCTGGGCGTGGTGGCGCATGCCTGTAATCCCAGCCACTTGGGAGGCTGAGGCAGGAGAATCGCTTGAACCCAGAAGGCAGAGGTTGTGGTGAGCCAAGATTGTGCCATTGCACTCCAGCCTGGGCAACAAGAGTGAAACTCAATCTCAAAAAAAAAAAAGAAAAGAAAAGTACAAAGGCAGCTGGGTGCAGTAGGTCACACCTGTAATCCTAGCACTTTGGGAGGCCAAGGTGGGTAGATCACTTGAGGCCAGAAATTTGAGACCAGCCTGGGAAACATGGCAAGATCCTGACTCTGCAAAAAATACAAAAATTAGCCAGGTGTGGTGGTACACAGAGAATCGCTTGAGCCCAGGAGATCAAGGCTGCAGTGAGCTGATTATACCACTGTACTCCAGCCTGGGTGACAGAGTGAGACCCTATCTCAAAATAAAAGGACAAAGAAGTAAAGAAAAGTCACAATCTCATCATACTGAGATATGCCATGTACACAGATAGCTACAGATATATGTATATAAACATATATGCACACACACAGACTTTTTCACTTAATAAATCATGAGTATTTTCCATGTCATTAAATATTCCCCTAGAATGTGATTTTTAGTGACTATACAGAAAAACTGCAGAGAACACACTGTATGGATAAACCAAAATTTTCTCAACCAAAAGATTTTAATTTTGCCATCAAAAACAACAGAAATATATCCAAGTATATTCTTGGAGTACACTGCAAGAGGTGGAAATGTTGAATTAAAAAAAAATGTATTGCCAAACTGCCTTGAAGAATGTTCATATCAATTTATGCCTCACACGTTTTTCCAAAGGATATCTAGAGGCCCGTAAGCCATAGCACCCAGATGAGTCAGGACAGCCATGCCTGGGGGCCAGGTGCCCAAGAAGTCCCCAGCGGGCAGAAGAGAATCCATGCTATTTCCCTATCTGGGGGCCTCTGGATGAGCTTAGCACCAGGCTTGTCTGTCCTTCACCCACCATTCAGATAGGAGGAGCAGGTTGAGGCCAACTCCCAGCAAAACTGTCCTCCTGGCAGAAACAGTGTCTAGGACGGGCTGAGGAAAAGGCATAGAGCCGCTGTCTCACTGTCCTGCGCTAGGTTTGGGAAAAACAATGCAGACACAGCAAACATTTCTGCTAAGACTTTCTGCTCCTCCTCCTTACCCAATGTTCACCCAACTCCATGTTCCACCTCACCCAACCCCCAGGTCTCAGACCCACAGCCACAGAACTGACCCTCTTTCCACCGAGGAAGAACTGCACAATGAGTGGCTAATGATACTGAAGTGAAAAAGACCCAAGTTCAAATCCCAATGCTCCTAAAACTACCTGAGGCACCCTGGAATAACTGCTCAACCTCTCTAGATCTCCAATTACCATCTGAAATGGGATTAGTAAAACTTACATCCTAGCTATAAACACAGAGTAAATGAACAATGTCAAAGACACTTACCTATCTTGTATCTTCTACCAGTTGCCTGGGCCATGCTGACCAAGCCAGAAAAGGAGCATCATCCCTGATCCCTCCTCCTCTCCTCTCCATGTCCCCGATTCTCCATTCAGTACATCTCCCACACACCTCAGTGTGTCACCCCTAGCTCGGGCCACCATTACCTCTCACCTGCAGCTCTCTCTGGTGCCCAGCTCATCTGCCCGCCTCTCCCTCCCCGTCATCCACGTGGCAAACAGAGGGATTTTCCTGATGTGCAAAGCTGATGTCATCACTCCCTTGCTTAACACTCTGCAGTGGTCCCCATCTTCCTCCTGCTAAAGCCCAAGTGTTGCTGGCTTACAAGAACCTTGGTGATCTGGCCTCTGCCACCCGAGGATCTCTCACTTGTCCTCCAGCCACACTGAATTGCTTCTAATTACAACAGGCCTGGCCTCTCACGTCCTGGCCTTCACACCTTCTACTCCCTATCTCTGGCAGGCACTTTCGTATCTGCTTTAGCTCATGAGATCTCCTAGCAAGCAAGCGGAAGTACTGAGCTCTTCACCAGTAAGTATTGCCTAATGTTATTTCCTCCTTTAAAAATCTTATTACCGGCCGGGTGTGGTGGTTCACGCGTGTAATCCCAGCACTTTGGGAGCCTGAGGTGGGTGGATCACCTGAGGTCAGGAGTTTGAGACCAGCATGACCAACTTGGTGAAACCTCATCTCTATTAAAACACAAAAATTAGCTGGGCATGGTGGGAGGTGCCCGTAATCTCAGCTACTCAGGAGGCTGAGGCAGGAGAATCGCTTGAACCCAGGAGGCAGAGGTTCCAGTGAACCAAGATTGTGCCATTGCACTCCAGCCTGGGCAACAAGAGCGAAACTCTGTCTCAAAAAAAAAAAAGTTATTCCTCAGCCAGGCACAGTGGCTCACATCTGTAATCCCAGTACTTTGGGAGGTTGAGGTGGGCAGATCACTTGAGCCCAAGGGTTTGTTTGTTTGCTTGTTTGTTTATTTATTTTTTTGAGACAGAGTCTCACTCTGTCGCCCAGGCTGGAGTACAGTGATGCGATCTCGGCTCACTGCAAGCTCCGCCTCCCGGGTTCATGCCATTCTGCCTCAGCCTCCTGAGTAGCTGGGACTACAGGCACCTGCCACCACGCCTGGCTAATTTTTTGTTTTTTTGTTTTTTTGTTTTTTTTAGTAGAGACGGGGTTTCACCGTGTTAGCCAGGATGGTCTCAATCTCCTGATCTTGTGATCCACCCGCCTCGGCCTCCCAAAGTGCTGGGATTACAGGCGTGAGCCACTGCACTTGGCCGAGCCCAGGGGTTTGACATCAGCCTGGGCAACATGACAAAACTCTGTCTCTACAAAAAATACAAAAAAGTAGCCAGGTGTGGTGGTGCGTGCCTGTAGTACCATCTACTCAGGAGGCTGAGGCACAAGAATCAATTGAGCCCGGAGGATCGACTGAACCTGGAGGATCCATTGAGCCCGGGAGTTCGAGGCTGCAGTGAGCCATGATCAAGCCACTGCACTCCAGCCTAGGTGACAGAGCAAGACCCCATCTCAAATCAATCGATCAATAAAACTTTTTTAAAAATAAAAATATTTTTCCTCATAGTAGCTCTGTCAAATGATGACATTTAGCTTTCAAGAATCCATCCGCTTGATTTGATGCTATCCACTGACAGCTCGCAGGCTCTACACAAGAAGGGCTTTGAGACTGCAGTCTAGCTAGAAGGGAGTCAAGAGATTTGCCTCAAAAGTGCATTTGCAGAGCAAGTGCACTATTCTACTCAGATAATATGTTTATTTGTGGTGGCTTAGGAGGTCTTAGTGGGTATTACAAAAGGTCAGAATCCCTGACCATCTCCTTGGCACACTCAGTGATAATCCTACCAAAAGCAACTTCAGAACCCAGGGAGGGAGCGCAGGGCTGCCCTTGCTAGGCTCCAGCAGGTATTAGAAACTGTCACAATTGTCCGGCAGGTAACAGCATAATCACATTTTGAATCAAAAGTGTTGTTCAAGCTGAAATCCTAGTATTCACCCTCAATTCCTCTGTTTCCCTCACCCGTACAACAATCTCTCAACTCAGTCCATCAGCCCTATCTCCAAGCCTCCCTCAAGCCTGGCGCCTCCTCACCAACTCTGTGGCCATGCCACAGTACAAGCTATCATATCCCTCGCCTACACTGCTGCCATGGTCTTCCACACCTGCCCCCAGAAGCCAGGCTCATTCAGCCATCAAAATTAGCTCTTTGACTTCACTGAAATGAAAAACGCTTGTGCTCCAAAGGGCACCATCAAGAAAGTAAAAATACATCTAATCCACACCACCGACAAAAATAAAAAAAAAAAACCCACAAAATGGAAGAAAATATCTCCTGGTTATATATCTGATAAAGAGATTTTACCCAGAATATATAAAGAGCTCTTATAACTCAATAATAAAAAGACAATTTTAAAAGCTGGGTGCAGTGGCACGTGGCTATAGTCTCAGCTACTTGGGAGGCTGGGGTGGGAAGATCGATTGAACCCAGGAATTTGAGACCAGCCTGATCAACACAGCAAGACTTCATCTCAAAACAACAACAAAAGACAATTTTACAATGGGCAAAGTCTAAGAAACATTTCTCCAAAGAAGACACACAAATGCCCAGTAAGGCCAGGCACGGTGGCTCACATCTGTAATCCCAGCACTTTGGGAGGCCAACGCAGGTGGATCACCTGAGGTTGGGAGTTCAAGACCAGCCTGGCCAACATGGTGAAACCCTGTCTCTACCAAAAACACAAAAATTAGGTGGGCATAGTGGCGCACATCTGTAATCCCAGCTACTCAGGAGGCCGAAGGAACAAGAATCACCTGAACCCGAGAGGTGGAGGTTGTAGTGAGCCAAGATCGCACCACTGCACTCCAGCCTGGGCAACAGAGCGAGACTTTATTTCCAAAAAAAAAAAAAAAAAAAAAAAAAAAAAAGGCCAATAAGCACATAAAAAGATGTTCAGCACCATTACTCATCAGGGAAATGCAAATCGAAACCACAAGGAGATACCACTTCATACCCACTAGGGTATGAACAAGTGTTAGCAAGGATGTGGAAAAAACTGTATACATTGCTGGTGAAAAATAAAATGGTGCAGCCACCAGTGGGCAGTTCTTCAAAAGGTTACAGAGTTACCATGTGACCCAGAAGTTCTATTCCTAGGTTTATGCCCAATAGAAATGATAACATATCTACAAAGAATTTGTAGATAAATGTTCATAATATCACCACTCATAATAGCCAAAATGTCAAAACAACCTAACTGTCCATCAACTGATGAATGGACAAACAAAATGTGATCTATCCACACAATGGAAGCCTGTTCAGCAATAAAAAGGAATGAAGTACTGATTCATGCTACAACACGGAGGAATCCTGAGAATATTATGCTAAGTGAAAGCAACCAGGCACAAAACACCATATATTATATGATTCCATGTATACAAAATGTCTAGAATAGGCAAGCTGTAGGCAGAGTAGGTCAGTGGTTGCCCAGGGCTGGGAGAAGAAGGGGTTAGGGTGTATTGCTGAAGGGTACGGAGTTTCCTTTTAGGGTGATGAGAAAGTTCTAAAATTGACGTAGTGACGGTTGCATAGCTGTGAATACAGTAAAAACCATTGAATTGTATATAAATGGGTGAACTGTGTGGCATGTAAATTATATCTCAATAAAGCTGTTACCCCCCAAAAAACAAAGGAAAATATCAGCTCCTTCAAAGAGAAATCAGACCATACTACCCATTCTACTCAAAACTCCTCACTGGTTGCCCAGTGCTCTAAGAATAAAAACCAAATGCCCCGTGTGGTCTAAGCCCTTTGCAGCTCCCCTGTCACCTCTCTACCCGTCTCCACTTGTCCTCCAAGTTCTAGCTCCACTGACCCACTCTGTCCCACTCAGGTGTCATAATTATTTCCTCTATGCAGAATAAATGATCTCACTCCATTTATCTGGCTTCTTCTCAACTGTGGGGTCTCAGCTTAAATATCACCACCACAGAAAGGCCTTCTCTGACCAGATCACTCAAGAGTACCCAACTGTCCCTTCTTTCCTCTATCATATGTGCTTCATAATCCTCATTACAACCTCTAATTGCTTTATTTGCTAAACCATTTAAAAATCATCTCTCCTACAAGAATGTAAGCAACATGAATTCTCTCTTGCTTACCAAGGTAAATCCTAGTATCTAATAATAGCTTTGGCACAGAGTAGATGCTCAGTAAAGATTTGTTAACTTCAGGTCTTACTGCAAAACAATAGTCTCAATCCAATTTTTAAAATTGGGCTGGGCATGATGGCTCACGCCTGTAATCCCAGCACTTTGGGAGGCCGAGGTGGGAGGATTGCTTGAGGCCAGGAGTTCGAGACCAGTCTGGCCAACATGGCGAAACCCATCTCTACTAAAAAATACAAAAATTAGCCAGGTGTGGTGGCGCACACCTGTAATCCCAGCTACTTGGGAGGCTGAGGCAGGAGAATCACTTGAACCTGGGAGGTGGAGGCTGCAGTGAACCAAGATCGTGCCACTGCACTCCAGCCTGGGTGACAGAGTGATATTTCATCTCAAAAATAAATAAATAAATAAAAATATAATGAATAATGCTTCCTTAGTCATGACTATTTCAGTTAAAAAAATACAAAACACCACCCTATGGCATCCTTCAAGTTACGATGCTTCCTTTCCCCACTAGCCCTGTCAATCTCATAACCCTGGAAGGTGGCAGCTAGCCTTCACTGCTGACTACTAACACCCAACTGCCACCCAGATGGATGATTTCTCAAACTGGAGCTAGGACTAATATAGAGTCTAAGTCATCCACTTCGCTGTACAATAACCATGTTATCAGAGTGCTCTGGGTACACTAATGGTTTCAGGATTCTCTCCAAAATCCCTAGGAAGCAACAATTTGTATCCCTATTGTAGAATCTATGTTTGAAATCTGGCTACGACATCTATTAATTATTTGAGTATTAAATTATTAAGGAGGAACGTAATGAGACTGAGGCAGTCATTTATCTTCCAGACAAAATTTTGTCACTTCCTTGCTCCCATCCCCATTGGCTACCCAATGGTCACAAGCTAAAGCCTAACACAAGCATGGAAATTAGACACTATGACAAAACAGTCTATATCTAACTTCATCTCAGGCCACTCTTCCATCCACACACTGTGCACTCCCTACCCTTTAGCAATCACCCCTCTACACGCTTCTTCTCTCAGCCCTGGGCAACCACTGATCTCCTCTCTGTCTACAGTTCGCCTATTCTGGAGATTTCATCAAAATTGAATCATATAATATGTGGTATTTTGTGTCTGGTTGCTTTCACTTAGCCTAATGTTCTCAAGGTTCCTCCATGTTGTAGCACAAATCAGTACTTCGTTCCTTTTTATTGCTGAACAGCCTTCCATTGTGTAGACAGGCCACGTTTTGTTTGTGCATCCATCAGCTTTCCATCACAGTCCCTGCACACACCATAACCTGTATGTCTCTGCAGAACAAAGTCCCTTTCCACTCTTCCCTATTCCCCCACATGTGCCCTGTAAGAACTAGTCCTCCGCCACCAGGAAGCCTTCATAAATTCCCTCAGATACTTGGTTGGTCTTTCTCTGCTTTCACAGAACTCCATGATGGCAGTTATCGCACAGCACCATCATTATCTGTTTTCTCTCCCCTTCAATGGACTCTTTCTCATCTTCACCTATGTTCTTCTAGTCTGTATACTTTGTGGTGCTTTAAAAGACCAATAAAGAGTATGGTACAATCAATGCTCAATACACGTTTGTTGAATGAATCTCTCTCTCAAAGCACTGTGCTAGATTCACCCAAGTATGACAGCCCTAAATATAAAATAGTGGCAAAAAGTCAATAGAACTCTTATGTCCAGGTCCAAAGAATACATTCATTTTAAATTGAACATGCATCTTGAGTAACAGCTCCCTTCTACCTTAGCAATTCGCAAAGCCATCAACTACTCCCTTCTAATTTTACTGATCTCTCTGTGCATTACTGAATCTAGAAATCTCTTCGTGCTTGACACCAAAGCTTTTCATTATAACCCTTTCCTGATCTATTCCTCATCTTCCCAAGTTCAATCAACTGCCTCTGCCTGATGCCTGTTTCCTTCCTTTTCTTCCCACTAAGTTCCAGTAGCCATTTTTTTCAACTCCTACAGCGGCTAATATGAAATGAAATTCTCCCCAAACTTAAGTGTAACTTCTTTAAGAAAAAATTGGAAAAAAAAATCCAGTAGATGCCAGTCTTCTATTGAAAAAGACACGTGGGTATAATATAGCTGATGCCTAACAAAAGCTACTTCCTAGTCACTCCTTCAGAAGAGGGTTATCCTCATTCCATCTTCCCCACCACTGGTTTTCCAAGGCAGTCCTGAAAATTCAATTTGTGTGTCCCCTACACCTGCACTTAGTTCTCCCTTTTAAAGTTCATGGGCCAGACCATGATCTTTCTGAGGCAGTGACCTCAGGAAGGGTCTGTCTGGTTCACCACAGCATCCCTAGAGCCAGCCTGGCACAGTGCTGGCACACGATGGCCAAATAACCACCAATATGGGACGTAAGTCAGGTTAACAACAACAACAACAAAAATAAGGTCAGAGGTTTATCAAGGTACATTATAGCTGGGTGTGAGAAAACACAAAGTCCTGCAGCCTAAAAGACCAGGAATCGCTGGTGATCACAAGGAGCTACAGTGGCTTCATTCCCAGATTCTACCTATGCCTGGGATTTGCGTTTTGAGATTTCCCAGAACTCTGTCTACAAGACCTTGGCTGCAAGGAGGCAGTCCACAAGTGCAACTGGTCACTCCAATAGATGAGAAAAGGATGCACCCAGGCTGGTATCCCACATTCTGCCAACACATGGAACATAAGTCACAGAACAGAATAAAATTCCTGAATCCCAATAAGAGAGGAAGAAAAAAGTGCAGGGAAGAGAAATGGAGGTAGAGAAGGAGAAACTAAAGTCATGAGAAGTCAGAGACATATCAGAAGGGACTAGAGGGCGAGAACGCAGGCTAGCACAGATGACAGCAGGGGCTCCCCTTTACTGAAATGTACAGCGGCAGGCACCGTGCTTAACTTTACATGCACTGACCCATTTAATCCTCTTACCAAGCCAGAGGTAGAAACTATTCTCATCTCCATTCCACTGGTGATGAAACTGGAGCGGAGTGAGGTAGGGCACTTGCCCCAGCACAGAGCTAGGAAGGGGCCGCTGGGACCTGCCCGGCTCTGACTCCAGGACACCCCATCCTTTAACACTTACTACCTATTCTGCCTCCCATGCCTTCAAATAGGATTGGGAAAGGAGTCATTCACTTATCCACTCATCGAACACTGAACACCAACTGGATGAGTGTCAAGGCCTGGGGCCAGGCGCCGGTGGGCGGATGTAAGGGACGCGGGCTGCGAGTGGGGGACAGAACACGACGTCAATCTTAAGGCGAAGGAGCAGAGCCCGCGGCCAGACCGGCAGCCGGGATGCAGGGTGGGGCCGGGGGCCGAGGGCGCGGGACGCGCAGCGGAGGCCTGAGGAGGGGCGGGCGGCCCCTGTTCCCCGCTGCGGACCGCCGGATTCTGCGGGCGGCGAGCCAGGCGCTCCGTGTGTTGTGGCATTTAGTGTCCGCCACTCCGCGCGGGCGAGACCGCGGGCGAGGGAGACGGGGCGGACGGGCATGGAGACCCTGCGGGGCTGAGGCAAGGGAAGAGTGGCCCGGGGGAGGCCGAGGAGGGGCTCGGGGCCAGGCGTCGGGGGCGTCGGGGGCGTCGGGGCCGCTTGCGGCGTCGCCGGACTCACCTCCCGCGGCAGCCCCTCCGGACTCGTCGGCCCCGCCGGGCCGGAGGAGGCGGGATGGACTCCGGGCCGCGGGGGCTGCCGGGAGCCTGTTCCCTGGGCAACGGGGCCGGCACCGGGGCCAGCACCGAAGAGCAGCAGCTGGCTCCGCCGGGGGCTAGAGCGGCAGAGCCACAAGTGGCAGCGGGCGGGGCGGACGTGACGCAAATGCGTTTCCGGTGGGGTGGGCGGGGCTTCGCGTCTCCTTCTACGGATATCTGTGGACCTTATGGAAGGTGCGTGAGATCGGTTCCTTTCCCGGGGTGGGGTGGCTGTGAATGTTACTGCTTAGGCCGCAGGTTGGACCAGAAGCTCAGGAGCTCCCCGGATTACATGAGGTTAAATGGAGGTCCTCTGTCTTACCCCAGCCTAGCCCGCAGGCCCCTCGCAGCCTCTGCGAGCTGCTCGGGAGACAGTTTTGCCGAGCCTCCGTTTTTTCACATGTGCAGTGACAGATGAACGGGACGATATACGCAAATGAGTGTCAGCAGATCCGACATCCAAATTGTAATTATTGTCACTATAAATTAGTACTAACAGAGTTCACTGGGTACCAAGCCTTGCATGCTCATCTCGTCCAGAAACTCCTCTCTGAACTGCCCTCAGTCAGAACATTCTGCTTGTAATGAAAGCTGGCTTTCGCCTAGTGCTCAGTTTGCTGAGTACTGCTCCAAGCACTTTAAGTGGATCATCTCATTTGAACCTCACAGTGGTCCCATGAAGTAATGTCAACCCCATTTTGCAGATGGGGAATCGAGGCTCAGAGGGGATAAGTAACTTAGCCACTGTGCCCTCACCCTACCCTGTCCTGTGACGCTGATGACTGGTCTGTCTTTACCAGCCCTTGAGTTTCTTGAAGTCAGTTATGTTTTTGGTTCCTAAATATGTGCCCCGTATGAGTCAGGCTGACCATGAATCAGATGTGATCCTGCCCTCAGAATCTCCTGTTGGGGGGAAAACCCTTAGACAATTATAGAACAGGTGGTAAGAGCTATTCCTCCATTTACCTCATTTTATGCAAAGCCTCCTATGTGTGGAAGGTTTGAAAGAGAACGAGACATAGTTCCTACCCTAGTCGAATTTCCAGTTTAGCAGGGAATATAGACATTAAACAAGCAAATACACTCCACTGGTGAATATCATGATAGCAGAATTATAGGGTGTACCACATATCTAGTGGTGAGTCGTAACCCAACCTGGGGGATCCAGGAATACTTCTCTGTGGAAATGACTTTCTAAAAACCTAAATCAGATAATTTCACTGCCCTATCCAGAGCTCATTGCTCACTCCCCATTGTATTAGGTTGGTGCAAAAGTAATGGCAATTTTGGCTGTTAAAAGTAATGGCAAAATCTGTTACTTTTGCACCAAGCTAATACTTAGAAGTCCAAACTTCATTTTTTTATTTTGTTTTGTTTTGTTTTGTTTTGTTTTGTTTTTGAGACGGAGTCTCGCTCTGTCACCCAGGCTGGAGTGCAGTGGCGCGATCTGGGCTCACTGCAAGTTCCGCCTCCCGGGTTCACGCCATTCTCCTGCCTCAGCCTCCTGAGTAGCTGGGACTACAGGCGCCCGCCACCACGCCCGGCTGATTTTTTGTATTTTTTTAGTAGAGATGAGGTTTCACTGTGTTAGCCAGGATGGTCTCGATCTCCTGACCTCGTGATCCGCCCGCCTTGGCCTCCTGAAGTGCTGGGATTACAGGCGTGAGCCACTGCCCTCGGTCCAACTTCTTATCTTGGCCTATTAGGTTCTAGTTGTCTGATCACCTACTCACGCACTAGTCCTTTTCTGTCTATTTCATTCCAGCACACTGGTTTTTTTGTTTGCTTGTTTGTTTTGTTTTGTTTTCTGTTTTTTGAACTCACCAACCTCATTATCATAATTAGGGCACATACTACTGACCTACCCTATTTCTGGCTTTTCATCATTCAAATCTCAGCCTAAACGACACCTTCTCAGGGGATCACACTAACACAAGACCCTGTTTTATTTTCCACACACACTTAATCATGATCTGAACTGATCGTGGTCATTTGTTTATTATCTGCCTCCCCTTTGGAAAGTAAGTTCCATGAAAACGGTCCTGGTCCGTCTCATTCAATCACTTCATTCCCCCATGCCTGGCGTATTGTAGGCAGTAAGCAAATATTTGTTGTTTAAGTAAAGAATGAATGATAAATCAAGATGATATTTTAAAGTGAGGATACTAAGTATGAGGCAGGGGAGTGGGGACACACACAGATAGGAAAAATATTCCAGGTCAAAGTCAGAACTTGTACAGAGCCAGCTCTGATGCACAGAGGGCAAGTGGGAAAGGGTAGAAGCTGAAGTGGTGGGCAGAGCTTGGATAGTAGAGGCCCTTGAGCTAACAGGTGAGATACTGGGTTTTTGCCTTGTGCGAGGCCTCACAGCTTCACATATATTATCTAATCTCAGCAATCCTATGAAATAGATACTATTTTTATTCCCATTTTACAGATGAAAATGTTGAGGCTCTGAAAGGTACATTAAGTTGCCCAAGATCTCACAGCTGGCGAGCTGGGGTTCAGACGCAGGCAGTGTGGTCTTCTGACTTGAGGCATCAAACCATCCAGCTGTTGTGTGTCCTGGATTCCTCAAGAGGACTTTATCCTGTGGGCAGTGAGAAGCCTTTGTGGGGTTCAAAGTAGAGAAGGCAAGAGGGCACAGGAGGGTTCGGGGAGAACAAACAACCTGAGTTGGCTCTTGGTGGTCTGGGGGTTGCTTCCTACAGGCAGTGGGATCCGGGTGCATCTTGGAGGATGGGCATCGTGAGCCTGAGGAAGGAAGGAGCTTTCCTGCAGAGAGAACACGTGTAAAGGCCTGCAGGCACCTCAGCTTTTCAAGAGCTGCCAGTAGTTCATTTTCGCTGGATATTGACGGGGGGCCAAGGTGTGGGTTGATGTACGTGATGATGTGGAGGGGTAGCTAGGTCTGGAAGGATTTTGGACTTCCTCCTGATTACCAAGAAGGGCAGTGGCAGCATCGTGATCAACTCTGCATCTCTGTTGTCTCAGTGTCTTGAAATGATTAGCACTCATGGGCCACGCTACTCTGAGCAAATTTAAAGTATCAGAGTGCCTGAGACTAGATAGTGGAAGTACTCGGGAGTCAGGGCTAGATTATCCTGTAGGGAAGGGAACGTGAGCCATTGAAGAGTTTTAGCAGACAGTCACAACTTTACCTTATTTCCAATCTTTGGAAAACAAAGGGCTTAAGGTAAAAACTTTGTGGAGCCATTAAGCTGGAAGAGGATTCAGCTCTATCTGGTGAATTTTAAAATGTTAAAAATATTCTATATTGTCTTCTTCCAGGAACTTTCACATTCATTCAGACTTTGTAGTTTCCACATTTATTTGTCCAGTTGATACAGCATTTCAGATAGTTTTACTGTTGAAAATTATAAGGACATTTGCCCTCCAACTATGATTGTATATTCCATGATAATAATTTTGTTTCTTTTATACCCTATCAGCAAAGACTCTTGGAACTGTAACGCCCAGAAAACCTGTCTTATCTGTCAGTGCAAGAAAAATTAAGGACAATGCGGCTGATTGGCACAATTTAATCCTGAAGTGGGAAACCCTCAATGATGCAGGTTTTACCACTGCAAATAATATTGCCAACTTGAAAATCAGTTTATTGTAAGTACATATTGGTTTTTCATGCTCTAAGTTTTTCACCCTTAATAACTGGGGAAATAATGTGAATAAATTTTAAAATAAAATATTAAGCAAAAAAAGCAAGTGGTAAGATGATACGTGTAAGTATAAATTGTATTGTACATTTTAAATACAAAATTATATTCCATATATATATATATATATATATATATTTAGTTATTTATTTATTTATTTTTTTGGAGATGAAGTCTCACTCTGTTGCCTAGGCTGGAGTGTGATGGCGCGATCTCAGCTCACTGCAACCTCTACCGCCTGGGTTCAAGCAATTCTCCTACCTCAGCCTCCGGAGTAGCTGGGATTACAGGCGCCCGTCACCACACCCAGATAATTTTTGTATTTTTAGTAGAGACGGGCTTTCACCATGTTAGGCTGGTCTCGAACTCCTGACCTTACGTGATCCACCTGCCTCAGCCTCCCAAAGTGCTGTGTGAGCCACCGTGCCTGGCTATTCTGATTTTTAAAACCACAGATTCTTTGATTCTTTTGTAGTTCATAGGCATAATGATTGGGTTTTCATGCTCATGTATGACCTGTGCCTTCCTCAAACTTTGCTATGATGTTGGCACATTACCTAGCTGATATGGAAAAAACTACCATGAATTCTTTTCATCCATTTTTGGATTTTACGTAAACAAAAAACATATGTTATTGTTTCCTTTATATCTCACTTTCTTTTTCTATTTTTTATTTTTTATTTTTGGAGACGAGTCTCACTCTATCCCCCAGGCTGGAGTGCAATGGCGTGATCTTGGCTCACTCTAACTTCTGCCTGTCAGGTTCAAGTGGTTCTCCTGTCTCAGCCTCCTGAGTAGCTAGAATTACAGATACCTGCCACCATGCCCGGCTAATTTTTGTATGTTTAGTAGAGACAGAGTTTCACCATGTTGGCCAGGCTAGTCTCAAACTCCTGACCTCAAGTGATCTGCCCACCTTGGCCTCCCTAAATGCCGGTATTACAGGCATGAGCCACTGCGCCCAGCCATGTCTCACTGTCTTTCAACATGGAAGCCATGCGTGTAATGTAGAGCCACTATTCTGGTTCTGTTCTTTCTCATTGCTGTTTAATAGTGTTTACCCACATTAGACCTCTCACACTGGTTTATCAACTAAGTTATATAATATTCTCAATCTTTTGTTGTCATTTCAACAGTGTGCACAGTGTCTTTCCCAGGAATAGATTCCATCTCAAGAAACCACCTTCTTTGCTCATCCATAAGAAACAATTCCTTATCTGTTCAAGTTTTCTCATGAGATTGCAGCAATTCAGTTCCATCTTCAGACCCCACTTCCAGTTCTGGTTCTCTTGCTTTTTCCACTGGCAGAGTAGATTTAACATCATTCTTAAGGGCCCTAGGAATTTGAGAATGGTAAATGAGCATTGGATTCAACTTAAAGTCACTAACTGCAATATCCCCTAATAAGAGGGTGAGCCTGTCTCTTGAAGCTTTGAAGCCTGTCATTGACTTCTCTGTAGTTGTGAATGTCTTGGATGGCATGTTCTTCTAATAGAAGGCTGTTTCATCTACACTGAAAATCTGTTGTATCATGTAGCCACCTTCATCACTGATCTTAAGTAGATCTTCTGGATAACTTGCTCCAGCTTCTACATTAGCGCTTGCAGCTTCACCTTGCACTTTTATGTTATGGAGATGGCTTTTGTCCTTAAACCTCATGAACCAAATCCTGCTATCTCAAACTTTTCTTCTGTAACTTCCTCATATCTCTCAGCCTTCACAGAATTGAAGAGAGTTAGGGTCCTGCTGTGGATTAGGCTTTGACTTAAGGGAATGCTGTGTCTGGTTTGATCTTCTATCCAGACCACTCAAACTTTCTCCATATCCACACTAAGGCTGTTTCACTCATCATTCACATGTTCACTGGAGTAGCACCTTTAATTTTCTTCAGTAACTTTTCCTTTGCCTTCACAACTTGGCCAACTGTTTGGCACAAGAGGCCTGGTTTTCAGCTTATCTTAGCTTTTTTTTTTTTTTTTTTGTAGAGATGGAGTCTCGCTCTGTCGCTCAGGCTGGAGTGCAATGGTGCAATCTTGGCTCACTGCAACCTCTGCCTCCCGGGTTCAAGCAATTCTCCTGCCTTTGCCTCCCAAGTAGCTGGGACTACAGGTGCACACCGCCACGCCCAGCTAATTTCTTTTGTATTTTAGTAGAGACGGAGTTTCACATGTTGCCCAGGCTGGTCTTGAATTCCTGAGCTCAGGCAATCTGCCCGCCTTGGCCTCCCAAAGTGCTAGGATTACAGGCGTGAGCCACCGCACCTGGCCCCTTATCTGAGCTTTTGACATGCCTTCCTCACTAAGCTTAATCATTTCTAGCTTTTAATTTTTTTGTTTCTTAAATTGGCCAAAGTATAGCTTTTGATTTAAAATGAGAGATATGCAACTCTTCCTTTCACTTGTACACTTAGAGGCCAATGTAGGGCTATTAATTGGGTTGATTTCAGTATCCTCCTATTTCAGGGAACAGGGAGGCCCAAGGAGATGGGGAGAAAGGGGAGCAGCCGGTCAGTGGAGCAGTCAGAACACACAACATCCATTCATTAAGCTTGCCGTTATATATGCACATGGTTCATGGCACCTCAAAACAATTAAACTAGCAATATCAAAGATTACCAATCACAGATCATAGACATAATAATGAAAAAGTTTGAAATATTGTAAGAATTACCAAAATATGATAGAGAGACATGAAGTAAGCACATGCTGTTGGCAAAATGGTGCTGATTGACTTGCTCTACATACAGAGGGTTGCCACAAACCTTCAATTTGTAAAAAATGCATTATCTATGAAACTGAATAAGGTGAAGCACAATAAAATGAGGCGTGCCTATATTCCTGGATTGTGAACTCTTTGAGGAAATGATCCATGTCTTATTCATCTTTGTACATCCAGCACCATGCCCTATGCCAAGGATGCCACACCGCTGAATGGTGTTTTTTTTTTTTTTGAGACAGTCTTGCTCTTTTGTGCAGGCTGAGTGCAGTGGTGCTATAATGGCTCACTGCAGCCTTGACTTCCTGGGCTTAAGTGATCCTCCCACCTGAGCCTCCTAAGTAGCTGGGACCACATACGTGTCCCACCATGCCCAGCTAATTTTTACTTTTAATTTTTGTGGAGATGAGGTCTCACTGTGTTGCCCAGGCTGGACTCAGACTCCTGGACTCAAGCAGTCCTCCCGCGTCCATCCCTCAAAGTGTTGGGATTACAGGCATGAGCCACCAAAACCGGCTGTCACATGGCTGAATTTAACTGACTTATTTTGGTGCAAAATTGAGTGACCAATGGACATATTCATTGCACATATAAATAATAACTGCATTTGTATCATAATGATATGAAAGAACAATGCTTATGCAAAATGTCCCACGTAACTATGTGGATATAGAGGTTTGTAGAATTTATTATAAGGAAATAAGGCAAGCTTAAAGAGTATATTTTGTACACATTATTTTCTATTTTGTTTAGGAATAAAGACAAGATAGAACTAGACAGCAGCAGCCCAGCCTCGAAGGAAAATGAAGAAAAGGTGTGTCTGGAATATAACGAGGAACTGGAGAAGCTGTGTGAGGAACTGCAGGCCACCTTGGATGGGTTGGTAAGACATAAAGACGCAGGCCACTTGTGGTCACTGTCACTGAATCCGATGGACGTATTTGGGGTTTGCTTGACCATTGGCCATCACTTACTCCTTCTCAGTCTCCTCTGATGTTCTCTTCCTCTGCCTGCTGCGTAAACCTTAATGTTCCCCAAGATGCTGTCTTAGACACTCACTCCTCCTGTGCGTCATCCGGGGAAATGTCACCCACTTTCAGGGCTCATCACATAGTAAATTTTTTTTTTTTTTCCATGATATGGAGTCTTGCTTTGTCGCCCAGGCTGGAGTGCAATGGCGTGATCTTGGCTCACCGCAAACTCCGCCTCCTGGGCTCAAGCGATTCTCCTGTCTCAGCCTCCAGAGTAGCTGGGACTACAGGCGTCCGCCACCATGCCTGGCTAATTTTTGCATTTTTAGTTGAGACAGGGTTTCACCATATTGGTCAGGCTGATCTCAAACTCCTGACCTCAGGTGATCCACCTGCTGGCCTCCCAAAGGGCTGGGATTACAGGCATGAGCTACCACGCCCAGCCACAGAGTAAATATTTTAGGCTTCCAGGGCCAGCCAGTCTCTATCTCAGCTACTCATCTCTGCCACATAGGACTAAACAGCCATAGATAATATATGCGTAAATGGATGTGGCTGCATTCCATGAAAACTTTATCTTTGTTTTTTGGATTTTCTTTTTTTTTTTTTTTGAGATGGAGTCTCATTCTGATACCCAGGGTGGAGTACAGTAGCATGATCTTGGCTCACTGCAAACTCCGCCTCCCAGGTACAAGTGATTCTGCTGCCTTAGCCTCCCAGGTAGCTGGGATTACAGGCTCGTGCCACCACATGAGCTAATTTTTGTATTTTTAGTAGAGACAGCATTTCACCATGTTGACCAGGCTGGTCTCGAACTCCTGACCTCAAGTGATCAGCCTGCCTTGGCCTCCCAAACTGCTGGGATTACAGGCGTGAGTCACCGCACCTGGCCTTTTTTGTTTTTGTTTTTGTTTTTTTTGAGACAGGGCCTCACTCTGCCACTGAGGCTGGATGGAGTGCAGTGGCGAGATCTTGGCTCACTGCAACCTCCGCCTCCTGGGTTCAAGCAATTCTTGTGCCTCAACCTTCCACATAGCTGGGATCGCAGGTGTGCGCCACCATGCCCAGCTAATTGTTGTATTTTTAGTAGAGATGGGGTTTCACCATGTTGGCCAGGCTGGTCTCGAAGTCCTGGCCTCAAGTGATCCACCCACCTCAGCCTCCCAAAGTGTTGGGATTACAGGCGTGAGCCACCATGTTCGTCCAGGAAATCTTTATCTTTGGACACCGAAATTAGAATTTTGTATAATTTTTATGAGTCACAATCACTATTGTCCTTTTGGTTATTTTCAACCATTTAAAAATGTAAAAACCATCTTAGCTTATGGGCCATACAGAAATAGGCTATGGGCCAGAATTGACCTGTGTTCCAGGGATAGTTTGCCCATCCCTGATACAGCACGTAAGAGACTAAAGTGTTTGTTTAATGAACTAATAACTAAATTTCAATACCTACCATACTGGCCACCAGATGTGAAGATAACACCACCTTATTTCTTTGCTAGGCACAGGAAATCAGGTTTTACACATATTTGAACTTGGATAACTGAAGCTTACCCATAAACATTTAAGATCTTTATATTTTCACCTTTTTGTTTGTTTGGAGACAAGGTCTCGCTGTGGAATGCAGTAGTATGATCACAGCTCACTGCAGCCTTTACTTCCTGGGCTTAAGTGATCTTCTTGCCTCAGCCTCCCGAGTAGCTGGGACTACAAGCATGAACCATCATGCCCGGCTAATTTTTAAAATTCGTTTGTACAGACGGGGTTCTCATGTTGGCCAGGCTGGTCTCGAACTCCTGACATGAAGTGATCTTCCCACCTTGGCCTCCCAAAGTGCTGGGATCACAGGTGTGAGCCCTGGCGCCCTGCCTTAGCTTTTCCGTCATGTCTTGTTTTGGCTTCAGGATCCTGTATGACATCGAGTCCCCTTGTTTCCTCAGGCTCCTTTTGGCCGTGACAGTTTCTCAGACTTCCCTGTTTTTGATGACTTTGACAATGTTGAGGGATACTGGTCAGGTATTTTGTAGAACATCATGAGATTTATCTGATGTTTTTCTCCTAATTAGACTGAGGTTACGGGTTTTGTTCAGAGGAGGACCACAGAAGTAAAGTGCCATTTCTATCATGTCATATCAAGGGCACGTACTGGATATACTGTCATCAGGACTTTTCTTTGGGTCCCACCTATTGCCCGGGCTGGTCTCAAACTCCTGGGCTCAAGCAGTGCTCCCACCTCAGCCTCCCAAAGTGCTGGGATTCCAGGCGTGAGCCACTGTGCACAGCCAGGACTTTCCACTGCTGAAGTTGACCTTGATCACCTGGCTGGGCAGTGTTTCCAGGTTCCTCTGCTGTGACGTTGCTCTTTCTCCTCCTCCCACGCTGTGCTCTTTGGCAGGAAGTCACTATGCATAGCCCACACCTGGGGGTAGGGACGTATTCACCACCTGCTTGAGGGTGCAGTATCTACATAAATTATTTGGAATTATTCTGCGTGGGAGATTTGTTCCCTCCCTCCCATTTGTTAATTTTTTTTTTTTTTGAGATGGAGTTTCACTCTTGTTGCCCAGGCTGGAGTGCAGTGGGGTGATCTCTGCCCACTGCAACCTCTGCCTCCTGGGTTCAAGTGATTCTCCTGTCTCAGCTTCCCAAGTAGCTGGGATTACAGGTGCCTGCCACCACACCCAGCTAATTGTTGTATTTTTATTTGTTTTTTTTTAATTTTTGTTTTGGCCAGGCGCAGTGGCTCATGCCTGTAATCCCAGCACTCTAGGAGGCCGAGGCAGGTGGATCACCTGAGGTCAAGAGTTTGAGACCAGCATGGCCAACATAGTGAAACCCCATCTCTACTAAAAATACAAAAAATTAGCTGGGGGTGGTGGCAGGTGCCTGCAATCCCAGCTACTTGGGAGGCTGAGGCGGGAGAATCACTTTCGGAGGTTGCAGTTAGCCGAGATCAAGCCACTGCACTCCAGTCTGGGCCACAGAGTGAGACTCCGTGTCAAAAAAAAGAAAAAAAGAAAAAGAAAAGTGGTTTGGGAATAAGTTCTCATTCTATGTTCAAAACCAAAAGTTGATTTTATAGGGTATTATTATTTTTCCTATTTTCCTCTATCCGTTATAGAGAATGGTTTCCAGACCTGGTCTGTGTCTTTCATAACTTTGACCTTCTGGGGGTTTCATGCACCGTTCTTCCTAAGCTGGGCTAACATTTCACTGTGGTCTGTGTTTGCTGTGGGAAGAAGCCACCGATGTTGAAATGTAAGGGCCTGCTGTTTATGCACTGTTCATTCAGGGCTGCACGTGCCTATGTGACTTGAATTCTTTATTGATGGCTGAGCTGCAGGATTGAGCATGACTTCTTGCCTGGGGTCAAGGCTCCAGAATTTTCCTTAGTCTCCTGTTATCAGCTTTTCTTAGAATCAGGTGGCACCAGGGAGCTGCTGCAGGACTCACAGGAAAGAGCAGAGGATTGGGTGTTAAAACTTGGTGTCGGCTGGGCGCGGTGGCTCACGCCTGGAATCCCAACACTTTGGGAGGCTGAGGTGGGCGGATCACAAGGTCAGGAGATCGAGACCATCCTGGCTAACACAGTGAAACCCCAGCTCTGCTAAAAGTACCAAAAAAATTAGCCAGGCACAGTGGCGGGCGCCTGTAGTCCCAGCTACTTGGGAGGCTGAGGCAGGAGAATGGCATGAACCCGGGAGGCGGAGGTTGCAGTGAGCGGAGATCGCGCCACTGCACTCCAGCCTGGGTGACAAAGCGAGACTCTGTCTCAAAAAAAACAAAAACAAAAACAAAAACAAAAAAACTTGGTGTCAGAAGGCATGGTATCGAGTTCTGGCCTCATCCTTCCTCAGCTCAACCTTAAGCAATTTCCCAGCTGTGAAACGGAAATGACAAGTCCTGCCTCTTGGGGTTGGGCCAAATAAAATATCAAACCTTAAAAGATTTGGGAAACTACTTAAGTAAAGTCCTTTAAAAATTAACGTTAGCTGAATTTAGTGCTTGCCACTTCCAATGTAATTGGAGGGTGGTTGGAAGGACCAAGTAAAGGAATTAAGATATTTGACAATTTATATATCTTTTCTTATTTCCCCTTTTTCATATTTATGTATGTAAAGTCAACTATACTTAGGAGTTCAAAATTTGGTCTTTATAGACCTATGCTACTTAAATCTGAAATCCTAGTTACTTCACCCATTAATTTTCTTTATCCAACCCTTATATATCTCCAAGTAGGTGCTTCACAAATACTAACTCACTTAATCCTCTTCACCAAGCTGTGAAAGTAAGCCCGCCATTGCCCCTATTCTGTGCTGCCTGGTGTGTGCAGTGGGGTTGGTTTAGTGTCTCCCACAAGTAGCCATACACATCATGCAGTTACAGGGCTTAGGACAGAGCCTGGTCCACACTGAGGGACCGTCAATGGCAGCTTGCCACGTTTCCTTCCTTTCTGCGTGAAGTGTGTAGGGCTCCCTTTCTGTGTTGCCATTTTATAAACAAGGAAGTCAAGGAGGTTTCCGTAAATAAAGGCAGTTAATAAGAGAGAGTCAGGCCTGGTGCGGTGTCTCATGCCTAGAATCCCAGCACTTTGGGCGGCCGAGGTGGGCGGATCACGAGTTCAGGAGATCAAGACCAGCCTGGCCAACATGGTGAAACCCCGTCTCTACTAAAAATACACAAATTAGCTGGGCGTGGTGGCACATGCCTGCAATCCCAGCTACTTGGGAGGCTGAGGCAGGAGAATCGCTTGAACCAGGGAATCAGAGGTTGTAGTGAACCGAGATCTCGCCACTGCACTCCAGCCTGGCACTGCACTCCAGCTTGGCAACAGAGCAAGACTCCGTCTCAAAAAAAAAAAAAAAAAAGAGAGAGAGAGAGAACATCAGAAACGAGCTCATTTGATAGAGAGACAGAGAGCCTCAGAAACGAGCTCATTTGATAAAAGAGAGAGAGAGAGAGCATCAGAAACGAGCTCATTTGATGCCTTTCTCTCTCACTTCTTAAAAGCAGCAAGAGCCAGCCAGGCGCGGTGGCGCATGCCTGTATAATCCCAGCACTTTGGGAGGCTGAGGCGGGAGGATTGCTGGAGCCCAGGAGTTAGAGACCAGCCTGGGCAACATAACGAGACCCTGTCTCCACAAATTAAAAAAAATTAGCTGGGTGTGGTGGTGCACACCTGTGATCCCAGCTACTTGGGAGGCTGAGGTGCCAGCGGTTGAGGCTGCATAAGGCATGATCATGCCACACAGAATGAGACCCTGTCGCAAAAAAAAAAAGAAAAAAAAAAAAAGGCAGCAAGAGCCTGCCTTGGGATTCCTCCAGGTCTTTGGGTCTAAGACATTAATGCTGTTTGGAAATCCTAGTGAAATGGCACTCGGAAACCTTTCTTGCTCTAGGACTGGAAATCTGGGGTTTATTACCAAAGTCATTCAAATTAATGAAATCATAGCAACTGTCCACCTTCATCTCCCTGGGAATTTGCTGTACGTAGAGTTAACAGTGTTTAGTTATTGGAATTTTTATCATAATAGACTTACACTTCTTAGCTTTGAAATCTTAGAGTTATTAAATCTGAGACTGGAGATTTCAAATAATATTATCATATTCCAAATGGATATCTTTCAGACCAAAATACAGGTGAAAATGGAAAAGCTGTCTTCAACTACCAAGGGAATTTGTGAACTAGAAAACTACCATTATGGGGAGGAGAGTAAACGACCCCCTCTGTTCCACACGTGGCCTACAACCCATTTCTGTAAGTAGTTCCTTCTCAGTTGATTTTCAGGAGGGTAAAGGTTATTAAGGGCATTTAGTATCGTTTACATCTGGTACTTTAAGAAGCTGACAAGGCTTTCAAATTCAATGCAAAAGTATCGGGAGGAAAGGAGACAGAGGCATCTTAAACATTTCTTCTTGGCTTTAATTACCTGGTTATCAGCAGAGTATATGAAACATAGAGACCCGTGAAGCAAGCTGCTGTTATTAGGCCTCTAAAACCAATGGGCAGAGTGAATTCCACCTCCTCTGTGGAAGCAGATATCTCTCATTTTGAGGGGGGGAAAGGAAGAAAGGAGTTTTTTTGGTTTGTTGAGGTTTTTCTTTTGTTTTTTGTTTTAATTAAAAAACAAATTGAGGGTCACTGCAGCCAACCTCATGGAAGATGACTGGGAAAAATGAAACCCATGGCTTCAGTAAACTCTATGAGGCGCTTCTTAAAGGGTTACTTTTAGCTTTTATTAGTTCAAGACAAGGGTAAGCTATTTGATGTTGACCTGAGACTTTTTAAATAAGGCAGGAAAGGGTAAAATCACCTAGTGGAATGTGTTTAGTGAAATATTGTCAGTTTGAGGGGAATCTCCTACTGATAATCACTGTAGGTCACCTAAGAGTCAAGTAGAAAAGGTTATATATACTTTTTTTGAGACAGAGTCTCGCTCTGTCACGCCTGCTGGAGTGTAGTGGTGCAATCTTGGCTCACTACAGCCTCCGCCTCCCAGGCACAAGCGATTCTCGTGCCTCAGCCTCCCAAGTAGCTGAGATTACAGGTGCGTGCCACCACACCTGGCTAGTTTTTGTATTTTTTAGTAGAGACAGGTTTTCGCCACGATGGCTAGGCTGTTCTCAAACTCCTGAACTCAGGTGATCCACCCACTTGGGCCTCCCAAAGTGCTGGGATTACAGGTGTGGGCCACCACGCCCGGCTTGTATACACTTTTTATTTCACTCTGCTGACCATGTTATCAAATTGTACTAATCTGCACCAGCTAGAGTAGTAAACTCCATCGGGCCCTTCTTCCCCTCAGTGCTGTTGCTGATTCTGGTTTTTAATCAAGAGCTGTTAAAATGTAGTTCTTCCCAAGTCGACACTATGTTCTTGAATCACTGCCATTAAGGGAGATTCACGTTTCTTTCAGATGAGGTTTCGCATAAGCTCTTGGAGATGTACAGGAAGGAGCTGCTCCTGAAGCGCACGGTGGCCAAGGAGCTTGCCCACACCGGGGATCCCGACCTCACCCTGAGCTACCTGTCCATGTGGCTGCACCAGCCCTATGTGGAGAGCGACAGCAGGCTGCATCTGGAGAGCATGCTGCTGGAGACAGGCCACCGAGCTCTCTGACGTCCTGAGACGGCTGCGGACACTGGCTCCTTCCACGTCTCACCAGGCAGACAGTCTGCCTAGGACCCAGTGCCGCAGGCCTGGATCAGACCCCAGGATCAGACCTTGGGGTCTTCTGGCCAGAGCTTGTCACCAGCCCCATGGCCTCTCCAGGCGTGCTCATGCCCACAACCCGCGGCCAGCCCCACGTGGTGCTGCTCAGCCTTCTCTGCCCCTCCTGGGAATCTGTCATTCGTGGGTGCTTCAGAGTAAAATCAATGAGTTTCTGAGCAGAATGAGTGAGTGATCTAGTTTCTATAAATTAGGCATGCTTTATACATTATGTTTGTGTAGAAAATCCCTGGTTTAATATTTTTACTTTATGCCTATCTGATTGTTGAAGTTTTTATGAGACTATATTAGTTTTTGGGCCAGGTGCGGTGGCTCATGCCTGTAATCCCAGCACTTTGGGAGGCCGAGGTGGGCGGATCACTTTAGGTTCGGAATTCAAGTCCAGCCTGACCAACATGATGAAACCCTGTCTCTACTAAAAATACAAAAATCAGCTGGCGTGGTGGCGCGTGCCTGCAATCTCAGCTACTTGAGAGGCTGAGGCAGGAGAATGGCTTGAACCGGGAGGCAGAGGCTGCTGTGAGCCATTGCACTCCAGCCTGGGCGACAGAGTGAGACTTCGTCTTAAATAATAAGATCCCATGGAGTTAAAATGAAGTTTGACATCATGAAAATGAAAATAACCTACAAAAAAATTGCCGCTGTTTGCATACTGGGGACATGGCAAGCGATGTAAACTGCCTTCCCTGGCATTCTTCTGACACAAATCCTCGAGTTTCACAATGTTTGCAGCCATTTCCAGAGTTAACATACTAGGTTAGAATGAGGGAAAGGTGACAGTTTTGAAACAGACCGAAGAGACTGGCCAAAAGCTAGGGCATGGGGAGAATGTGAAGGTATGCAAAAGCCTACTTTTTTTTTTTTTTTTAATGGAGTCTCGCTCTGTCACCAGGCTGGTGTGCAGTGGCACGATGTAAGCTCACTGCAACCTCCGCCTCCTGGGTTCAGGCGATTCTCATGCCTCAGCCTCCAGAGTAGTTGGGACTACAGGCACGCGCCGCCACACCCAGCTAATGTTTGTATTTTTAGTAGAGACGGGGTTTCACCACATTGGCCAAGATGGTCTCCATCTCCTGACCTCGTGATCCACCCACCGCGCCCTCCCAAAATGCTAGGATTACAGGCGTGAGCCACCGCGCCGAGCCTGCAAAAGCCTAAACTCTTTTTTGTGGCATTACTTGTTACATGGTTTCTACATCTGCGTTTGCCTTTTTGTAAGTTCTCTGATCCCAAACTGTTTATATTCTGTGGGACTGTGTATAGAGTGATACTTAATAAACAGCAGTTTTAGTTTTTTGGTTTTTATGAGATAGGCTCTTACCATGTGGCCCAAGTAGTGTCAAACTCCTGAGGTCAAGTGATCCTCCCTACTTAGTCTCCTCAGAGACTACAGTCATGCACTGCCCAGCCCAGCAATAATGTTGTTGGTGTTTTTAGATACAGGGTCTTGCTCTGTTGTCCAGGCTAGAATGCAGTGGCATGATTGTAGCTCACTGTAATCTCAACCTCAAACTCCTGTGCTCAGGTGATCCTCCTGCCTCAGCCTCCAGAGTAGCTGGGACTGTAGGTGTGCATAACCACGTCCGGCTAATTTTTTTATTTTTACTTTTTAGAGATGGGGGTCTTACTATGTTGCCCTGGCTTGCCTTGAACTCCTGGCCTCAAGTGATCCTCCTGCCTCGGCTTCCCAAAGTGCTGGGATTATAGGTGCGAGCCACTGCACCTGGCCAAGTATAGTTTTTAATTGTGTCATTTTAGTATTTAACTATAAATACTATTTATCTAAGTTTATTAAGACTATTGTAACTTTATTTATTTTTTGAGACAGAGTCTCGCTCTTGTTGCCCAGGCTGGAGTGCAGTGGTGCAATCTCGGCTCATCACAACCTCCGCCTCCCGGGTTCAAGCGATTCTCCCCGCTCAGCCTCCCAAGTAGCTGGGATTACAGGCACCTGCCACCATGCCTGGCTGATTTTTACAGGCATGCGCCACCACACTCAGCTAATACCGTATTTTCAGTGAGATGGGGTTTCACCATGTTGGTCAGGCTGGTCTTGAACTACTGACCTCAGGTGACCCACCCGCCTTGGCCTCCCCAAGTGCTGGGATTACAGGTGTGAGCCACCGTGCCTGGCCAAAAGCATTTAAAGGCAACATTTCTTAGGATTTCTCTTTCCTCTGCCTTTGCTATATTTATTAAGATCTGACTATCGGCTGGATGCAGTGGCTCATGCCTGTAATCCCAGCACTTTGGGAGGCTGAGGTGGGTGGATCACCTGAGGTCAGGAGTTTGAGACCAGCCTGGCCAACATGGTGAAATCTCATCTCTACTAAAAATACAAAAATTAGGCTGGGCGCACTAGCTCAATGCCTGTAATCCCAGCACTTTGGGAAGCCAAGGTGGGTGGATGACCTGAGGTCAGGAGTTCAAGACCATCCTGGCCAACATGGTGAAACTCCATCTCTACTAAAAATACAAAAATTAGCCGGGCATGGTGCTGCATGCCTGTAATCCTAACTACTCAGGAGCCTGAGGCAGGAGAATCCCTTGAACCCGGAAGGCAGAGGCTGCAGTGAGCCGGGATCGTGCCACTGCACTTCAGCCTGGTGACAGCGAGACTCTACCTCAAAAAATAATAATAATGATAATAATATGACCTGGCTAGGCATGAGTCATTACGGGCTCACACCTGTAATTCCAGCACTTTGGTGGCTGAGGCAAGCAGATTGCTTGAGCCTACCAGGAGGTTGAGACCAGCCTGGGCAACATCTACAAAAAATACAAAAAACTAACCAGGTGTCATGGTGCATGCCTGTGGTCCCAACTACTCAGGAGGCTGAGGTAGGATCACCTGAGCCTGGGACATTGAGGCTGCAGTGAGCCACGACTGCACCACTGCACTGCAGCCTGGGTGACAGAGCAAAGCCCTGTGGAAAAAAAAAAAAAGTGCCTCAGAGGGCATTAAAGATCCACTCTGCCCTGGCTCCTTTCTTTCCTGCTGGTTCAGCTCTCCCCACTCCTGTGACCATTTGGGAGGTGCCAGGGCTGCAGTGCCGTGGGTGCCTGACCAGGGGTACCCAACCAGGGTTGCAGCCACAGGAATCCTCATGGTTTCCAGGGAACACAAGGGAATTTTCTTTCTTTGCCTTTAGTAATAATAACTGAACATGGACCAGGTGCCAGGGATCATGACAAATGCTGAAACCACGTGTCCTCATTGAAGCCCCAGCCAGCCACCCCTGGGAGTCATTTGGGTGTCCTTGTCCCCCGGTCTGTACTCTAATGTCTCTTCACACTTGCTCTTAATCTGAGTATTTGAAATTAAAAGTACTATGTATACAAAACAAAGTTCTTCATGAGAAAAGGAAATTTCCATTTATCATTCTTTCATAAATAAGGTTATGTCTGTCTTTTTTTCTTTCTTTTTCTCTACAGGTGTGCACTACCATGCTGGGCTAATTTTTTTTTTTTAATTTTTAGTAGAGATGGGGTCTCACGGAGTTGTCCAGGCTGGTCTTGAACACCTGGGCTCAAGCGATCCTCCCGCCTCAGCCTCCTAGGTTACGTCTATTAGAAGGGGGTTGTAATGTGGAAGCTGTGCATACATCTGTCTCTATGCTGTATTGGGGAACTCTGCAAAGGCCAAGCTGGAAGAGAGGATAAGGCACAGGGCTCCCAAAGAGTAGGGCCCATGAGTCCCCCTCACTGCCGTCAGTCCTGTGCCTGGCACACAGCAGCACTCGACAGGCACGTGGCCGATTCATGAGGACACTGCTCTCAGAGCCTCCTGTGTCTTCAATTCTGTCTGGTGGAACAAAGGTTTATTTGTTGTAGGTTTTTTTTACATCAGTTACATTGACCATCCATTCATAGTAGCACATACACAGTGGTGAAACTAAGATGTGTTGGGATATTCACTAGTGTCCTATAGATAGAAAATAAATGTATATTTACCAGGGCCTCATCCAGACCATGGTCATACTCGAGTCAGCATGTTGTGTCAGTTACCTGACAGTGGTTATGAATGATCCTCAGGGCTCTTGTCTCCATCTCCAGGATCCCAGGAGGGCACTCATGGTGGTTTATGGGACTCTGGACTCCTGAGAAGCGGCCTTGAGTCTACAGGATACATCTACAGCCTGACCTGACCACCCAACACTCCCAGGCAGCCGCGGCTTGCTCCCCTGCTGGCCATTTCCAGCCTGCTAGAAAACCCACCTTTTTGTTCCTACCGACCGTGGCTTTGAGATCAAGTGAGGGTAGGAAATGCCCCTGGTCACTAAAAGGGCTGTAGGAAAGGCTGGCTCTCTGAGAATACAGCTGCCCTCCAGGGCAGGACCTGGAAGGAGCACAGCGCCAGGGCGACACATGGTCACAAGCCCAGCTCTGTCCCTGAGCAGCGTGCTCTCTGCTTGGGGTCTCTCCTGACCGTCTCTGCAAGGCGTGGGGAGAGACCTGCTGCTCCCTTTGAATGCTTTCTTCCACATGTGGACAAATGGCCCTTCCCTTCCTTCCCCGTAACACAGCCCACGGAAATATTGAAGACATGCCACTAAGTGACTTTCCAAGTGGGACATCAAAGAACTGGGCTTCTACCCTGAGCAGCATCTTGCTGTGGACCTCAAGTAAGTCACCCCATCATTTATGCCTCACCTTCCTCATCTGTAAAATGTGAGGAGAGCCAGGCACCGTGGCGCACGCCTGTAGTCCCAGCTACTCAGGAGGCCGAGGCAGGAGGATCGCTTAAGCCTGGGAGTTAAAGGCTGCAATGAGCTATGATTGCACCACTGCACTCCAGCCTGGGCAACAGAGTGAAAACTCATCTCTAAAAAAAAAAATCAGGCCGGGGCCGGGCACAGTGGCTCACGCCTGTAATCCCAGCACTTTGGGAGGCCGAGGCAGGCAGATCACGAGGTCAAGAGATCGAGACCATCCTGGCCAACATGGTGAAACCTCATCTCTACTAAAAATACAAAAATTAGCCGGGTGTGGTGGCGGACACCTGTAGTCCCAGCTACTCGGCAGGCTGAGGCAGGAGAATCACTTGAACCCAGGAAGCGGAGGGTGCAGTGAGCCGAGATTGCACCATTGCACTTCAGCCTGGCGACAGCAAGACTCCATCTCAAAAAAAAACAATCAGGCCCAGTGCAGTGGCTCACACCTATAATCCCAGCACTTTGGGATGCTGAGGCGCGTAGATCACCTGAGGTCAGGAGTTCAAGATCAGCCTGACCACCATGGAGATACCCCGTCTCTACTAAAAATACAAAATGATCCAGGTGTGATGGCACATGCCTGTAATCCCAGCTACTTGGGAGGCTGAGGCAGGAGAATTGCTTGAACCCTGTGGTGGAGGTTGCGGTGAGCCAAGATCGAGCCATTGCACTCCAGCTTGGGCAACAAGACCAAAACTCCATCTCAAAAAAAAAAAAAAAAATCATTGGCCAGGTGCAGTGGCTCATGCCTGTACTGTAATCCCAGCACTTTGGGAAGCTGAGGTGGGCGGATTGCCTGAGCTCAAGAGTTTGAGACCACCCTGGGCAACATGGTGAAACCCCGTATCTACTAAAATACAAAAAAAAAAAATTAGCTGGGCATGGTGGCATGCTCCTGTAGTCACAGCTACTCAGGAGGCTGAGGCACGAGAATCGCTTGAGCCCAGGCGGCAGAGGTTGCAGTGAGCCAAGATCGCGCCACTGCACTCCAGCTTGGGCTACAGAGTAAGACTTGGTCTCAAAAATAATTAAATTAATTTAATTTAATTTAATTTAAAAAATCATGCAAGTAGAAATGACTTTTTCCCCCTTCTATCAATAAAATGCTGCCCAGAATGACTAGCTTATTTTCTTTTTAATTGAACCCAAAAGAAGCTTCTAGTATGGAGCAAGTCTGGTGGAAAAGCAGCATATCTCCCAGGAGAGAAGGGAAACGGAGCAGGGCCAATCATCAGGTGACAGTGCAGTGCTACTCATCACCATCATGAAAAACTCATGAGCGTCAGACGCGCCACAGGGATTCCTGATCAGGTAATATCTGCTATTATTATGACAAGCTCCATAGAAAAATGTAGACAGCAGGGCAGAAAGACATTATTCTTTATAAATAAAAGGTTCATCTGTGCAATATTCACATTAGAAAAATATACATTGCTTGCCATAGACCTTCTCTGGATAAAATCAGACGAATCTAGGATCTGACTCCACTTCACTGTGAGGGCTCTGGCTCCACGGTGACGACCGACTCCACAGCTTCTAGAGGAACTCCTTCTAGCGGGCCCATCCGCAGGCACGCCCCTCTGCATCAGTCACTGTGACAATGTCCTCCTCCTGAGACACTATTGTACCTGGAGGGGACAAGATAAGCCCATCGGAAGTCTGAATAAAAATCTGCTTCTGTCCCTGAGACAGTAACTCATGGCTCCCATTGGAAATTTCAAAAGCCATGGCTTCGCCGACAGCAACCACGCTCTCCAGTTCTCTCTGGCCAGAGTGCACCTCCATCCCACAGGGGAACCGGTTCAAGTCCCCCGAAAGGCTTCTGAGACACCCTTCAGTCAATAGTGATCCATGTGGGCCAGGCTGAGGCCCTGGCTTGGGCACAGTCCTGTAGGCACAGTCCACTGCCACGCTATCCACAGACAAAATTTTCTCAAGCGGAGGGGCTGCCACCTCTGTAGGCAGGACGCTGGTGGGGCTGGGCTGCTGGTGGTTCAGGTGGAAGTCACAAACCTTGCCGAGGTGTCCTGCCTCTGCATGTCCAGGCCCCCCAGGCGGCAGGGACTCTGCTCCACCACCAGATGACAAAGGGCTGCAGAAACCCGGGCTCCTCAGGCTGTCCCAGGTGTCCTGGTCTGAAGAGTGTTCCAAAGCATTCTCTCCAGGAAACGCTGCCACCTGTGCCTGGGTCAGCCTCCTAGGCTCTCCTGACTGAGCATAAACAGGCAGCCCACTGACATCCCGGGATGAGAGAGCAGCACCTATAGACCCCCTCCTGGCTTCTAAGTTAGCCAGTGCCTGAAGCTGCGGGCCCGCCTGGAACACGCTCCCATTGCCACCAGAAACCGTCGTTGTATGGCTTTCTTCAGAACGGGGAGAGACAGTCACATTTACTGGAGGGGAAAAACCTAAACATTTTGGGAAACAGGTGAACATGGCGTGTACTGTGTCATGGCCCACTCACTGCACTCACCACCCAAAACCAGCTAGGCCAAGTCACCTGCCCTGCAGAAAAGTCAAAGCATCGATGCTCCTTGCTCCTTGGGATTGGTAGCAATTTTAAAAAATACGTCCCTATTCTCTATTCACAAAGACAGATTTTGTATTAAAAATATGCTCTAAGAGCCAATCGACAGTGTGCTTTTTTTTTTTTTTTTTTTTTGAGATGGAGTCTCGCTCTGTCACCCAGGCTGGAGTGCAGTGGCACGATTTCAGCTCACTGCAGCCTCCACCTCCTGGGTTCAAGCAATTCTCCTGCCTTAGCCTCCTGATAGCTGGGATTACAGGCATGCGCCACCATGCCCAGCTAATTTTTGTATTTTTAGTAGAGACAAGGTTTCACCATGTAGGTCAGGCTGGTCTCAAACTCCTCACCTTGTGAGCCACCCGACTCAGCCTCCCAAAGTGCTGGGATTACAGGCATGAGCCACCACACCCAGCAACAGTGATTTTATGCCAATACTGAATGAATGATTGGTGATTCTTCATCAGAGTGAGCTGGAGAATCACCCAAAGAGGCCTTTCCAAATACTCACATCCACACCCTCCCAACAACCCTACCTGCAGACCTGGAATTCCCAGAGGTCCAGGCCCCTGTATTTCACAATAACCTCCCCAGGTGGTTCCAACACATGCCCCAATTAAGAATCACCATCAGGCTGGGCACGGTGGCTGCTCACGCCTGTAATCCTAGCACTATGGGAGGCTGAGGCGGGCAGATCATTTGAGGTCAGGAGTTCAAGACCAGCCTGGCCAACATGGGGAAACCCTATCTCTACTAAAAATACAAAAATTAGCCAGATGTGGTGGTGGGCGCCTGTAATCCCAGCTACTCAGGAGGCTGAGGCAGGAGAATTGCTTGAGCCTGGGAGGCAGAGGTTGCAGTGAGCAGAGATCATGCCATTGCACTCCAGCCTGGGTGACAGAGCAAGACTCCATCTCAAAAAAAAAAAAAAAGGCTGGCGTAGTGGCTCATGCCTGTAATCCCAGCACTTTGGGAGGCCGAGGTGGGCAGATCACCTGCAGTCAGGAGTTTCAGACCAGCCTGACCAAAATGGTAAAACCCCATCTCTACAAAAATACAAAAAAAAATTAGCCGGGCATGATGGCGGGTGCCTGTAATCCCAGCTACTGGGGAGGCTGAGTCAGTAGAATTGCTTGAACCCAGGAGGCAGAGGTTGCAGTGAGCCGAGATTGTGCCACTGCACTCCAGCCTGGGTGACAAAGTGCGACTCCCGTCTCAAAAAAAAAATTTATATATATAATTTTTTAAGTGCCTAGTTGATAGGTTCTGGCTAGAGCCAGAATAAAAGCCAGGACCTGTCTTGTTTTCAAATGTTAAATCTCAGCTGGCATGTACAGCGAAGTCTCATGAAAGCCAAGCCATAGATGGATGTGTCCTGGGACCCGTCTCAGCCTAACCTCTTGGGACCCTCCTGGTATAGCCTGTTTACTACCATTTGGTGGCTCTCCTTTTTTTTTTGAGATGGAGTCTCACTCTGTTACCCAGGCTGGAGTGCAGTGGTGCAATCTCGGCTCACTGCAACCTCCTGCCTCCCAGGTTCAAGCAATTCTCCTGCCTCAGCCTCCGAAGTAGCTGGGATTACAGGCACACGCCACCACACCCAGCTAGTTTTTTTTGTATTTTTAGTAGAGACGGGGTTTTGCCATGTTGGCCAGGCTGGTCTCGAATTCCCGACGTCAGGTGATCCGCCCACCTCGGCCTCCCAAAGTGCTGGGATTATAGGCGTGAGCCACTGCACCTGGCCTGTGGCTCTCCATTTTAACAAGGCACTCTAGAAAACCCTGAAGACCTCAAGACTCGCAGGGAATGAATCTGGAATGACAGAACACTGGGAGGCTGGAATGAAACTTGAGAAACCAGAGGGTCCCCTTAAATCCAGCACAGGTCACCCAACCTGAAAAATGGCAATCC
Organism: Homo sapiens; assembly: GCF_000001405.40. NCBI lineage: Eukaryota > Metazoa > Chordata > Mammalia > Primates > Hominidae > Homo > Homo sapiens. The sequence goes on along the minus strand of NC_000014.9, from coordinate 102,339,295 downwards.
TGGGTACATCTGTGCATGTCAGCAGGGCTGCCAGGCCATGGATACACCCCACAAACAGCATTTTACCCTCACCAGCGGCCAAAGCATGCAAGGGCCTGGGCTTCTCCCGGCCTCTGCTGTTGGCAGCAAGAGATTCAGTGGTATCGTTGGACAGGGCTTCTCTTCTGGGCCTTTTCACTGAGGCCAGTCCCTCCTCCGCAGCCTGTGAAGAGAAGACCCAATCAGCTAGAATAGGAAGGAATAGGCAAACCGCTACCTCCTCTTCCTGGTGTGAACAGAAGAAGCCAAACCACGCTAATTCACCGTGCACAGTCACCTGGCACCCACTTCAGCCATGCCCACCTCACGTTCCCTCTTCTCGCTGCTAGCTCCCTCTAGCTGCTCCCCATCCATGTCTCGGCTGAGGTGCTTGGGTCCAAGGTTGTCTGGGTGTATTTCTTTCTTCCGTAGGAATTCTGTGATTCCTAATGACTCAGCAACCTGAAAAGAAATGGGCCAAGAGAATAAACTTCACCCAAACAGCACACACCCCCAGAAGCACATTCACATGCAAGAATTAAACGACTTCATAGAATTAAATC